>NC_000005.10:160003748-160306778 GCF_000001405.40 Homo sapiens | reverse complement strand
CTTCCTGAATTTTCTGAGCAGCAAAGTAGATAGAACTTGCACTCGTCTCCTTTTGATTTATGCCCATTTTACACATAGTCTTCCCTCTCCAATTAGAAGGAAATAGTTATGTTAGTAAGCAAAGACACACACCACTGTGACTTAAGGCTTCATGAGTGTGTAGAAGACTTTCTGAATACAGGGATTTCTGGAGTTCTTAGGGGAAAAAAATCTCCCTCCCAAAGCCATGTTGATAAGCTCTGCTTGACATGAGCTGGTAACTTTATCTTCCTGGGCTCCAGGGAGCCAGGGGCTAGGGGCTCCCTCCTTCTCGTCCACTGGGTGTTTACCTTCTCCCAAGACGGGAGTCATGTGATACCTTAGGGGTCTTCTCATCCTGCTCCAGACTTGAGATCTGCAGGGCAACCAGCCACCTAATGCATTTTTTCCCACTTCCTGAAGCTTACTTCATTGCACACTCAGAGGACTTCAGCTCTGTGAGACCGCTTTTTTTTTTTTTTTTTTTTTTGAGACGGAGTCTTGCTCTGTCACCCAAGCTGGAGAGCAGTGGCATGATTTTGGCTTACTGCAACCACTGCCTCCTGGGTTCAAGTGATTCCCCTGCCTCAGCCTCCCGAGTAGCTAGGATTACAGGCGCACACCACACCCAGCTAACTTTTGTATTTTTAGTAGAGGCGGGGTTTCACCATGTTGGCCAGGCTGGTCTCTAACTCCTGACCTCAGGTGATCCGCCCGCCTTGGCCTCTCAGAGTGCTGGGATCACAGGCGTGAGCCACTGTTCCCGGCCACATTTCTTAAACCAGTGGACAGATAAAAGATGTTTGATTTGTGACTGAATCTATGCAAAGATCTTCCAAAACATGAACAGCAAACATTTCGTTTAGTGTTGATAATGTTAGTAGCTACTGTTTATTGAGCACTTTCTAGATTTCAGGCAGTGTGCCAGCATGCTCCCATATATTATCTTATTTACTCCTCACTTTGGCCCTAGTGTTAGGATTAACCCCAGTTTACAGACAAGAAACTGCAAGGCTCACAGGAATAAGTGTCTGAGATGAAACCGCGGATTGTATCAAAGCTTGAACGTAAATTCATTTTAAAAATATCCAATTTAACACAAAGTGGAAATACAAAGCAGGGGAAAATTGAGGTTCTGTCATCCATGACACTATAGGCTCTTGTGTTTTAGTTTGTTTTCTGGCGCTCTCCAACGGATGTGCTCTCTCTAAACCATCCTGAGAAGCCAGCCGCTATGGACGTGGGCCTTGCTGTGGGCATTGGAAAGGGCTGATGACTAGGCCAAGGTCGCCTTTATTTGGCCCTGGTGAGTGGCCATGCCTGGACCTCACCTGTGTGTGGTGCCTCTCCCCTCAAAGTGATTTGGCCTCTGCCATTGCCTGTCCCTAACTTGCCAGGGAAAAGGACACCTCAGGGCCCCCCCGCTTGCCGAACTCTGACAGCTGGATAGTGGTAGAAATTCATCCCAGCTTCATCCTCAGCCCCTGTGTCAAAACTGCATTATTTTTTTAGTGACTCCTGAAGCTTGCACGTCCTTTTATTTCTCTCTTTCAACATCAGTATTTTTTTCTCACTCCTTCCCCTAAATTCCTCAAATTTCCCCACTTCAAGGCTGAACACCTGTCTCCTTATAGAAATCAGTGACCTGGCCAGGCGCGGTGGCTCATGCCTGTAATCCCAGCACTTTGGGAGGCCGAGATGAGCGGTTCACGAGGTCAAGAGATCGAGACCATCCTGGCCAACAAGGTGAAGCCCCGTCTCTACTAAAAATACAAAAAAAATAGCCGGGCGTGGTGGTGTGCACCTGTAGTCCCAGCTACTCATGAAGCTGAGGCAGGAGCATTGCTTGAACCTGGGAGGCGGACGTTGCAGTGAGCTGAGATCACGCCATTGCATTCCAGCCTGGTGACAGAGCGAGATTTCCTCTAAAAAAAAAAAGAAAGAAAGTAGTGACCAAGGTCCATACTCAACAAAGGGCTCATGGATTTGGGTAGGTCATCCTCCGCTTGGTTTTTCCATTCCCTTCCCCTCCTTTTGGATTTCTGCATCCCTCAAGGGAAAGTTCCCCCCAAATCACAAGATGCCCCCAGATCTACCAAAAAGAAAGTGTTCCAAACTCTGGCAGTGGGATGTGTCTGCCCGGCTTAGTTACAGGAATGTGTCATTCAGGCCTTTCAAGCTCAAATGCTGGCTTTGACAAGCTCTTTCCTCCTCTAATGGCAGGGCTATCTTATGTTTGCAGTCTTCAAGTGAGACCTGAAGCAGTCTGCCCTCATGACCCCCTGGAGATGAAGGTGTGGGGGTTCATAAAATAAGGAGAAATTTCCTGCAGTCTAACCTGCAGAGGTGATTCAAGCTGTCTTAGAAGGTGTATACAGAGGATGGAAGATGGACTGGGAAGAATTGAAAACCGCAAATGAGGTTGGGGGACAAGATGGGCTGCCACTCAAGATAGTGTCTAGCTTTGAAACTGACTGCAGTGCTTCACCCGTATTCTCGAGGAATCTGGTGACAAAACTGAACCAGAACTTGGCGTTGTCACTTGAGTCTTTTAGGTCTTAGAATACCAAAATGCTCAGTGTGTGCACGATACCCAGTCAAGACATGGTCTCAGTGCACCTTATCTGTGGCAGAAGCAAATTACCTTTGAAGGCTTCCTTTCCTCTGCAAAATCACGACAGCAATCCCTGCCCCACCTGCCACCCAGGTGTCCCAGGGAGAAAATGGGTGTGGGTGTACCCCATCAATCTCCAGGGCCTCCACATCATGAGATGGGCAAGGGACTTGGCTGGGCACCCTGGTTGGCTGGGGAAGCCTGTGCTAAGGGAGTGGAGGACATTTAAGACTTGGAGCTGGCCCTGTGCCCTTGTCATTGACTTCTTCTTTGTCTTCCTAAATCACACAGTCCCTCGGGTAAAGGGAGTGCAGCCAGCAGTTCTCTAGTATATCTGAGCACCTGGCAGAAAGAGGTGACACTGCGACTCTGCTGTTCTCTCTTTTTCTTTTTGAGTTATTACACACACACACACACAGACACACACACACACACACACACACACAGACACACAGAGGATTTGTTTAAGAAATGGCAAAAATGAATACAAGCAAACAGAAGAAAGTAAAATTCCCCTCACAATCCTACCACTTGGAAACAATCTCTGTTGACATTTTTGGTGTGTGTCCTTTACTGTGTGTGTCATCACAATACATTTTTATTTTGGATTTTTTTTTTTTTTTGTAAAAATGGAAAATACCGGCCGAGTGCAGTGGCTTACGCCTGTAATCCCAGCACTTTGGGAGGCTGAGGCAGGTGGCTCACTTGAGATCAGGAGTTTGAGACCAGCCTGGCCAACGTGGAGAAACCCTGTCTCTACTAAAACTACAAAAATTAGCTGGGTATGGTGATGAGTGCCTGTAATCCCAGCTACTGAGGAGGCCGAGGCAGGAGAATCGCTTGAACCCGGGAGACGGAGGTTGCAGTGAGCCGAGATTGCACCATTGCGCTCCAGCTTGGGCAACAAGAGCAAAACTCCATCTCAAAAAAAATAAATAAATGAAAAGGAAAATACCTTGTCGTAAAACACTTTATCTATTTCCCATATACATTTTTCCATATCATTCTTCTCCACCCAATTCCTGATTATTGGACACTAGCAAAAAATTAGAAACAATCAATTGTTTGTTTAGAACAGATAACACATGAATGTGATTTTGTAAAACCACGCTATACAAAAGAGTAGATGATGGAAAGGCTTCCTGCCACCGTTGTCCCCAAATTTCCCTCCGCAGAAGATACCACTGACCCCAATTTCTCGTGAATCCTATTCTGTGCATAAGAAAGCATAAATTACGTATGCTTTGACAGAGAGGTAGTATGAATTACACACTTTACCATTTCATTATTTTAATGTTTATTTTATTTTATTATTATTATTTTTTTTTTTTTATTGAGACAGAGTCTCACTGTGTTGTCCAGGCTGAAGTGCAGTGGCATGATCTTGGCTCACTGCAACCTCTGCCTCCTGGGGACAAATGATTCTCCTGCCTCAGCCTCCTGAGTAGCTGGAATTACAGGCATGTGCCATGACGCCCAGCTAATTTTTGTATTTTTAGTAGAGATGGGGTTTCATCACGTTGGCCAGGCTGGTCTCAAACTCCTGACCTCAAGTGATCCGCCCATCTCAGCCTCCCAAAATGCTGGGATTATAGGAGTGAGCCACCATGCCTGGCCTCATTATTTTAATGTGTAGATTTTAATAATCTAAATAACTTTTATGAAACCATGAATAGAAGGGATTTTTGATATATTTCGCTAATTGTAGCAATAATGATATATAGTGGGCACTCAGGAAATTTATATTGAACAAATGAATAGAAGATTTCCTTTTGGTCATTTTCTTTTCAAGTATATACATTTTATTTTACAAAAATACTATCAAGTATATCACAGTTTCATAACTTTTTTCCTTAACTGCACGTGCTAAATAACCTTCTATGTCATTTTCTGTCCTTCTGCAATCCAATGCATAATGTTTTATGGATACATCATGATTTCACTAACTCATCTCATTGTTGGATATTTAGGGGACTGCTTATTCATTTTTTAAAAATTGAAGTATAATTTATATACAGTACAATATACAGATCTTAAGTGAATATACCGTTTATAGTGTACAGTGAGTTTTGACAAATGTATATACTCATGTAACCACCACCATAATCAAGACATAAGGCCAGGCACGGTGGCTCATGCCTGTAATCCCAGCACTTTGGGAGGCCGAGGTGGGTGGATCACATGAGGCCAGGAGTTCGAGACCTGCCTGGCCAACATGGTGAAGCCCCATCTCTACTAAAAATACAAAAATTAGCTGGGCGTGGTGGCACATGCCTGTAATCCCAGCTACTCGGGAGGCTGAGGCAGGAGAATTGCTTGAACCCGGGAGGCAGAGGTTGCAGTGACCCAAGATCATGCCACTGCACTCCAGCCTGGGTGACAAAGAGAGACTGTTTCAAAAAAAAAAAAGACGACCGGGTGCGGTGGCTCACACCTGTAATCCCAGCACTTTGGGAGGCCGAGGCAAGTGGATCACAAAGGCAGGAGTTCAAGACCATCCTGGCCAACATGGTGAAATCCCATCTCTACTAAAAATAAACAAAAAAATTGCTGGGCGTGGTGGCACATGCCTGTAGTCACAGCTATTCAGGAAGCCGAGGCAGAAGAATCGCTTGAACCCGCGAGGCAGAGGTTGCAGTGAGCCGAGACTGTGCCACTGTACTCCAGCCTGGGTGACAGAGTGAGACTCCATCTCAAAAAAAAAAAAAAGACATAGGCCATTGCCATCAACCTAGAAAGTTCCTCATCAGTCCCATCCTGCCCCCAGCCTTAGGCAATCACTGATGTGCTTTTTGTCCTTGTAAATTAGATTTGTCTTTTCTAGAGTTTCACATAAATGGAGTTATATATATGTACTCCTTTCTGCCTGCTCCTTTTTACTTAATGTAATGCTTTTGAGATTCATCCATGTCGTTGTGTCTATCAGGAGTTTATTTCTTTTTATTGCTGATTAGTATTCCGTTTTATGTCTATAAAAATTTGTTCATCCATTTCCCCACTGAATGCCTTTTTGAGTTGCTTCTCGTGCACCATTTGATTTTATATAGCACTGCTGTGGTGATCCTTGATTTATATCTGTCAGTATGCTCAGGAATAAGTTCCTAAAGTGGAAGCCCTAATCACAGGGTATGATTTTAAGAACCTTGCATATCACCAGGTAATACATTCCCACAAGATTGCGCTAGTATACTTCCAGTGGTGGTATGGAAGAGTGCCTGCTTCCCAGCAACTTTGCTAACCCTGGATATTACCCTTAAAAAAAATTAGTACCATTTGGATAGGTTAAAAATGGTGCTGAATGGCTGTGTTTAAAAGGAGCAGGAGCCGGGCATGGTGGCATGCACCTGTAGTCCCACCTACTAGAGAAGTTGAAATGGGAGGATCACTTGGGCCCAGGAGTATGAGGCTGCAGTGTGCTATGATTATGCCAGAGTGAAACCCCTATCTCTTTTTTTAAAAAAAAGAGTGGGAACCTCGAGTGGGAAAATGACTAGAGCGGGGGTGTCCAATCTTTTGGCTTTCTTGGGCCACACTGGAAGAAGAATTGCCTTGGGCCACACATAGAATACACTAACACTAACAATAATTGATGAGCTAAAAAAAGAATCACAAAAAAATCTCATAATGTTTTAAGAAAGTTTAGGAGTTTGTGCTTGCCACATTTAAAGTTGTCCTGGGCAGCATGGGGCCCATGGTCTGTGGGTTGGACACGCTTGTGCTAGAGGATGGCAAGGCGAGAGGAAGGGAACTCTGAATCCTTTCTAGGCTTCATGGAGCCCCATCTGCAGCACGGAACTGGGCTGAGACCTGCATCAAGGGCTGGATGAGGGCTGTTAAGGTGACCTGGCTGGAAAACTCCTCCAGCTCCCTCTTAGTCCCCGCATTGCAGTGTGTGCTGCCCCTGGTAACTGGATCCTTCGGAGGCAGAATTTGAATCATCCTGAGGCACTCAGTGCCTTGTAGGTCCCTGGAGCAGATGGTTCCAGGCCCTGGGCATTCTTGTGACATGGATACCCATGCCATGCCGCCAGCTGCTAAGTCTGGAAGTGGTCATCAAGTGATTTGGGTGGAAGGGTTGGGGGGACACGAGGAGGAAGGAGAGGATGTCATTCAGAACAGAAGCATCGGGAATTGGATAGATTCAGTTATTGTAAGGGAAAGTTGGAGAGAACTTCAATGGCATCAGAAGGAAATTGGCCACACTGCGGTCCGTCCATGCATGAAAATATGGTGCAGTCATTAGACGCAACGTGGTAGACAGCGTTGGTGTGCAATGGACTTTTCTGATTATTGTAAAAAAAAAAAAAAAATCCAAGCAATTCAGAGCACTTCCGACTCTTTGGAGTGAACCATTGTTTTTTCCTTAACTTTTTATTGTGGAAATTTAAAAAGATAACACAAATGTGGAAAGAACAGTAGAATGAGTCCTCACATACCCACCACCCAGCTTCCTCACCTGTTTCATCTGCTCCCCCAGACAGTGTGTCATTTTACCCATAAATGGCACTACCAGATAAGGGCTTTTTTTTTTTTTAACATAACAACTATGCCATTTTCACACCTAAAATAATTACCAATAATTCATTAATATCTTCTGTTGTCCATTCCTCTGTTGTCTCAGAAATGGTTTTTATAGTTGTTCACATCATAATCCAGATAAAGTCCATGCATTACATTTTTTTTTAGCGTCTTTTAAGCTGGGCATGGTGGCTCACTTCTATAATCCCAGCACTTTGGGAGGCCGAGGTGGGTGGATCACCTGAGGTCAGGAATTCGAGACCAGCCTGGACAACATAGTGAAACTCTGTCTCTACTAAAAATACAAAAAAATTAGCCGGGCCTGTTGGCAGGCACGTGTAATCCCACCTACTCGGGAGGCTGAGGCAGGAGAATCGCTTAAACCCGGGAGACAGAGGTTGCAGTGAGCCGAGGTCACGCCATTGTGCTCCAGCCTGGGCAACAAGAGGGAAACTCATCTCAAAAAAAAAATTTTTTTTTAAATTAGCTAGGCATGGTGACACACACCTGTAATCCCAACTACTTGGAAGGCTGTGGTAGGAGGATTGCTTGAGCACGGGAGGTCCAGGCTGCAGTGAGCCGTGTTTATGCCACTACACTGTAGCCTGGGTGACAGATCAAGACTCTGTCTCAAAAAATAAATAAATAAATAAATATAAAATACGTAAGTGTTCTCAAGTATTTTACTCTCCAATGGTCCCCTACCCTGCCTGAAAATATTTTTTTTCATGCCATTGATTTTCAGAGAAAACAGTTTGATTTGTCCTGATAAATGTCCTATATTCTGGATTTGACCTGCTACCTCCTCATACTGTCATTTAACTTGAATTCATTGTTAACAGATTGGTTTATACACTTCGCTAATGTTGTGGGATTATAATATGCTTTAGCCTACCTGTTTTCTAGCTGTAGACTCAAGCTGTTGTCCATCGCTTCCTCAGAGAAGCCGTCCCTGACTCCCAGACAAGGACGGGCTGGGCCTTTTGTATGTTCTCAGAGCACCCTTGGTGATTCCTTAAGCACTTAGCACAATTTGTAATCATACACCTATTTCTGCAATTATTTGTTGTAGAGCTAGCTCCCTCCCCAGACTGTAGGCCCAGGGGAGCAGGCGCTGGGTCTCTCCAGCTCTCAGCAGAGTGTGTGTTGCATAAGAGTCCCTCCATCAGGATTTGCTCATCACTGACACCTTATCTGACTGAAGTCTGTGCTGTGCAGCCCGCAAATTGCCTTCCTGGACTTCACTGTCGAAACTGTCTTTTTTTTTTTTTAAATAGAGTCTCTCTCTGTTGCCCACACTGGAGCGCAGTGGCGCAACCTCGCTCACTGCAACCTCCACCTCCTGGATTCAAGCGATTCTCATGCCTCAGCCTTCTGAGTAGCTGGGATTACAGGTGCGCACCACCACGCCCGGCCTCAACATAGTCTTGTGGGGTAGGTAGCATGGCTACCAGTAACTCCACCATGTACTAGTAGAAAAATGGCTTCTGAGGGGTTAAATGTTTGACCAGAGTCCCCCTTTTAAGCAAGGTAGTTAAAGCCTTAATATTTTGCGGATCTGCTGTCCCCGCCTGACCTTAGATAAGGCACACATAGAGCAGAGGACTTGCAATGCAGCCTCCAAGTTGGTGATGGTATAACATGGACTTCCCCTCAAGCAGAGCTGACACCCTGGGCAGCCACCAAGCTAGGTGAGAAGGCGGGGGTTGGTGGAGCAAAGCTGTTGACTTGGCGCTGGAATTTCTCTTCGGTCTCTCCTTTTGTGTTAACTTTTGGTTTTGAAATCATTTCAAACTTAGAGAAGAGTTGCAAGCATAATATGCAATTTTGTGAACATTTTAACACATTTGTCCTGTCATTCTTTTTCTCTATTTATATTTCTTTTCTTCAACCAAGTTGCAAAAATAATGCCCTATTATCCCTTAATACTTCAGGGTTTATTTCTCCGGTGTTTTGTTTTTTTTTTTTTTTTTTGTAAATAGAGACGAGATCTCACTGTGTTGCCAGGTTGGTCTCAAACTCTTAGGCTTAAGCGATCCTCCCACCTTGGCTTCTTAAAGTGTTGGGCTTACAGGCGTGAACCACTGCACCCAGCCATGGTTACTTTTAAGACGGGCTCTGAAGTGGTTTCTGCGGGAATTTTTGTCAGATCACTAGGGACATCTATCTTCCCAGGACCTCCCCAGAGCCATGTTTCAGGAAGAGGGGATTCAGCATTCTAGTTAGGAAGAAGCCAAGCAGTCACTGGTGGGCTTTGCTGGCTTCAACTGTGGGGAAGGCAGAGCTCTGGCTAATTTTCTGGGGCCATCTTCTTGGCTTGGTTGTCACACAGTGCCTGCGAAAGCAGCCTCTTTATCCAGTGGTCATTTAGTGAGCCTCATGTGTAATCTGCAAGACCTGTGGGAGGCTCTGCCAGGAGAAACCATGACCCAAAACCTGCCCTGAGGCCCTTAGCATAGCTGAAGATATAGTCATATCAAACCACTTATAGCCATATGTTAATGGCCATAATAGCCATTTAATGTTAGTAATGATAGTCCACTTTTAATGGGTGCTTACCATGTGCTGAGAGCTTGAGATCCCCTCCATTAGCTAAGTCCTCAGGCAACTCCTTCCAGTAGGTCCTATACTTATCCCCATTTTACAGATGGGACATGCAAAGTTTAGAGAGTTACATACCTTACCCAAGCCCACATAGCTAGTAGGCAACCTGGCTCCAAAGCTCACTCCTACCGCTATACCAAAGACAGGTCCAGTTGCCCAAGGAAGTCTTAAAAAGCTTCAAGGAGGAGGTGCTGTTTGATTTGGGTTTGAAGGATGAGTAGAAGTTTGCCAGGCAGAGACAGGTGTGAAGTTCATCTCTCTGCAGGGTCCAGGGCAGCTAGGGAGAGTCAAGCATTAGCGGCCTGCAAGGGGCAGCCTGGTCAGTTGTGGGGAGGACCAGGAGATGCACCAGGAACACTGGCTTAGAGGATGTGGGTCTTCCTAGATGTTTGAACCTTATCCTGAGAACCCATGGAGGGCAATGGGAAGGGTGGGGAGGAGAGTGCCAGCTCCCTGGAAATGCACCCTGGCCTCAGAGACTAGTTATTACAGTTATTGCAGTCGCCCCAAAGCGATGGCATCTGAACTAGGGGAGGAAGTGAGGATATTTGACAGGTTGTAGACAATAGGGTCAAAAGGACCAGCGAACAAAAAGCGTGGAAGATTTCAAGTTTCTTGCTAGTTGGAACAAAGTAACTTTCCTTAGCTGAGCTTGTTCAGCCTTTTTCATAGTAAACATTATTCTTGGAGGGCCCCTTCTGGAAACTGTCAGTTGAAGGACTCCCTCTGCCCTGTAAGTGAAGGGAATTGATGTTCATTGGGCACCTGCAGAGTGCTAGCAACTGTTAAGTGCCTTGTGTATGTTATCTGGCTTGATTATTAAAGTTGCTTCAGAAAGAAAAAGGATGAGTTAAATGTACTGACCAAGGCACTGGTGGTTCTTGAATATCTGCATGTTTATTCCTGCATTTAACACACTGTTTTTAGCAGCCAACTGCATGCTACACACTGTGCTAGCCACTGCCTACAGGATGAACAAAAATTGTGTACACAATTGGGGATGAACAAAAATTGTGTCATGGAGGTTATAGTTGAGCATCAGGCTCAAGCGGAGAACTTGTAAAGCATAGATAGGTGCCCAGCTCCATCCCCAGGAATTCTGATTCGGTGAGACAGGAAATAGAGGGTGTATTAGGTCCCTAGGGCTACTGTGACAACGTGCCACAAACTTGGGGCTTTATTCTCTCACAGTTGTGGAGACCAGAAGTCTGACATCGGGGTGTCAGCAGACCATGGTTCCCTCTGAAGGCTCTAGGGGAAGGTCCTTCCTTGCTCTTCTATCATTTGGCAGCAGCTGGCATTTTATCCGTGGTCTTCCTTGGCTTGTAGCTGCATCATTCCAGTTTCTGCCTCCATCTTCACAAGGCCTTCTCCTCCTTGTCTGTCCTCACCTCGTCTTCCCTCTGTGTCTCTGTCTCTGTTTACTCTTCCTATAAGAACACAAAACACTGATTAGCGCCTATCCTGATCTAATATGACCTCATTTTAACTTGATTGCATCTGTAAAGACTCTATTTTCTTATTTATTTATTTATTTGAGACAGAGTCTCGCTCTGTCGCCCAGGCTGGAGTGCAGTGGCGCGATCTCGGCTCACTACAACCTCCAGTGCCCGGGTTCAAGAGATCTCCTGCCTCAGCCTCCCGAGTAGCTGGGACTACGGGTGTGCACCACCATGCCCAGCTAATTTTTTGTATTTTTAGTAGAGACAGGGTTTCACCTGTTGGACAGGATGGTCTCGATCTCTTGACCTCGTGAACCGCCCTCCTTGGCCTCCCAAAGTGCTGGGATTACAGGTGTGAGCCACTGTGCCCGGCTGACTATTTTCAAATAAGGTCACATTCTGAGGTTTTGAGTAGACAAGAATTGTCAGGGAAATACTATTCATCCCAGTACGGGGGGGAACCCCCTTTTTAAATAGGTCCCCAGGGGATTTGAATGCGTGTGGTCAACTGGCAACCCATTTGAGAAACCTTTGGACTGTAGATGGGTAGGGAAGTAGAGTCGCAGCGAGGGGGTAGTGGTGCAGTCACCCTACTGTCCCATTTTGGGCTTCTCATTAGGGTCGAAGCTCCCAGGAGAATCCACAAAAGGAATCTGGAAATCGGGGGCAGGAGCTGGAGGTGTGGAGGGAAGAGCTTTGGAGCCACTCCACAGAGTGATCCAGGAGGAAAGCGGAGAGATCCAAGAATTGGACCTGTGACAGAGAACCAGCATGGAGGGGGACATCGGGACCTCTTCCCCTGGATAACAGAGGGCGTGGGAGGATGAGGGGCACCCCAGTCCTCCACTCCAGAAGGTATGGGGGATGCGGTCCTGTAGGAAGCTGGCAGAAGTAAAGAATTCAGTTGGAGGGTGTGGCGTCTTTTAAAAAGGCCATGAATGTTGTGTATGGGGGTGTTTGGAGGCCCCAGAGCCATGGGTTGGATGGGGGACCAGTGAGGGTTGTGCACGCATGTGTGTGGTCACTGTGGATGCCCTGGCAGCTGTGGCTGGGCCTGGTACAGAGTTTGCCCAGAAGGGCAGTGGCTCTGGCTTCCGGGAATGAGGAGGTGTGCTTGGAGCTGGCCTGCCTGCCATCTGCCCAGGAGTAGTACAGACGCCGGCTGCGGATGTGGTGCCTGGGTTACCTTTCACTCTGCTGGAAGGAAGCTACAGGCTGGACTTCAGCAGGAGGGGACGTTACGGGCATTGTTGGCCTTATGTGACACGGGCCACCCTCTCAAGAATGTTGAAATAGTGTTCCCACAGAGGTGTTGATGCTTTACGGAAAATGCTTCCTTGGGCCTTATGAAGCAATCGGGGCAGAGAGAGGAAGGAGGGTGAGCCTCCTGCCTTGCTGGGCCTCCCAGGTCGTGCTGTGTACTGAGGCCTCTGAAGAGCCAGCCTTTCTCCCCCTTTCTTTGCCACTTTACATTTGCAAGTCTCCACTTCCTGTTGGTCACCTTGGTTACACATGGTGTTTCTTCACCTCTCTGCGGTTCTTTGTTCTTAGACAAGACCCCTCTAGCTGTTGTCTCAACCCAGGGCGTGGATTCCCGGGCTCTTGTTGGCAGCAGTAGGGATAGGCATGGTAGGGAGATTGGAGGAGGAAAGCAGAGTGGTTTCTCTTGGTGGCTGGTGTTTGAGAGCAGCTCAGCCCTGCTTTACTGCACCTTGAGCTGTTTACGAAGTGGTTGTCGCCCTCCAAGTATTGTCATACCCCAAGCCCTGGCCCGCTCCTCTGATGTCCAAGCCCAAGATTTACCACTCACCTGCAGTGTGGCCTTGGCAGTTATACTTCTGTGCCTCAGTTTCCTGGCTACTAGGGCTAGTGCTGGTTCCACCTCGGAGGGTGGGTGTGGGGAGATAGCAAATGCACATAGCATTTACGTTCTAGTTGTAAGGGAGGAGATAGTCCCATGAGAGAGAGAGAAGTGGACATGCGTGCGCACAGAGAAACAGGACCGGACATGCGCATGCCGACATGTGTACATTCTCCGAGTATTTACGTGCTGATGGAATTGCTGGAGACTTTAGTTCTCTTTGTGCTCCTCTGTATTTTCTAAAATTCCTATAGTGATTAAGTATTTTATAATCAGTTAAATAAAACATTATTATTATTATCATTTTCTGAGATGGAGTCTCGCTCTGTCACCCAGGCTGGAATGCAGCCCACTGCAACCTCCACCTCCCGGGTTCAAGCAATTCTCTTATTTCAGCCTCCCAAGTAGCTGAGGCTGAGGTTACAGGCGTGCACCACCACGCCCAGCTAATCCTTTTGTATTTGTAGTAGAGACGGGGTTTCACCATGTTGGCCAGGCTGGTCTTGAACTCCTGACCTCAGGTAATCTGCCTGCCTCGGCCTCCCAAAGTGCTGGGATTACAGGTGTGAGCCACCATGCCCAGCCTAAAACATTATTTTGAAAGGAAAATACAAACAAACCTAAACTATCACATGGAGGGTTAGAACACAGTGTTTTGAGAACATAGTGTCTAGAAAACAGTAGAGTCAGAAGACCCAGGTTCAGATTCACCATTTATTAACTGGGTGATCTTAAGCAAGTTACTTAGTCTCTCTGAGCCATCCTTGTCTGTAATGTAGGGATGCTGGTAATCTCAGAACCCTTTTCTGTAAGAAGCATATTTTGAGATTGTGTGACACAGAATATGTATTGAGAAACATTGCCTTTGAAATGACTGCTAGGTGCATAGTTTATAATTTTTGAAGCTTCCAATCTTTGTGGGTCTGTTGGAGAATTAGAGTACAAGATGCATGGAATGCAGTGTCTGCCAAATTATAGAAAAAAATATTAAATTGTATATATACATACAGACTTTCAAGTTATATATATATATATAAAACTACTATATATATATACACACACATGTTACATATATATACACACACACATATACATACACGTTAGAGACAGGGTCTCACTGTCACCCAGGCTAGAGTGCAGTGGCATAATCGTAGGTCACTGCAGCCTCAAACTTCTGGGCTTAAATGATCCTTTCACCTCATCCTCCCAAGTAGTTAGGCCTACAGGTGCTCACCACCATGCCCGGCTAATTTTTTATCTTTTGTAGAGATGAGGTCTCCCTAAATTGCCCAGGCTGGTCTCAAACTCCTGGCCTCAAGTGATCCTCCCACCTCAATCTCCCAAAGTGCTGGAATTATAGGCATGAGCCACCATGCTTGGCCTCAAGTTAAATATTTTTAATGTATATCTATCTGTATGTATAGAGATATCTATATATCTCATAAGGCTCTATAAAACTATTCATCATAATGAGCAATTCCAAATACTCATGAAGACTTGCGGGAAGGTATGAGAAGCTGGAGGAGCTAAATTTCGGAGGAAAGAGAAGGCTGTGTCCTTCCTTGCCCTAGGATGGTGTGTGCCTCGGTCTACCAAGTAGCAACAGAGGGTTTCCACGGAGGAAGCAGTTTAGTGTTTTTGTTTTGTTTTGTTTTTTAAAGAGACGGGGTCTTACTGTGATGCCCAGGCTTGAATGCAGCGCGTATTCAGAGGTATGATCCCAATAGTGATCAGCATGGGGGTTTTGACCTGTTCCATTTCCAAGTCGGGCCAGTTCACCCCTCCTTAAACAACCTGGTGGTTCCCCACCCCTGGGAAATCACCATATTATATACATAATATATAAGAGATGGGCACCTGGACCTCCCAAGGCAGGACACCCAGCACTTGGCTGCCTGGGGCTTCTGTGAGCTGCCATGCGCTTTTTGTAAGCCTCTCCTAGGCTCCTGATGCCATGGCCATGTGGACGTTCTTACTAGGGCGTTTCTGCAGGTGAAAGCTGTGGTTCTTAATCTCGGCAAGCTTTTCAGTAAATCTCTAGGTTTAGAATCATTGAATTATTAGGCATCACGCCAGGGATTTTTGCAAGTCTCGCCTTGTGGATGCACTGCAGTTTCATTTTCGCTGGCATACCAGGTGCCCCGTAGCTGGCACCCTCAGGCACCTTTTCCCAGAGTCAGCTTTCTGGGATGTTACTCTGCCCCCAAAGAGGGAGGAGGGCAGGAGGAGTGTCCTGTGGATAAATTCAGCCTAGAGTTTTCCAAAGTTATATTATTTTTTTGACGAACAAATGTTTCAGGGCCTCTACTGGGCTAATATAGGCTTCCTTTAAGGAGCAATGTAGTATGCGATGTTTCGCCAAACTGTGGCCCACAGAACCCTTTTTTTCAGGGAGCATATCTTGGGACTAGTGTGCCACAGAACACACATTAGGAAACATTGCCTTTGAAAAATGACTGCTAGGTGCACAGTTTATAATTTTTGAAGCTTCCACTTCTCCATAAACACTGACCCGCTTCTTCCGTGGAAACCCACTGTTGCTCTTGGGTAGACTGAGGCACATGTCACCCCAGGGCAAGGACAGAGCTTTCTCTTTCTGCTGGAATCCAACTCCCTCACTTACTTTCTTTTCTTTCTTTCTTTCTCTCTCTCTTTCTTTCTTTTTTTTTTTTTTTTTTTTTTTTTAAGTAAAGACGGGGTGTTTCTATGTTGCCCAGGCTGGTCTCATCAAGCGATCCTCCTGTCTCAGCCTCCCAAAGTGTTGCAATTACTGGTGTGAGTCACTGCACCCAGCCCCTGCCCTGTTTCTTATGCCTCCTCGCTGGTCTTCATGAGTACTGGGAATTGCTTATTATGATAAATAGGTTTATACAACCTAAGATCAGGAACAAATAATGTTTTTTCTCACCTGTTTAAGTATTTGCCATTCCTGAAATATGGAGGTTTTTGTAATTATCAGGTGTTCCTTTTGCATCAGGTATTGGGGTCACAGAGCTGAACAAGACAAGCCCAGTCTGTGCCCTCATGGTGGTTACAGTCTAGCAGGCAGGAGGACAGTAAGAGCAAATGAATGAGTAGATAAAAAGTCCTAGGTGCTTGGGGGGGATCTCACAGAAGCATGAGCCTGAAACACCTTTTTCAGCAGTGACTTTTAGGCCAGGCATGGTAGCTCATGTCTGTAATCCCAGCACTTTGGGAGGCCGAGGCAGGCAGATCACTTGAAGTCAGGAGTTCGAGACCAGCCTGGCCAACATGGTGAAAACCCCGTCTCTACTAAAAATTACAAAAATTAGACGGGTGTGGTGGTGGGTGCCTGTAATTCCAGCTACTCGGGAGGCTGAGGCAGGAGAATCTCTTGAACCTAGAAGGCGGAGGTTGCAGTAAGCTGAGATCGTGCCACTGTACTCCACCCTGGGCAACAGAGCAACACTGTCTCAAAAAAAAAAATTAAATAAATAGAAAAAAAAGAAGTGACTTTTAAGCTGAGATCTGAAGGAAAAGTGGATTAATAATGAGAAGTAAAACCTCAAGGCAATTAGAAGAAAATAATGCAGTGCAGGACACTAAAAGTTAAACCGAGGACTTCACTTCCTCCCCTAATAGAAGAAACCAAGGGTGCCTGGCGGAACTTTCATAGTACAAGTCACCTTCTAACCCCTCCGAGGTTAGCCTCAAAATGCTTTCAAAGCCTGTGTGTGAAGAGCACATGCTGAATTTTTTCCTCCCCCTCCCCGGCTATGCAGCAGTGATAGGTATGGTTCTCTTGGGGGCAGTCTCTGCCCTGCACATCTGGCCGTGGGCCCAGGGTCTTGAGTGACTGCATTTCACCTGGCCTCACCTGCACTCCCGGGCACGTCTGAGCCCAGCACAGGTATGGGAAGTGTTTGTCACTCTGCCAAGGTCAGCACCTGGGGACGGGGGTTGGGAAAAGCAGCCAAGGACCAGACACATGCCTGGAATCTTCAGAGACCTGTCCAGGCAGCCCTGCTGCCTCTCTGTCTCTCCGTGTAGCTTAGGTTGGGGCTTTAGGTGGGCTGTGATTCATGAGTCCTTGGCCTTTTCCGGGGCACTTTCCCTCTCAGGTAATCCTCTTTCTGCTTGAGAACCCCCAGGCAAAACTCTTGGGCAGCAAGGAGAGTGGTTTCTAAAGGGGCAGCCACCTCTCCTTCCCCCAGAATGGCTCCTCTGGTCTCAGAAATGCTGGCTCACACGTCACAGTGGGGTTTCCCACTTGGGGAGCAGTGACCTCTGCCATGGGTTACCCTAAGGAAGGAAGCCAGGGTAGATAAGGGAGTCCCGAGAGGAAGGGAGGGCATAGAGGGCCACAGGCAGAGGGAAGATTCCTCAAAACACTCTCCATGTATTCAGACGTCCATTCACTGAGCCAGCAGCTACTCATTAGTACTTACTCTGTGCCAGGGACCAAGGGTATGGCCAAGGGCAGGAGAGAAAAGCAGCTCCGTCCCTCATGGAAACCCCCTTCTGTGGGGGGCAGGGGACAGTTCCTAAACATGCTTCAATGTGCAGTGGCTGCTGGCGGTGGGAAGCCCACAGGAGGCTGCTGGGTAGGAGGGAGGTCAGGGATGGCCTCTGAGGAATGGTCTGAACAGGGACCTGAAGGAAGAGAAACAGCCCACATGCCCAAAATCTGGGTTTGATGACGTCATGGCACAACCTTACGGTGGAAAACTAGGCAGCCATTGCAGACATTGTTTCCCATGCTCTCTGAGGGGCAAGTGGGAAGCAGTTGTAGATCGCTATGGCATTTTATGAGAGTTTGCACAAAGAAATATCTGAAGAATCCAGGTAGAACCTAGTAGTACTTCTGTCTGAATCCTTCTAAGTGAGGGAATATGAGTGATGTTATTCTTTTTTTTTTTTTTTTTTTTTTTAGACAGAGTCTCGCTCTGTCGCCCAGGCTGGAGTGCAGTGGCACGATGTCCATTCACTGCAAGCTCCGCCCCCCCGGGTTCATGCCATTCTCCTGCCTCAGCCTCTAATTTTTTTGTATTTTTAGTAGAGACAGGATTTCACCATGTTCGCCAGGATGGTCTCGATCTCCTGACCTCGTGATCCGCCCGCCTCAGCCTCCCAAAGTGCTGGGATTACAGGCGTGAGCCACCACACCTGGCTGGTTATTCTTTTTAAGATTCATCAGTGAACATATAATTTATAATTAGTAAAAAGAAAAAGAAAGGAAAAGAAAAAAATGGAAAATTCCTTCTGGAAGGGGCTTTGCATTGTAGGAAGATGAAGTGGGATACTTACTGGGCATGGGGTGTTATTATGACAGGGCAGATTTTGTTAAAGGGATGATGTGGGGTTGCTAGGAAATCCTCAGGGATAAATTTTGAGCTGGGCCTTGTAACACAGTGGGTATCTAGTCTTTTTGTTTGTTTCCAAACTGAAAACATAGTAACTGAAGTAATAAAGTGGTTATGCATTGAGCATTTTTGAAAAATTCAGGCTGTTGAAAAGCATGATCGTGAAAATGCAAGATCTCAGTGCCCATCCCGACCTCTCCTCCGTAGCCACTGTTAATATTTTGATGTATCTTTTCTAAGTTTTTTCTAGCCCGTAGCTATTATGTTAAAAAATAATAATAATAATAAAGGACTGTGATGACAAAAGCAGGGGTTTTTGTAAGGTGGATTTCTTTTTCCCGGAACTCCACCATGGCCATCTGTCCATGCCTCCACCTGTTCATCTCTAGATACTCCTGCGGCAGATGGGCTTCCCTGAGTCAGGTGATCAAGGGCCAACAGCTGGGGAGGGAGAGTGATCAGGAAGCCTCTGCCCTTCCCTCCCCTCCCACCTCAGCCCCCTTCTTCTACAGCCTCCCCCTAGCCTTTCTGCTGCCCACACTCTCACCGCCTGTGGCCCTGCCAGGCATGCTGAGGGGAAGGTCACCCTGCCTGGCCAGGTTCCTGCCCGCCCAGCGCCTGCCTGATTGCTGAATGCCTGCCAAGCTCCTGCCTAATCTGGGGAGAGCTTTAGAAGCCGCCCTAGGGCAGGCTGCTCTTTTGTTTCTGGAATCCAGGCCACTCAGCAGAGGGGCTGGCTTCCTGCACTGCGCTGCTGCGGCCTTCAAGTGGACTTAGGTCAAGAGTGCCTGGGGAGGAATGCAGTCCCTTAGAGCAAAGCCCTTGTAATGAATGCCTTCCCTGCACCCCCTAATTGGGTTAGCGAAGTGATCAGCTAGATTCTCAAACTAAACAGGATAGGCATGCTGCAGTCCTACATTGTTATTTCCATGACAAAGAATCTCCCTTTTCCCAGTGAGGGGAACAAGCTGAGGCTCAGAGCTGCTAATTCTACTTGGTTTGAGGGCTCTGCAGAGGACACACTGACAGAGGCACCTCAGCTCAAAGGTAGAAAGCCTCATTGCACATTTCTCAAAGCAGGTTTCTTTGAAAGCCCAAAGAGCCTTTGACAGAGATAGATCAATTCAACTTCTCTGAGACTTGATTCCCCAGCTTGAGGGAAGAGGAAGGGCCACTAGGCTTGCTGAGCTGCTGTTAACACCAAATACTCTACATTTACGGCAGCGTGACCCCCATTTCTCAGATAGGGACACTGAGGGTCAGTTCACATGCCCAAGGTTGGTAAATAGTGGAACTAAGATTCCGACCCAGAACTGCCTGACCTCACACTCTGTAGGTATCAAGCTAATCCCCGGTATGTGGGGGCGGGAGGTGAGGTGGTTGGTACAGGGAGTGACTCTGTATTTATTCTTTCTTATTCGATACATATTTATTGAATGTCTGCATCTGTGCCAGCTACATAAATAAGTAAATTTTCGGCCACAAAGAGAAGACTACCAAGAGAATAAGGGGAACCTGATTTGGAATGATGGAGAGGTCAGAGAAGTCTTAGGAAGTGACATTTAAGTCAGTATTTGAGGGACAAACAGAAACAGGGAGAAAGAGCATCCCAGGGAGCCAGTGTTCTAGCTTCAAAATCCTGCCCTCTTGAGACCAGCCCCTTCCAGCACGCTGTACCTACTAACCCCTACTTGCCATATATTGCTATGCATTCCAGTGGTCCATAACTTTTCCTTTTTTCTTTTCTTTGCTTTTTTTTTGAGACAGAGTCTCACTCTGTCACCCAGGCTGGAGTGCAGTGGTACAATATTGGCTCACTGCAACCTCTGCTTCCCGGGTTCAAGTGATTCTCGTGCCTCAGCCTCCCGTGTAACTGGGACCACAGGTGTGCACCACCATGCCTAGCTAATTTTTGTATTTTTAGTAGAGACGGGGTTTTGCCATGACGACCAGGCTGGTCTTGAACTCCTGGCCTCAAGCGATCCGCCCACCTTGGCCTCCCACAGTGCTTGGATTACATGAGCCACTGCACCTGGTCCATAACTTTTTCTTTTATGCACCAATGTCTTTCTTTGAGAATCTGCTCAAGGCAAAGGACGCTTCTCCCAGGAACACGTACAGGAAAGACGTTCTTTGTGTTGCCTTGAGTTCTCTTCTCTCACTTGGCTCAAGGGAAAATCTAGAAGGCTTTGAGCTTGGCCAGTTGAGTGGGGAGGGAGGTCAAGACGTTGCCTATCTGACTTGTGTTTGGGGGCTTTGGACTGCACTGATGAAGGCAGCGTGGCCCGGCCAAAGGTCACTTGGCTAAGTCTAATTTCCGGCAGCTGCAGCCCACCAGACACCAAGGATCTATGACTGTGGCTGCTGCTTGTCATGACCCTAAACTTAGAGCCCTGTGCTTAGAGGAAATACCCACGTAGTCTGCAAGCTTGTAGGGGCTGCTGGAAGGTAGGAGCACTGTTGAGAGGAGCTGCCGCCCCGCACTGGCTGCTGCTACCAGCTGTCTGGCCTTACCCTAGGAAGAAGCTGGCCAAAAGATCTCTATGCAAGGCTGCTCAGACCAGGCCAATGATCTGCTCTAATCCCTTCAGTTTCTATTGCCCTCAGAGTAGGGCAAGGCAGTTTTCTCAACAGGGCATGCAAGCTGGGCCCCTGCCCACGTTTCCAGCCTGTGTCTAGGCACACCCTGCCTGGCTGGCTGTTCCCCAGATGGGACACTTGTGTGGCTTTGCAGGTGCTGTTTCTCCTAGTGAGAGATCCTTACCTTTCCTGCATCTTCAACAGGTAAATTGTACAACTTGGCTCAATCTGTCTTCTTTGAAGTTCCCATGGACTTGCTACTCTGTAGAGTTGGTCACGACTTCCCTCTGTTGGCCACGACTTCCCTCTGTTGGCCAGGACCTTCTGTATCCACCACTGCAATTCTTTCCTTGCTTTCTTTACTGCCTCTCCCTCCCTCCCCACCCCTTCTGTCTTTCAGCAATTAGTTATTGGGCACCTAACCCTGTTCTCTTCACACTGGGGTGCTGAAGTAACAGTGATGTGCAAAGGAGACCCAGATCTGCCCTCAAGGAGTTTGAACTCCATGGTGGCTGCATAAATTCATCAAACCATGAAGATGAAGAATACACAAGCACATCAGGTCTTTTCCTTAAAGAAGTTAAGCTGGGGCTAAAAGAGCTCCATGACTGATTGATTGATTGATTTTGAGATGGAGTCTCACTCTGTCACCCAAGCTAGAGTGCAGTGGTGCGATCTCAGCTCACTGCAACCTCCACCTACCAGGTTCAAGTGATTCTCCTCCCTCAGCCTTCTGGGTAGCTGGGATTACAGAAGCGTGCCACCATGCCCAGCTAATTCTTGAACTGAGGTCTTGAACTCCTGACCTCAAGTGATCCACCCCCGTCGACCTCCCAAAGTGCTGAGATTACGGGTGTGAGCCACCGTGCCCAGCCGAGCTCCATGACTTAAAAAAAATAAAAATAAAAAAGTTTTCTGGTAAGCCCAAGCAATTAAAAAAAAAAGTTGAAAAAAGGGATACTTTGAAAGTCTTCTAATTAAGATCTTTTGCTAGTTAGATAAAGCCCAGGGACTCAGGGACTTTTTGAAACTCAATTTCTTCATATATAAACATAAGGGAGAAGAAGTAATTTATTCAGGCTTTGAGAGCCTTCCATGAGCAAAGCTCTAGGACTGCGAAAAATAGCTGAGTCCTGGTCTCTGAGCTCTCTGGAGGATCAGGCCAGAGGAGAAGTAATCAGTGTGAAATCTCAACTCAAGCCTCACTTTCAGGAGGCAGGCCTCCCTCCCCTCAGAGACAATGGGGCCTCCCAGAGCATCTGTGGCTTTCTTTTGCAGTATTAGTTCATCACAGTTTGGAATTCTGCAACTGTCTTATTGCTGGATTGCCACCTCTCTCCCTTGTTGGACTGTGGACTCCATGACTGTGGGTGATAACGTCTGTCTTGTTTTTTTATAGCAGCTTTATTGAGATATAACAATTCACATATCATAAAATTCACTTTTATTTTATTTTAATTTTTTTTGAGACAGGGTCTGGCTCTGTCGTCCAGGCTAGAGTGCAGTGACACAATCTCGGGTCACTGCAGCCTCCTCCTCCTGTGCTCAAGTGATCCTTGCACCTCAGCCTCCTAAGTAACTGGGACTACAGGCACTCACCACCACAACAGGCTAATTTTTTCATCTTTTGTGGAAATGGGGTTTTGCCATGTTGCCCAGGCTAGTCTCAAACTCCTAAACTCAAGCGATCCACCCGCCTCAGCCTCCCAAAGTGCTGGGATTACAGGTGTGAGCCACTGCACCTAGCCAAAATTTAGCTTTTTTAACGTGCAGTCAAGCAACCTAAATGTCCATCAACAGATAAATGGATAAAGAACATGTGCTACATATACACAGTGGAGTACTATTCAGCCGTAAAAAAGAGTGAGATCCTGTCATTTGCAACATGGATGGAACTGGAGATCATTGTATTAAGTGAAATAAACCAGGCACAGAAAGACAAACTTCACATGTTCTCACTTATTTGTGGAATCTAAAAATCAAAGCAATTGAACTCATGGACATAGAGAGTAGAAGGATGGTTACCAAAGGCTGGGAAGGGTAGTGGGGGTTGTGGGGGAGGTGGGGATGGTTAATGGGTACAAAAAATATATAAAGAATGAATAAGACATACTATTGTATTGCACAACGGGGTGAATATAATCAATATCTTAATTGTACATTTCAAAATAACTAAGAGTGTGATTAGATTGTTTGTAACACAAAGGATAAATGCTTGCGGGGATGGATACCCCATTCTCCACGATGTGATTATTTCACATTGCATACCTGTATCAAAACGTCTCCTGTACCACACAAATCTATATACCTACTATGTACCCACAAAATTAAAAGTAAAAAAATTAAAATATGCAGTTTAGTTGTTTGTGTATTCACAGAGCTATACAATCATCACCACTATCTAATGACAGAACAGCTTTATAACTCCAAAAAGAAACCCCATACCCATTAGCAGTTATTTCCCATTAACTGTTACCCCTAACCTCTGGCAACCACTAATCTACTTTCTGTTTGTATGGATTTGCCTATTCTGGACATTTCATATAAATGGAATTATATAATATGTGGCCATTTACGACTAGCTTTTTTCACTTAACATAATGTTTTCAAGATTCACCCCTGCTGTAACATGTGTAATATTCTGTTGTATGGATACATTACATTTTGTTTATCCATTCATCAGTTGATAAGTGTTTGAGTTGTTTCTACTTGGGAACTGTTATGAATGATGCTGCTGTGAGTATTCATATACAAGTTTTTGTGTGGCCATATGTTTTCATTTCTCTTAGGTATATATATATATATATGTATATATATATATATATATATATATATATATATATATATATATTCCAAGGACTGGAATGGCTGGGTCACTTAAGAACCCTACGTTTAACATTTTAAGGAGTTTCCAGACTGTTTCCCACAGTGGCTGCACCATTTTACTTACCCACCAGCAGTATATGAGGGTTCCAGTTTGCCCCTATCCAGCACTTGTATATACATTTTCAGTTTTGTATTGATTTTTTTTACAACAACCATTCTAATGAGTGTGAGGTGGTATCTTATCAGGGTTTTAATTTGCATTTCCCTAATGATTAGTAATGTTGGGCACCTTTTCATGTGTTTGTTGGTCATTTTTATACTTTCTTTGGAGAACTGTCTGGTCAGTTCATTGCCTATTTTTAAATTGGGTTGTTTGCCTTTTTATTGTTGAGCTGTAAGAGTTCTTTGTATGTTCTGGATACAGTCTTTTATTAACATGTGATTTTCAAATATTTTCCTCCATTTTGCAGGTTGTCTTTTTTCTTTCTGGATGGTATCTTTGGAAGCATAAATGTTTTAAGTTTTGAAATTCAACTTATGTATTTTTCCCTTGATGCTTCTTGTTTTAGTGTCATATCTAAGAAACCATTGCCTAATCTAAGGCCATTAAAGATTTCCCCCTGTTTTCTTCTAAGAGTTTTATAGTTGTAAGTCTTAACGTTTATGTCTATGTCTATCTTATTCCAGATTGCATCCCCAGTGCCTAGAATAACACCCAGTGTAGAGAAGGTACTTCATACTTACTGAGTAAAATGAATGAATAGCTCTTGAATGAATGAATGAATGAATGAGCAGATATCCCTTTCTAGTCCTGGATCTGCTGCTAGTTAAGTAAGCCCCAGGGTTAAGAGAGAGGTTTTCTATAGAAGAGGGGCACCAATTTGTTTCGATCTCATCCCGTTGTGAGCCTGCCATAAGTGAGCTTTCACATTCCTTTTCTGCCAACTTATTTCCTGTTTTCCTTCAATTTTACTTCTTTTTAGTTTCCTTCTTTGGCAAAATGTTGCAAAGACATTTCCTAAACAAGTAGTGTCTAGGCTGGGCTTGATGGCTCAGGCCTGTAATCCCAGCGCTTTAGGAGGCCAAGGTGGGAAGGATCGCTTGAGGTCAGGAGTTTGAGACCATCCCAGGCAACACAATGAGACCCCTGTCTCTACAAAAAATACAAAAACAATTAGCTGGGTGCAGTGATGAATGCCTGTAGTCCTAGCTACTTGGGAGGCCAAGGTGGGAGGATTGCTTGAGCCCAGAAGTTCAAGGCTTCTGTGAGCTGTGATTGCACCACTGCTCTCCAGCCTGGGTAAGAGGGGGAGACTCCTCTCTTAAACAAACAAACAAACAAACAAACAAATAGTGTCTAATCTTCTTTGATTGAACGGTAAATATGAGAGATACTGCATATAAGAACATTATTATGTTGTAAAAAACTTTGTTGGTTTGATATCTTTTATTGGTTTTTCTTGAGTTAGACAAATAAAATAAGGTAATGTGGCAGTATATATATTGCAAAGTAGAAGTAAAAGTCATCTAGTCACCTCCCAGGGGTGTGGGAAGTATCATGATATCTGAACTTACTTTTAGAAAAAAAATGTATATGCATGTAGAGAAAAAGAAGGCAGATGTCAAAAATTAGGGAATTGAGGTGAAGGGTATTTGGGAGTTCCTTGTACTATTATTTCAACAACTTTTTTAGGTTGATTTTTTTCAAAAACCCGTCTCTCGTAATCCTACCCTCAGAAAGAATTAGATGTGGATCCTGAGAGGTCACAGGTGTGCTAGGCATTTTGCATACATTTTAAATTTAGTTCTCAGCTCTCGAGGAGGAAACAAAGGTGATGGCAGGTGACCAGGGTCACACAACTTGGCTGAGTAGTGGAACCAGAATTTGGATGTGTTACTTCAGACCAGACCCTAGGGGAAAAAAAAAGAATTTGGACTTAGACCTCTGACCCCAATGCCTTTATTCCTTTATGGCCTTGTGTATCTCAAATAGCAAACCTTTCCCATGGGAAGGAATGACTGGCTTCCTCTGTCATCCTCTAGGTCCTTGATACTTTATGAGCCTGTGCTTAGTGAAAGCAGATGGGAGATAGCCCAGGCGGGGCTGCCATCCTGGGACTTGCAGGAAAACTAAGAAGGGTATGGAGGGAATCGTTGCCTCCCATTCAGGCCCTGAGGTCCCATTTCCTGGGACAGCCGAGACTCTCAGGAGGCAGCCCTGACCGTCACCCCTCCGCCCCGCCTGTCCTCCAGGAACTGAAGCTGCCCACCTTCCGAGCCCACTCCCCACTCCTGAAGAGCCGCCGGTTCTTCGTGGACATCCTGACCCTGCTGAGCAGCCACTGCCAGCTCTGCCCTGCAGCCCGGCACCTGGCCGTCTACCTGCTGGACCACTTCATGGATCGCTACAACGTCACCACCTCCAAGCAGCTCTACACCGTGGCCGTCTCCTGCCTCCTGCTTGCAAGTAAGCGAAAACCTACGTCTTCCTCCGCGCTTGTGCGGTCTCCTCCCGCTCAGTGCGCCTGGCTGCTTCCAAATCACTTTACATTTTGACGATCTTTGCACGTCTTATATGTTCATCCTTCACTGAGCGTTTTTTAGCATCAACATTTTTAGATGCAACATTTTTTAGCATCTTTAATGTACCAGACCAAGTGATAAGGATGTTAGCAGCTTGTCTCAATCCACACAGTGGCCCTAGGAGGCAGATACTCTTAGTATACCCCACTTTACAGAGGCACAGAGAGGTGACGAAGCCAGTTTTGGGCTGCCCGGGTAGTATATGGCAGACAAGATTTGAGCCCAGAACTGCCTGGTGCCAGAACCTGTGCCCTCAACCTCCTGTCTCCTGCTTCCTGGTATGGGGGATATGAACGTGCTGGGAGGGGAACCCTAGCAACCACTGTTCATAAGGTGTTTTGAAATGTGACTGCTTGATTTGGACCTAAGCAGGACCCATTGTGTGGTCACCAGGCCTGGGCACAGCCCTCTTGGGGTTTGCACCTTCCAAACAGGCCTCACTAAAAACACAGCGTAGCTTTGACCATCTGTCTGTCTGCCTTGGTAGAGATTACTGTGTTAATTCGCTGCTACTCGGATGATCTCCTTAAAACACAGTTCTGCCATGCCACCCTTCCACTTAACATCATCCCATGGTTTACTGGCAGTCTTAGGTTAAAGACCAACCCTTGAGTTCCTGCCTCTTTGCCCTGTGCCTTTCTCCTCATCACTTCCTGGGTTCCAGCCACACTGGCCAAGCCCCCTCTTGTCATAGAGCTTTGCACATGCTGTTCCCTCTACCTGGATTGCTTCTCCCTCCCTCCCGCTGCCCACCTGGTTCTGGGTAAACATCACCGAGGCTCTAGATCCCTGTGAAAACCTTCCCCCACTGCCCTCAGCAGGTGAGGTCTCCCAAGTATGCAGACCCTCAGCGTCATGTGCTTTGAATGAACAACCACCACCCCCCATGGATAGCAAGTTTCAGGGATGGAAAGGAGCTTGGCACATAGTAAGACCTCAAAAATAATCTGTGTAATCAATGAAACTAATGGAGCTAATGGTTCCTTGAGAGCCAGGCCTCTATACTTCTATAGTTGCCCTAATGCAGAGGAATGGAATGCCCCAGAGGCCTCAGGCTCAAAGTGGCCAGGTACAATTAGGACATTTCTTTGACATCTGGTATTTTATCCTTGACAGTCAGATTTTACATTCTCCTCTGAGATATGTTTGTGTCCTATTTCATTATTCATTTCCCCTCCCTGCCCCTCCATCCTTCATCCTGCTTGGTGCTGCAGGACTATGGCACCCACTTTCTCCTGTAGCTTTGTCTGCTTTTGGCAGGCTTCCATAAACCCCATGGGCACGATCACCCAGTTCCGGAAGCACAGATTTAGAGTTTTCAGAATTCTGTCTCGTTTTCCACGCTGGCACCTTTTACCTGCTGTTGTTCGTGATCCCATTGGCTGCTTTAGGCTCATAGCCCCACATTTGGTGATTTTTCTCTACCTTTGGCCAACTGGATTCCCTTGTTACACATGCGAGCCAGTCTTGCTGGGTGTCCAGCCTGTCTCAGCACCCCAAATCAACGTGCAGCCCCCTTTCGTCTGCGGGGCTTGTGAAACATCTCCGGCTGTGGAGGGCACACTGGGCATCGTATTTCAAGCAGCACAGGAGAAATTTGCGCCACGGCCTTTGGCCTGCTGCTGTCTGTGATCTGTGGGCTGCATCGCGGCCCGCTGGGGGCAGGGGACTTATATTTCCATGGGGCCATGGAAGCTCTCCCCGAGTGTCTGTCTGGGGAGCTGGGATGTGAGGCACACACTGGAGACTCCTTTGTGCTGCTGCCACCTTGGCGGAGAGAGGGGACGTTTCAGACAGAGAGGCAGACGCCCCCACCCACGTGTCTGAGGGCAGCACAGCCTCGGGCAGCAGGAACAGATTTTTCAGGACACCTGCCATATGCTGCAGAGACCAGAGGGAAGAAAAGTTTCCATGACAGCCTGAAATCCTATTCTTCCCTCCTCCCCTCTCCCCAGGCCATTGTGGGCCACAAGGGGGATCCCCTTGCCTCGGGAAGTTTGGAGATCTGCTAATTTGGTACCAAATTATTCTGAGATAAGAAGAGCTGGGGTTCTTGCCCCCCCACCTGTCAATCTCAGGTTTTTAAATCTGCTTCCAGATAGACAGGAAGGCTGGGCGCGGTGGCTCACACCTATAATCCCAACACCTTGGGAGGCAGAGGCAGGTGGATCACCTGAGGTCAGGAGTTTGAGATCAGCCCAGCCAACATGATGAAACCTTGTCTCTCCTAAAAATACAAAAATATTAGCCAGGCCAGTCGGATAACCTGAGGTCAGAAGTTTGAGACCAGCCTGACTAACATGGAGAAACCCCATCTCTACTAAAAATACAAAATTAGCTGGGCATGGTGGTGCATGCCTGTAATCCCAGCTACTCAGGAAGCTGAGGCAGCAGAATCGCTTGAACCCGGGAGGCAGAGGTTGCAGTGAGCTGAGATCATGCCATTGCATTCCAGCCTGGGCAACAAGAACGAAACCCCATCTCAGAAAAAAAAAGCAATTAGCCAGGCGTGATGGGCGCCTGTAATCCCAGCTATTCAGGAGGCTGAGGCAGGAGAATTGCTTGAACCCAGGACAGGGAGGTTGCAGTGAGCCAAGATGGCGCCATTGCACTCCAGGCTGGGCAACAAGAGCAAAACTCCATCTCAAAAAAAAAAAAAAAAAACAGATAGACAGGAAGCAGAGATGGGATTTTCTCACCTACCTACAGCCCCTTCTGCCCCGTCCAACAGGGCTCAGCCAGGGACCCATGTCTGCGGGCCACAGGAGGAGGCAGAAGAAGCGAGAGCATTTCGTCATTCCACAGTGGACATGTGGCAAAGACACCCTCTCTCCCTCAGAGTTCATTGTTTGCGTCTCCTACCTTAACACAGGATAGAACTCTACCATAAATATAGTATAGAGATCACTAAACAGTAAATGAAGTTGAGCCTCCCTCTTCTTTAATCTTTCATCTTATACAGCACCCCTCCTGCAATGTCTTTTTGTTCTTCCTGTTGTTTAATTAAAAGGATAATTTGACAACGTGGAAATCCCACAACTTCCAGGTGAGTTGGCTTTGGCAGTGCCCCTGAATCATCGGCATCACAGCGGCTGTGGCTTCCTTCCTTACTGTTCTTTCTACATGCTGGACCCCATGCCAGGCACTTTACACACATCGCACGGATCCTCACGACCAGCCTATGCGGTCGTGCTGTCACCCGCCCTTTTTATAGGTTCAGAGAGGCCACAAAACTTGCCCAACTTGTAGTGTGGGGTTGTGTTTGTGGGTTTTTTGTTGTTGTTGTTTGTTTGTTTGTTTTTGTAAAGAAAAATACAACCAGGCACGGTGGCTCACACCTGTAATCCCAGCACTTTGGGAGGCTGAGGCAGGCAGATCCCTTGAGGCCAGCAGTTCAAGACCAGCCTGGCCAACATGGAGAAACCCTGTCTCTACTAAAAAGAAAAACCCACAAAAATTAGCTGGGTGTTGGTGGCTCATGCCTGTAGTCTCAGCTACATGGGAGGCTGAGGCTGGAGAATTGCTTGAGCCTGGGAAGCAGAGGTTACAGTGAGCTGAGATCATGCCACTGCACTCCAGCCTGGGTGACAGAACAAGACTCTGTCTCAAAAAAGAAAAAAAAAGAGAGATAAAATTCATGCCACAACATAAAATTCAGGATTTTAACCATTTTCAAGTGTACGGTTGAGTGGTGTTTAGCACCTTCACGCTCTCTCTACTTCCAGAACATTTTTATCACCTTAAAAGGAAACTTCGTACCCATTAAGCAGTCACTTGCCGTTTCTTCCTATCCCCCAGCTCTGGCAGCCACTAATCTGCTTTCTGTCTGTATGGATTCGTCTATTCTGGCTATTTTATATAAAGGGGATTATACAATATGTGACCATTTGTGTCTAGCATTGTTCTCTTCATACAGAATTTTGAAGGATCATCCATGTTGCAACATGTATCAGTACTTCATTTCTTTTTTTTTTCTTTTTCTTTTTTTTTTTTGAGACGGAGTTTCGCTCTTATCGCCCAGGCTGAAGTGCAGTGGCATGATCTCAGCTCATTGCAACCTCCACCTCCCAGGTTCAAGCAATTCTCCTGCTTCAGCGCCCCACCCCCCACCCACACCGCCCCAAGTAGCTGAGACTACAGGTATGTCCCACTATGCCTGGCTAATTTTGTATCCTTAGTAGAGGCAAGGTTTCACCATGTTGGCCAGGTTAGTCTCGAACTCCTGACCTCGGGTGATTCACCCGCCTCGGTCCCACAAAGTGCTGGGGTTACAGGCGTGAGCCACAGTGCCCAGCCTTCATTTCTTTTTATGACTGAATAATATTCCATTGTATATCCCACAGTGTGTTTATCCAGTCATCTGTTGATGGATGTTTAGGTTGTTTTCACCTTTTGGCTGTTGTGAACAGCGCTGCAGTGAATATTTGGGTACCAGTTATATTTGAACACTGGTTTCTAATTCTTTTGGGTATATGCCTATGGGTTGGATTATGGGTCATGTGGTAATTTTATGTTGGACTTTTTGAGACACCTTGGAGGTTTGCTTTTGCTTGGTGGTTGCTGCCTGGAGATGACTGCAGTATTGAGTCTTTGGCCCCAGGGCATGGACCAGCCTGAGGAGGGAGGGAGGGTTGGGGAGAAAGCCAGGAGGGCAAGAGGTGACCTTTTGCTAGGGTAGCTAGGCCTTAACTGTAAGACCTTATTATTTTGCACAAGAAGTGTGAGATACGTTTTTACTTTTAAAAACCTGAAAGCATTTAGCCAGGTGTGGTGGCACGTGCTTGTAGTCCCCGCTACTTGGGAGGCTGAGGTGGGAGGAACTCTTGAGCCCAGGAGGTGGAGGTTGAAGTGAGCTGAGATCTTGACACTGCACTCCAGCCTGGGCCACAGAGCCAGACCCTATCTCAAAACAAACAAACACAAAAAACCTGAAAGGTACAGAAGTACCTAGTGTGAAAAATTAGTTTCTCCCCTTTGCTCACAGTCCCACTCCCACAGTTTTGTGTGAATCCTTCCAGACCTCAGCCGGGCACGGTGACTCAAGCCTGTTACCCCAGCACTTTAGGAGGCCAAGGCGGGCAGATCACTTGAGATCAGAAGTTCAAGACCAGCCTGGCCAACATGGTGAAACCCCCTCTCTACTAAAAATTCCAAAAATTAGCCAGGCATGGTGGCACGCACCTGTAATCCCACCTACTCAGGAGGCTGAGGTGGAAGAATTGCTTGAACCCGGGAGGCGGAGGTTGCAGTGAGCCAAGATTGCACCACTGCACCCCAGCCTAGGCCGCAGGGCAAGACTCTGTCTCAAAAAAAAAAAAAAAAACACACAAATCCTTCCAAACCTAGATGTGTTTTCATAGCTGGGAAAATTTATTTTCATTTATGGGGGGAAAATGAATCATAGATTACACCCCTACACACTACCCAGTGAACAAAACTGCCAGATTCCCTCTCTTCCTTCCTTTTCCATTCTTCCTTTTTCTTCCCCATCTAATGGCAATTCCATCGTACTTTTTCTGTTTTCTTTCACTGTCACTTCCGGACCCTGAGCCTGAGCCTGTCCCTGAGAAAACAAGGTTTCTCACTGGTGAGTGGTTTTCCTCTGTCCTCTGAGCCCCTCCTGCCCCTGGCCCACTGCCTGTTGTCTGTGAAAAGCAGTGGAAGGTGAGGCTGATAGATCTGACTCTTACAGTAAAGTTCTGACTTCTGGTTTCTGTAGGTGGGGCCACATCCTGTGCTGACCTTCGTGCTGGCCCCTGTCCTCCTCCCTAGGAGAAGTGTCTGGCAGGAGGTGGTCGCATGGCCTTTCTTTCAGGGGGGTGGGAAAGCCCCCGTCTCTGGCTCTGGTCCTCCTGCAGAGCAGGGTCCCTTAGCTCTGTGAGTCAGTCATGCTGTGCTGAGCTTACCTGTGAAAAGGCCCATCTCCTTACTACAGATTGTTTTTTTTTTTGAGACGAGGTCTCACTCTGTCACCTAGGCTGGAGTGCAGTGGCATGATCTTGGCTCATTGCAACCTCTGCCTCCTGGGTTCAGGTGATTCTCGTGCTTCAGCCTCCTGAGTAGCTGGGATTACAGGCACACACCACCACATCCAGCTCATTTTTTTATTTTTAGTAGAAACGGGGTTTCACCATGTTGGCCAGGCTAGTCTCAAACACCTGACCTCAAATGATCTGCCTGCCTCGGCCTCCCAAAGTGCTGGGATTACAAACGTGAGCCACCACACCTGGCCCTTACTATAGATTTTTAAAATTACAATTATTATACTCACTTGTAAAGTGAGATCCAAAGAATAAAATAAAAATCCTTTTCCCAATCCCAGGTAACCCCTGGGAACAGTTTCTTCTGAATTTGATCTGGTGTATTTTTCTGGAATTGTTCCATGGATATACAAACACAGTTGATTCTCATTACGGGTTCTGTTCTTGCGAATTTGCCTACTTGCTAAAACTCTTTTGTAGGCCGGGTGCAGTGGCTCACGCCTGTAATCCCAGCACTTTGGGAGGCCGAGGTGGGTGGATCACCTGAGGTCAGAAGTTCGAGACCAGCCTGGCCAACATGGGGAAACCCCTTCTCTACTAAAAATACAAAAAAATTAGCCGGTTGTGGTGGTGGGCACCTGTAGTCCCAGCTACTCGGGAGGCTGAGGGAGGAGAATTGCTTGAACCTGGGAGGCAGAGGTTGCAGTGAGCCAAGATCGCGCCACTGTACCACAGCTTGGATGACAGAGTGAGACTCTGTCTCAAAAAAAAAAAAAAAAAAAAAAGTGGCGGCACTTTCGTGGTGCTTTGCAAACACGCACAGAGCTGTGTGTCCCATATGGATTGACCCATACCCATATTCCAAGCTGAGACCCAGTAAGAAGCACTCTGTCTTCTTCTTTCACCTCTCACACTGTAAACAAATGTGTTTTTAGTGGACTTAGTGCCACATTTTTCATATTTTTGTGCTTTTTGTTGGTGATTTTGGTGTCAACAAGTCTCCAAGAATAGAGCTGAAGTGCTGTCTAGAGCTCCCAAGGTCAAGAAGGCTGTGATGTGCCTTGTAGAAAAAAGCCTCTGTTAGAGAAGCTGTGTTCAGGCAGAAGTTATAATGCTGTTGGCCATGAGTTCAATATTAATGAATTAATGTATTAAACAAATACACAACACAAAGTTATAGGCTGATCAGTTGATGAAATGTTGTGATCAGAGCCTTGCAGGAACCTAACCTTGTACCTTCCCCTAGGAGCAGTGGTTCAGTATTCACTAATTCAGTGTTCACAATGGCTTTATAGAGCATAACTGACATGAATAACAAGAATTGACCAGATATATTTACACAGCTGGGTTACTGCTAAAGGTGCTTTCTTCATAGTATGTTACGGAACCTCTTTTTCCATCAGCGCTTGTGGATTTACTTCACTCTTTTTATTGACTGCAAAGTCCTTTGTTTTATAAACACTGTCATTTATGTAATGATTTCTCTATTTTTGGACATTCAGGTTGCCATCTCTTTTTTTCACTGCTGTACAGTGACTGGCTTTTTCCCTGTATCTTTGCAAACTTACATGAGTCTGTCTGTAAGATAAATTCCCAGAGGTGGAATTGTTTTGGTCAACAGGTAGGTAACACTGAAGATTTTGATAAGTAGTGCCAAATTGCCTTACAGAAGTTTTAACTCAACCAACAGCTGATGAGACCCGTTTTTCCGTAAATTTGACTTCATTTGTGGGAGCCTTTGGAACTGTTAGCATTGGTGGTACAGTGGTGAGCACAGCTGCCTTCCAGAAAAACATTTATTTGACTTACTCTCTACCTAAACAATAAACTATAAAAGAACAAGCAATGTCTCTTCTCCATCCCGGCCCCTCACCCGTGTCCACTTGGGGCTTCTCTTCTGTGCTCCCAGCCACGAGAGCCTTTGCCCTGCATTTCTGCCTTTCCCTATCCAGGAAGCACAGACAAGGAATCCTTTCCAGACTGATTGCTTTTAGTGCCTGTTAAGCCTCATGTCTTAGGGCAGATACCACTAAAAGCTATTGCCTGCCAGGTACCTGCAGTGGGGCTTCAGGAGATTCTAGGAGAGGCCTGTCTTCCTCCCAGTAAACCAGCATCACTCCCCTTTGCATCCTCCATCCCCCACTCACCCCTGCTTTGATTACTTGGCAACTGTTGCTTCTGAAAAGCAGCTTCTTTGACAACAAGGCAGGGGACGGGATGGGGTCTCCCCACTGGAGATTTCAGAAACTTGAAAGCAGTCTTAATCCTTTCTGGTCGACAAGGATGAATGAATATGCTGCTTCCTAGCCTGGAGAAGTTAAATACATCAGCTCTCCCCAAAGCTGGGAATGCTTGAGATGCCTCCACGGCTCTAATTGTAGGCAGCAGCTGCAAATGGGGCAATATTTCCAGGTGGTCTTTTTCAGGGGTGTATTTCTGACAAAACATGAGATTTATTGATAGAATTAAACCTAAATCTTCAAGGAAACGTGGCAGCGCCCTTGCAGGAGATAATTTAATAGCTCCCTACATCTCATGCAAGAGTGGTCAGGAGGAAACTCCATTTCCTTCCTGCCGTGGAGAGCATTTGAAATGCTTGAGCCTTTCAATGTTTGAACATTTCAGGAATCAGAACAGGTCTTACATTTGATGTGTGCAATTAAAGTGACTATTGCTTATCTTTCTTCCAAAACACTGCCATGACATCAATGGTGCTTCTCTAATCAGTGACGTTTGCGTGGTGGCCACGCGGCACAGGGCAACTGGAAAAGGTGGTCTGTCACATTAGTGAGGGCCATGCTGAGCAAATCTGGGCACGGGGCTCGAATGTCACAGCACAGTGAGCGGAGGACATGGTGATTTTCCATTTCCTGTTCCCATCTCTGCAGACTGGCAGGCTTAGAGCTGTTTCAGGGGAGGGATTTTGTGTAAACTGCCTGTCAGACAGCTGGCTGGGCCGGAAGCTCTTAAATTGTTCAATTTGCCTTAGCAAGTTTAACACCCAGACCTGTTTGTCCAGGGCCTAACTTTCCGGGCTCTGCATGGCTTTTTTTTATTTTAATTTTATTTTTGTTTTCCGGGAGTGGGGGTTGTATTTCAAGCTGCACGAATAATTAATTGAACATGCGGTGTTCAGGAGCCCCTGATCGCAGCAGCCCACCCCTCACCACCCAAGCACTTACCTGTCAGTATTGTCAGTTGTGATAGCTAGCACTGGCAGGGCAGCTTTGGTTGATTTTGAAATCCGTTTCAGACTCGAACGAGATATGTTGGCCTATTCTATCCCTTGGTGCTAAGATTAGAGATTATTTTTATGTGTGGAGCATTTACCTGGATTTTTGAGATTGTCTTCAAGGAGTGTGTGTTGCCTCCCTCCACCTCCTAAATCTTAATTTTAATTACAAGCATTGTGGTGTCTAGACAGGAAAAGTCTCTCTTTGTCACCGACATAGTGAGGTTTCTGGGACTTTTCTAGGAAAGTCTGATGCCTCCCGACTTGTAGGTACTTGTAAAACAGGTTCATGCCGAGATATTCTTGGACTGGAGCAGACCTACGTTCTGGAATGTTCTCTGGCAGTTATTCTGCTAGCTCTGGCTTCTAGATTCCCAGCAGCAGAGTCTTGCCTTCTGAGGAGTTTAAAGTGTTTTTATCAGCAGGAGAGTAATATTTGTTCCTGTAGAAAACCAGAAGATGGGAAAAAATAAAAATAACAAAATAAAAATCACTTGTAATCTCACTACATTTCTCTTTTCTATAATCGGAACCTGCGGGTGGAGGGTAAATCCTAGCCTCAGTGGTGATGGGATCGTTAATGTTTATTGAGTGTTTGTTTATTTTTATTTATCTTTTTGAGGCAGGATCTCACTCTGTCACTCAGGCTGGAGTACAGTAGCATGATCACGGCTCCCTGCACCTCAGCCTCCCAGTACCTGGGACCACAGGCGCGTCCATACCACCAGGCCCTGCTAATTTTTTTTTTTTTCGAGACACCATTTTGCTCTGTCACCCAGGCTGGTGTGCAGTGGCGCAATTTCGGCTCACCGCAACCTCCGCCTCCCAGGTTCAAATGATTCTCCTGCCACAGCCTCCTGAGTAGCTGAGATTACAGGTTCCCACCACCTCACCCAGCTAATTTTTGTATTTTTAGTAGAGACAGGGTTTCACCATATTGGTCAGGCTGGTCTTGAACTCCTGGCCTCAAGTGATCTGCCCGCCCCGGCCTCCCAAAGTGCTGGGATTACAGGCGTGAGCCACTGCGCCCAGACTTTTTTTTTTTTTGGTAGAGACAAGGTTTTGCCATGTTGCCCAGGCTGGTCTCTAACTTGTGTGCTCAAGCAGTCCACCAGCCTCGGCCTCCCAAAGTGCTGGGATTATAGGCATGAGTCACTGTGCCCAGCCTATATGTCACACAGTGTTCTGAATTTTTTACACAGATTTACTAATTTAATCCTCAAAACAATTCTATAAGGTAGGCTGTAGTTGTATTTTCCGCAAGTATCAGAGGAAGAATCCGAGGCCCAGTAAGTTAGGACACTTCCCTAAAAGCATACAGCTCGGATGTGCCTAGTAATGGGGACACAGGTTGTCACCTTGGGGTTGACTCAGTGGTTCTCAGCCACTGTACAACTATGGCCCTAGTTGTACAGCCAGACCACGTCCTTCCTTGGCTGTGCCAGGAAGATTCAGGTCAGAACGCGGAGAGATTGCTGGGAGACTCCTGGGCACACTTCCTTCTGAGCCAGCAGAGCAGCATTTGTGCTGACCCCGATGAAAACATCAGCCCTCAGGACCAGCTCTTGTATCTGGAAGCATCTCCCCTCTGAACCACAAGGGCGGTACCCAAGATGGCCTCTCCTTTTCCTTCTCCCTGTTCCCCGCATAGGTCGGAACAAAGGATCAGGGTCCCCAGTGCCCACACGTTCAGCGCAGCAGTGCCGTCAGACCTGGGCCAGAGGCAGCCCCTGGTGAGTTAGGAGTGAGCTTTCTTTAAAGCAGTGACACCGAAACCTTCTTTCGTGACAGGAGATAACTCCTATCCTCCGTACGAGGACAGAAGCACTTGTGGGATGCAGGCCCCAGATGCCAGCTATTCGGGTGACAAATGGCCCCCACCCCGCAGGCCCTGCTTTCAGTCAGTGACACTTATTTGGGTCACGTGTAAAGCGGAGCACAAAGGAACCAGGGGTTGCCTGAGGCCGCAGTGTGATGTCATCACAGCAGTTTCTCCTTCCTGACACAGGGAAGTCCTCCCAGCAAGAAGGGAAGCCCGTGGGTGACCCAGCTGGCCGAATGCCACCTCTGACCTAGAAGGCATTTTCACAATTTCCTCCTAAAGAAAACAACCACCCACAACCTCACCTCTGGTCTCTTTTTAAAACTGGGCTCAGGAATTGATTCAGCCTGTCAGAAATGGGCTTGCTTTCATTCTTTCATCCATCCGTCCTTCCATCCATTCGTTGATTATTTATCAAGGCCTCTGTGCCAGAGACTGGAGATGCAGCCCTGCTCTTGAGAGAGGAAGGAGAAGAAGAGAGCTTTTTCTTGATTTCCTGAGGGAGAAAGGAAGCTCAGCCAGGCAGGGTACCCAGATCCACCTTCACACCAGGTCTACCCAGCGGACTTTGGAAGCCCAGGAATGGCTGGTGTTGGAGGCCTGTTTCTCCAGGATGTTTCCTAACTACAGGATCAGAAATGGGCCAGAGATCTTGGATGCAGCTACAGCAGGTCCTTAAGGGGACTTAAGGGGAGGCTACCTGGCCTCCAACCCCTGTGGTCCTCTCAGCTTTCTCCCTTCCTTGAGCACCACTGAAGCACCCTCTTACAGATGAAGGGTTTTCTTGCTTTGTCCCTGGCTTTCTCTCTCCCCTACACCAAATCTCATCCAGAAACCAAACCACTGTCATTGTAGCTGTGACTGTCATTACAGGGCTGGCTCTGAATTGAGCACAAGTTTACAAAGGGTGCTGTTCTAAGCACACTAAGCCATCATGTCACCCTCACCACAATTCTATCTACTTGTCTTCTTCCCATTTCACAGATGAGGAAACACAGGTCCAAGAAGTTGTGACTTACCCCAGACCACATGGCTAGTAAGCGGCTGCCACTCCGTAGAATCCAGGACAGTCATCATCAGAGTGTGGGCACTGCCCGCTGCACTGCCTTACACAGTAAAAACAGCCTGCCAGAGCATGGTGCCCTCAGAGTAGTTTCACACCCTCTCCATCAATTGCTCAAAATCTGTCTCCCCTGGTTCCTCAGAAAGACGCTTGTCTGCTGGGCGTATGAGCAGTGCCTTTTTTTGCCAAGAGTAGGAAGCACCTTTCTTGCCTTCAATAACTGCAAGAAGTCAAAGAGAGTTTCTGTTTTTTAAAAAAAGTCAGGCTGGGGAGCACCTTTAGTACAAAAAGTTTCCTGTTAGAGAGCCACTCCTTTGACTTAAATGCTATCATTGGAAGAAAAAACTAAGTCCTGTTGATCATATAGCTCTTTAGTGGAAAGGCTCTGGAATTAAATTGCTAAGTAGCGTAAGCAAAGGAGAGATTGAAGTCAAGAGAATTTGTGGAAGGGCCAAGCATGGTGGTGCATGCCTGTAATCCCAGCACTTTGGGAAGCCGAAGCAGGAAGATCACTTGAGCCCAGGAGTTCAAGACCAGCCTGGGCAACATAGTGAGACACTATCTCTTCAACAAGTAAACAATTTTTAAAAATTTTTTCAAAATTAAGAGTATTTGTGGAGAACAGGGCGGTTAGATGGGGTGAAGCTGAAACTAGCCTGACACATCCATGGAAGTTCCTCCACCCAGATAGATACACTTATTATGGAGCTTATAGGATTGCAGGGGGCCTTGTGACTGTATATAAGGTTTCCTGCTTATGATGTAAAAAGCTCGGGACTTTGGAATCATTTATTCATTCATTTTTTAAAATACACAAAAGCTATTATTAATTTTATGCTAGAGGCTGTGCTAGGTGAACAGGATCTGTGGTGTTCTGCAAGACAGATTTGTTCCCTACCCTCATGGAGCAGACAGACTTTTAAATGCTGCTTTGTCCCTTATCAGCTGGGAGATCGGGGTAACTCAACCTTTCTGAGCTTCTGTTTCCATGTGGGAAACACCCCCAACCTCCCAGGGTCGTTGCCAGAATCAGCTGAGAGCATCTGTTAAGGGCACAGCAAGCACAGTTCACAGACCCCCTAGCCCACCCAACCCTGCAGTAAATAGATGTGTGGTCCAGGGTCTGCCAGCACATTTGATGCCTGCTGTGCGTTGGGCCTCGGGATGCAGCAGAGAACCAAATGCCAAACGAAGCTCCCCGCCCTCCCAGAGCTCACATCCTGGTGTGTGGATTCTCTGCCTCTTGCTACCCAGTGGATTCTCTGCCTCTTGCAACCCAACTGGGTTACCTGGGAAAAGTCTCACCCTGGGGGAGGGGGACATCTGGGAAAGGCCTTGGACGCAACACTCACTCCCCTTTCTTCCTCCCGGACTGTGAGCCTTGAAATCACCAGCAGGAGGCCAGAGTTCAAGGTCACAGTCCTGGGGAAAGGAAGCTGTAACGACTCCAGTCCACTCCATGCATTCCAGCACAGTGTTGACTGTGGAGTCGGGTAAGGGTAGGGGAGCCTTTTGTTGGGCCTTTTTCAGCCCCTTTTTCAGAACCTGTAAGAAAATATTTCTAGATAACAGGACTTGAGAAGATCCCGGGTCTGGAGTGCAAAGAATACCATGTTCAATAAATAATACAGCAGCTGCTACCATTTATAGAGCACCTCCCACATGCCCGTCATGTTACCTGGGACACTCCTTGCACCCTCCCTACTGCCCTATGAGGTGTGGGTTTCCAGGTGATTGCCCAAGATCACACAAATGATACCAGGAGTGAGGATGGGAAACTGGCACTTGAGCCCCTGCCCTGCCCCTGCTCCAGGACATTCCTGCCTGTTTCTGGTGGGGACCTCCCCCAGAATCCTGGCTGTCCCTGGTCACACCGGCTCCAAGGCCATAAATAAAGCTGGTAGAAGTTCTGCCTTTTCTGGGGCTACTTTTCTCCACTCCAGGAAGGAAGAATCTGAGAGAAAAAAGCATTAGCATCAGAAAGGTCTCTATTGAGCCTGGCCCTGCGTGGGCTTCCACCCCTGGGACACTGGCCTCCCTTGCCAGCAAAGGCTGCAAAGCTGGGAAAAAGCCCTTTCAGCCAGAGCTTTCTCTTTCCTCTTCTGTCCCTGCCACCTGACTGCGTAGCACTGCCCACATGCACCTGGGAAGATAGATGTCAGGCCCCACCTGGGAAAAGGCAAGGCCTGGGTACCACTGGGCGGTCCTTGATCCCTCTGACCCGCCAGCACCATCTTTCCTTTATCATCAGCACCTGCAGGGTAGGCTGGTGGCTGCTGGAGGGGCATGGGGATAGCTATGGGATCTCAACTTCTGATAAAAGTCTGGTTCTCATTCTCAGATAAAATGAGGAAGAGATTTTTTAATAGGAGAGCGGCCATTCTTGTGGAAGAATAGCTTTGCTTGTTTTTAAAGGCATTGCATTTCTTTTTTCTTTTTTTTTTTTTTTTTTCCCCTGGAGACGGAGTCTCGCTCTGTCGCCCAGGCTAGAGTGCAGTGCCCCGATCTTGGCTCATGGCAACCTCTGCCTCTGGGGTTCAAGCAATTCTGCCTCAGCCTCCTGAGTAGCTGGGATTTCAGGCATGCACCACCACACCCAGCTGATTTTTGTATTTTAGTAGAGACAGGGTTTCACCATGTTGGCCAGGCTGGGGCATTGCATTTCCTTTTTTTTTTGAGATGGAGTCTCACTCTGTTGCCCAGGATGGAGTGCAGTGGCGTGGTCTTGGCTCACTGCAACCTTCGCTGCCCAGGTTCAAGCGATTCTGCCTTAGCCTCCTGAGTAGCTGGGACTACAGGCGCACACTACCACACCTGGGTAATTTTTAAATTTTTTTAGTAGAGACAGGGTTTCACTATATTGGACAGGCTGGTCTTGAACTTCTGACCTCGTGATCCGCCTGCTTCGGTCTCCCAAAGTGCTGGGATTACAGGCGTGAGCCACCACACCTGGCCGGCATTGCATTTCTTTAGGGAAGAAAAGTAGCCAGCTGTGGCTTTAAAACCTGTTTCTCTTTAGCCAGGAAACTTTGGCCTAATCTCTGAGCCTGGGTTAAGCACCTGAAAGGGCAGCAGGTAGCCCTGAATGGGTCCATCAGTAGGCATCTTCCCACGCATGAAGGACTTTTGGGGGCATTCGTGGGGCACAGTGCAGAACACGGTCTGTCTAGTTGGGGGTGGGCCGCGCTCAAGCCTGGGCAACAGGAATGAGAGAATGCTGAATTTCTACAGAACCTTGTTCTGTGCTGGTTACCTTTTTGTTTTAAGTTTTCGGGCTTTTTTAAAGGCAGTGTAAATGCTGATGACTGTTGGCACTGGGTAATAACATTCAAGGGAGTTCATTATAGTAACATTTCTCTCTCTCTTTTCGTATATTTAAAATTTTCTAAAATGAAACGGCTTTTTAAGCAATTAAAAATAACTGCTTCTCTTGGCGCTAATTCAGAAGAGTCAGGAATCCTGTTTGGTCTGCCTTGAGGCTTGATTGCCAGGACAGTAGGTAGAAGATAAGCCAGTCTTCAGAGTGTTCACCTTCATAGAGAAAGAAAGTAGAATGTGCTTGCCAAGGACTCGGGAGAGGGGGGACCTAGGAATTATTGTTTAATGGGGACAGAGTTTCAGCAGGATGAAAAGAGTTCTGGAGAGGGATGGTGGTGATGGCTGCCCGTCATTGTGAGTGTCCATATAATGTCACTGAACTGTACAGTGAAAAATGGTAAACTTTATATTATGTGTTGTCATAAGTTTTTTCTAATTAAAAAAAAAAAAGCCAGTCTGTAAGCTGGATCCACAGCATCTTGCCACCACGGCCTCATCTGTGGTTAAGCATGTAGGCCACATGGATGGATGCATGGTCATCCTCACCTGCCACGAATTGCCCAGGAGCTCTGTGTGCCAGCCTCAGGAAATGGTGTTAGGGATCAGCCAGCCACATGCAGAAAGGAGGGCACATAAGAGGCATCACTTACAGGCACCACCGTCACCACCAACACTGGGGGTACACGTGCGTCTGCCTAGCCTCCGAGAGCCAGAGAAGTGCTTCACTAGGTTTAGAATGCTTTTTAATCTTATAAGTATGTTGATAGTGACTAGGCACAGTGGCTAATGCCTGTAATCCCAACACTTGGGGAGGCCGGGGCGGGCAGATCACTTGAGCCCAGGATTTCGACCAGCCTGGGCTCTACTAAAATTACAAAAATTAGCCAGGTGTGGTGGCGTGTGCCTATATACCTAGGTACTCAGGAGGCTGAGGTGGGAGGGCCACCTGAACCCAGGAAGTTGAAGATATGGTGAGCCGAGATTGAGCTACTTGCACTCCAGCTTGTGCGACAGGAGTGAGACCCTATCTCAAAAAAAAAAAAAAAAAAGAGGTTGATAGGGCTCCTGCTGTTCCAATTTAGGACAATGTGAACATCAAAAAGAAAAATGTAGATGGAATGATATGATTTTTAAAACTTCCTTTTCAACCCCCAGTATAATAATTTATTCAGAAAAGGATCATCCATGGATGCAAAGCCATTGAGCTAAAGGTTGTTGAGAAACAGGATATTCACAAAGTGTGCCCTCCCAGATTATTTATTAATTTCCCAGGGAAGCTGGTACCTTGAACTGGAGCAGTCTCGTGTCACCACCTTAATCAAGTGATCTAACATAAGCCAGGACAAAGTGACGTTTCCTAGGACTCCTGCTATGGTCCAGTGGGTGAGAAGGACAGAACAGCTTCTGTCATTTGCTTGCCTGTACTGTTTGACCTGCATCTAATTGTGAGGAAACAATCAGGCAGATCCAGAATGTGGAGCATTTTACAAGACAACTGGCCTAGATTCTCCCAGAGTCAGTGTCATGAAAAGCAAACGAAACAAGGGGACTTCAGCGGTAATAGACTCCATGTGTGAACCTAGTTTGGATTCTGGATCCAAAAACACAAAACAAAGGTTATAAAAGGCATTTTTAGGACCCCTGGAGAAAGTCAGATGTGGACTGAATATTAGAAAATGTGATTGCATTAATGTTCATGTCTTAGAAATGCTAATAACATTACAATTTGTAGGAAAATGACCTCAGGAACGGATGCTGAAGTGTTCGGGGTGGCATGTCACGTCTGCAACTTGACTAGAAATGGTCTAACAAAACCAGTATTTACAGACAGAATACACCTAGACAGAGCACACATGGATCAGGGTCAGCAAGGGCAGAATCTGGTGAAGGGTCCTATGTGTTCATTGTTGTCTTTCATCTTTTCTCTGATTTGAAAATTTTCGAAATCAAAAGTGCATCAGAGAAGTCAGAGATTCCATGGCTATTGTCTGGCTTGGAAGGACTCAGAATTCTGTTCCCAGCCTCTCCCAGGGGACTCGCCTGAAGTCTTCTAGGCATCTGTTGCCTGTGCAGTTTGTCGATAAGGAGGAAGCAGCTGAGTAACGGTGCTTGGTGGTGGCAGCGCTGGGGACAAGGGGCCAGCCCCACTCACAGTCCCAGGAGGAAGGGAGGAAATGTCTGCCAGGCACGTGCAGCATCAGGAAACTCATAAAATCTTTTCTGGCTGCTTTTTAACTGCTGGCCAGGCCAAGCCCAGGTTAACTCTGAAGTCTGCTTCTGGGTGTAGAAGCTGAGTTCTCCCATCAGCTTTTTCTCTGAGCCTCTGAGGATTGTAAAGAACCTACCTAGAAGGTTCCTGCCACGAGCAAGTGCATGACCAGCTCGAAGCACAGCCCATTCTGTGTGCCGGGGGCTTGTGAAGCACTTTCCATTCTGCAGCACCATTTTATCTTCATGTGGGACAAGGTCCTACAACATAAGCAAATAAGCAGCCTGTCGAGTTTAGTGCTCGTAGGTCCAGGGCAAACTCCTGAGGATTCAGACCCAGCACTGCCTGGCTGTGGCCTGCCGTGTGCGTTCCCAGGAAGCAGAGGGAGCAGGTGAAATCAGATTCCGCAGTAATCCCTGGTGCCTTCCATTGGAGGATAATCCTCTTGGGCCTGGTAGCAGAGCTCTGAAAGGTTTGAAAAGCGAGGAGGGGAGGAGGAAACTAATCTGATTGAGCACATCTGCCAGTTCTAAGAGATTGCTGGCTGCCAGCAGTGCTGTGCAAGGGTCTTAGTGCCACCCCAGTACAGTGCACCTTCACCTCGCCACCTCCTGCTCTGGGGAGGGAAAGAGCTCGTTTCTGCTGAGTGCATGCAACCAAGGCTGGCTCAGCACAAGATTCAGGGGAGCCGGGGCAACTTTGGAAAAAATAAATAAATAAAATTCTTCCTTTTAAAAACTGCACAAAGAATACATGATCATTGGAGAAAAAACTGGGGAATACAAGATCATCAGAGAAAAATTCAAATGGCCTAAAATATCTGTTTCCTGAGAGGACTATTCATTCATTTAACAAATATTTATTGGGTACCTACTATGTGCCAGGCATGTGCTGGGAACTGGTGGCACAGCAGCGAATGGGTTGGACTCAGTTCCTATTCTTACAAGGCTTAGAGTCAGATGCCAGCCATTCATATTAATACTTGATGTTAAGCAAGTAATCTAAGTGTAGGAAGTCCGTTTAATATCTGGAGGTCTCTAAACTGAGCTCTGGAGGACACCGATAAGGGGGGTGAGGGGAAGAGCATTCCCAGCCCGGGGAGGGGTTGGAGTCCCACGTGGCTGGATCCTGTGCTTGAAGAGGGAGTGTTGGGGGGAGTATGGGGGGAGCTGCCAAAGCCAATAGAGCCAGTCGGCCAGAGCCTCAACCCTGGGATTTCCAGCCATGCAGGAGGCTCTTCCTCTCTGGGCAGCTTTGACCTCGCGTTGGCCTGCCTGAGTTGTTCTTGTGTGCAAGACAAGAAAGTGTGTACTTCGGACACAGCACCATTGCAGGCTGAGTGACTGGGCTCCGGAAAGGGATGGAATGTGTGCTTGCTGTAAACTGCATGGTGCGGGGCTGGTAGTGCCTCTGCCCTTCACTGTCTTGTACATTTCCAATCACTAGACTCCTCTGCATCAAAGACCAGAGCTCTGTGTCAGGTCGTCGTTACCCACCGAGTGGGCTGCTGCAAGGCTTGCCGAGAAGGGAGCAACCCTGGCTTGCTGAGACGTGGTTGATTCATTCTGCAGTGACGTCTTTTGAGCCGTCCTCAGGAATGTGTTGTATCTACTGTGGAGCAGCCTGTGGTGGTTACTTCCTTATCTCCCCTAAGCAGCATGAGAGATGGGAACTGGGTCAGAGGCACTTGCAGCTGGGAGCAGGTGCGTGCATGTGTTGTTTGCCCTTCCCTTCGTGAGCACTGATGTGTGCTTTGAGGTCAGCTGGGCCGCCCCAATGCCTCTTTTGGCATTTACTTAGTGGCAGCTCCACACCCCATGAGGCTGGCCTTGGGGTCATGGGTGAACAGACCGAGGCCAGGCCCTTGAAGGCCTCACCACCTGATGTGGGAGTCGTACAGTACAGGGGGCTGGTGTGGAGGGCGTCTTCTGAGAGGCAGGGACTCCAGGTGAAGGACAGGTCAGGGTTGGCTGAGTGAGGAGGGGATGGGGAAGGGTGCTCCAGGCCCAGGGGGCTGTGTCAATGAAGGCTTATAGGCAAGAACTGCCAAGGACAGGGTCCACGGCCACCTGTGGGGTGGTTTTCCCAGAGTGAGGAACATTGAGGCTGGAGAGGCCCACAGTCTGCAGAGCCTCACGCAGTGGAAGCTGTCATGCCCCCCCACCAGCCCCTGAGTCTTGACCCTCAGGGCACAAGGACCTCCCATTGTTCCCTGAGAGCATCCACAACTGATGACTGCCGGGGTTGCTATGTAAATGCCTCTGCTCTTTAACCCGTGGGTAGGATAACCTGAGGCCTGTCTTAGGCTGTTTCTCAGAATTCCTCAGTAGGATTAAGCTCGGGTTGTCCACAGTGGTGACTCGCTTGTGTCCTTTTGGGCTTTCTTCCCTTTCCTGTTCTCGTCCCCCACCTACCGATCTTTCCTGGGCTTACCTTCCAAGACCTGGAAACCAGAGGGAACCCACACTAAGACCCCGTTTACACAGTTTGAACTCAATAGCCAGGATAGCGGGAAGCCATTGAAGAGCTTTTCTACACGTGGAGGGACAGGGCCAGGTTTGCGTGGCCATGCTGACTCTAGCCAGGAGGTTGGATTGGTTAGGGCCAGATGGAGAGTAGGGAGGGCACCTTATTCCCCAGCCCCTGGCTGCTGCTGCTGACCGCTATCGGCTGCTTTGTGTTCCAGAGGCTTGTCTGAGCATTTGGTTTGCATTTTCCCATTGACTCTAACAAAAGCCTTATGAAGTATAGGTTCCATCTTACAGATGAGGAAACTGAGTCACAGAGAGGTTGAGACACCTAGCCATGATCCCCCAGTGGGAAGTGATGGCTTGTGGATTCAAGCCTAGGTTTGACAGATCTGGAATGTGTGCTCCTATTCCTCCGCAGTCTGGCCTGTCTGCTTTCTGTCTTCTTTGCCAGCAATGTCCAGGCACTGTAAGGTGGGCCGTTAGCTTCCTGGGTTCAGGTAAATGTCTTCCAGTAACCCCTGCTTCCCCTGCTCCCCGACAGGTAAGTTCGAGGATCGGGAAGACCACGTCCCCAAGTTGGAGCAAATAAACAGCACGAGGATCCTGAGCAGCCAGAACTTCACCCTCACCAAGAAGGAGCTGCTGAGCACAGAGCTGCTGCTCCTGGAGGCCTTCAGCTGGAACCTCTGCCTGCCCACGCCTGCCCACTTCCTGGACTACTACCTCTTGGCCTCCGTCAGCCAGAAGGACCACCACTGCCACACCTGGCCCACCACCTGCCCCCGCAAGACCAAAGAGTGCCTCAAGGAGTATGCCCATTACTTCCTAGAGGTCACCCTGCAAGGTGACAGCTGGGACCCGATGGCAGGACCTCCCACCCCTTCCCCACCACCCAGGGGTCGGGGTCAGGCGGCTCTAAAAGGCATGTCCATCCAGATCAGGCCTTCTCACTGGGGCCTGTGCACCCAGATCACTCTTAACTTTGCAGGCAGTAAGCAAAGAAAGGGCAAGGATTCGCCCAGTAACATGTAAAAGAGAAATAGCAACTTATATGCAGGCAGCCAGAAACCTAGAAACTTACAGATCAACTGGTAATTTTTCTTACAGTAACCTGAAACATTGCAAATGAATTAAATAGCACAGATTTGCAGATCGGTTATTCTCAAATAGCGGCCATCATACAGATAGTATGGGGAGAGGGAATTATGTTTACATCTGTTTTAGCAATAAAAGTTACCCTGTTACTTGAAACTTACTTGAAACTTGAAACTCAGTCTTCCCAGTGTTTTAAAATCTAGATGTTAACTGGGTCAAAAATACTGCTGATAGGGGCGGGCGCGGTAGCTCACACCTGTAATGGGAGGCCAAGGCGGACAGATCACGAGGTCAGGAGATCGGGACCATCCTGGCCAACATGGGGAAACCCTGTCTCTACTAAAATACAAAATATTAACCGGGTGTGGTGGTGCATGCCTGTAGTCCCAGCTATTTGGGAGGCTGAGGCAGGGGAATTGCTTGAACTCAGGTGGCGGAGATTGCAGTGAGCGGAGATTGCGCCACTGCACTCCAGCCTGGCAACAGAGCGAGACTCTGTCTTTTTTTTGTTTGTTTTTTACAATAGATATTTATTTAAAGTAAAACAGCTGCAGACCAAATAATTCTTAAGATTGTTTCAGGTTTAACCATCTTCGTAACAGCTGCATCCACAGACTTCAACTACATGATTACCTCTTTGCCCATTCTGCTCTTTCTTTTCTTTCCCGAATAACCTCTTTCAGATACGGTTCAAGGTAGAAATTTTCCTCTTCATATTTGGTCCACTGCTCTTTAGGCAAGATCTGATGCTTCATGGACAGGTCCAGTGCCCTCTTCATGTGAAACATCCTGTCATTATAAAGGTTCTCAGGAAGCCTTCTTATGGCTTCTTTCACATCTTCATTCTCATATATTGTATCATCTTTCATTAACCCCAGTTTATTGAATCCTGTGGCGTTGTAATACCATTTTCGAATACCATCCAGCCACTTGCCTGATGCTGCAACAGCCTTCTTGCCAGCCATTTTGACCAGCGAGACTCGGTCTTAAAAAAAAAAAAAATACTGTTGATACAACCATCCCATAACCTACCACAAACTAAAATGGGCATGAGTATCCAGATCAATGATTGGACTGGGCGCGGTGGCTTATGCTTATAATTCCAGCACTTTGGGAGGCTGAGGTGGGCAGATCACCTGAGGTCAGGAGTTCAAGACCAGCCTGGCCAACATAGTGAAACCCCATCTCTACTAAAATACAAAAATTAGCCAGGTGTGGTGGTGGGCGCCTATAGTCTCAGCTACTTGGGAGGCTGAGGCAGGAGAATTGCTTGAACCCAGGAGGCAGAGGTTGCAGTGAGCCGAGATCGTGCCATTGAACTCCAGCTTGGGCAACAAGAACAAGACTCCATCTAAAAAAAAAAAAAAAATCAGTGATTGTGATCCCAAGCATTAACTGAGCATTTACTGCATGCCAAGTGTCTTGCTTCAGTGCTTTGCATACATTATCTCATTTGAACCTCACAGCAACCCCACACCAAAATCACCTCCATTAATCATATTTTACAAAAGAGGAAAATGATGCTGTAACTTACCCAAGGTTGCGCTTATTTTTTTTTTTCCTTTTTGTGGAGAACGGGGTCTCGCTATATTGCCCAGGTAGGTCTCGAACTCCTGGGCTCAAGCTATCCTCCCACCTCTACCTCCCTGAGAGCTGGGATTACAGGCGTGAGCCACCACACCCAGCTGTAACTTACCCAAGGTTATTGCTAGGATTTTATTTTATTTTTTATTTTTATTTTTTGAGACGGAGGCTTGCTCTGTCACCCAGGCTGGAGTGTAGTGGCACGATCTTGGCTCACTGCAAGCTCCGCCTCCCAGGTTCAAGCGATTCTCCTGCCTCAGCCTCCCGAGTAGCTGGGATTACAGGCGCCCGCCACCACGCCTGGCTAATTTTTTGTATTTTTAGTAGAGTTGGGGTTTCACCGTGTCAGCCAGGATGGTCTCGATCTCCTGACCTCGTGATCTGCCCCTCTCGGCCTCCCAAAGTGCTGGGATTACAGGCGTGAACCACTGCACCCGGCCAATTTTTTAAATTTTTTTAGAGATGGGGTCTCGCCATGTTGCTCAGGCTCGTCTCAAACTCCTGGGATTACAAGTGAGAGCTACCATGCCCTGCTCATTGCTAGGATTTGAACCTTGGGAGTCTGACTGAATGATCGTTTGTATCACCCTGTTAGCACCCTGACTGATACTTTATTTTTTAAATTTGTTGTTGTTGTTTAGCTGCCCTATGAACTGATCTTTAAAAGGCAAAAGTGGAAGTAATTGAAAATCATGAAAAAAAATTTTTTTTTTTTTGAGATGAAGTCTTGCCCTGTCGCCCAGGCTGGAGTGCAATGGCTCGATCTCAGCTCACTGCAACCTCCACCTCCCGGGTTCAAGCGATTCTCCTGCCTCAGCCTCCCAAGTAGCTGGGATTACAGGCGCCCACCACCACGCGTGGCTAATTTTTTGTATCTTTAGTAGAGATGGGGGTTTCACCATGTTGGCCAGGCTGGTCTCGAACTCCTGACCTCGTGATCCACCTGCCTTGGCCTCCCAAAGTGCTGGGATTACAGATGTGAGCCACTGCGCCCAGCAAAAATCATGAACAATTTAAGACAACAGAGTAATAAACTGAAAATCCAGTGTCATTCAGGAAAACTGCAGAAATTTCAACTGTTTGCACATATTTAGCACCAGCTTTTCCTCGTGGCCAGATATCTTAGTTGGACATTAAGATTCCTCAGTCAACCTAAGTGCCAATTTTAGTTATAAATATCAAAGTCTTACAACCACTCATTCAGTAGATTTTCACTGAGTGCCTACTATGGGCCAGGCATTGTTACAATTAATAAGTAGCTTTAAGTCATACCCCAAAACGGAAGCCTTTGAAATAGTGTGTCATTCTCTTATAATAACCAAAGAAAGGACAAATGTTTTGCAGTTCTATTTGTAGAACATCAGCAAGCTCCTTGCTGCTCCCTGGGAGCCGTGGACAGTATTTTGAAAACACTGTTCTAGGCTGCTATCAGAAATCTCAGACTGGTCTGAGCGTGGTGGCTCACACCTGTAATCCCAGCACTTTGGGAGGCTGAGGCAGGAGGATTGCTTGAGCTCAGGAGTTCGATACCAGCCTGAATTACATGCTGAAACCCTATCTCTCAAAAAAATACGAAAATTAGCCAGATGTGTTTGTACATGCCTGTAGTCCCAGCTACTCAAAAGGCTGAGGTAGTAGGATCTCTTGGGCCTGGGAAGTTGAGGCTGCAGTGAGCTGTGATCTCACCACTGCACTCCAGCCTGGGCAACAGAGCGAGACCCTGTCTCAACAAAAAATAAATCCCAGACCAAGAGCCAAGGTTAAGATTCAAAAATGGAACTTCACAGTTTCTAATTTTCCATCCTATTTGTAGGGCAGCGATGAAAAGCCTTGAAAGCGATTCATTTGTCCATCCATTCTCAGGGTGGGCCTGGGATTCCAAGGGGAGGATTTGGATGCTGACTCCCTCCGTGGCTTTCTTTCAGATCACATATTCTACAAATTCCAGCCTTCTGTGGTCGCTGCGGCCTGTGTTGGGGCCTCCAGGATTTGCCTGCAGCTTTCTCCCTACTGGACCAGAGACCTGCAGAGGATCTCAAGCTATTCCCTGGAGCACCTCAGCACGTGTATTGAAATCCTGCTGGTGTAAGTTTCTCCCCTGAATCCTGTGTTTCTGAAATAGTGAGGTTCCTCTTGCCTTGAGGCCTGCCTCAGGCCACGGGCAGTTTCCAGAGTCTGGAACTTGTGGTGGTTCTTCCAGCTACAGGGTCTCAGGGAAAGTGGGCCATGGTGACTCCTGGTAGAAGTGGGGTTTCGAGAACCAGTTCTTCCTATTTTGAATAGCTTCAGGTTTGCTTTTTATTTTATTTTATTTTTTTTTTGAGACAGAGTCTCGCTCTGTCACCCAGGCTGGAGTGCAATGGCACGATCTCGGCTCACTGCAACCTCCGCCTCCCGGGTTCAAGCGATTCTCCTGCCTCAGCCTCCTAAGTAGCTGAGATTACAGGTGCGCGCCACCACGCTTGGCTAATTTTTGTATTTTTAGTAGAGACGGGGTTTCACCATGTTGGTCAGGCTGGTCTTGAACTCCTGACCTCATGATCCACCCACCTCAGCTTCCCAAAGTGCTGGGATTACAGGTGTGAGCCACTGCGCCCGACCGGGTTTACATCTTTAAAGTCAGGCAGCAAGGGAGAAGCGGGCTGTTTGCACCTTTAAATGTCTAGGCTATTTGATCTAAGTCCCAGTGTAATCTTATAGATAATCGCATTGAAGGACTTCCATTATAAGCTACTTTTCTCAGACATGGTCACAAAGCTGACCTCTTAGCCAGTAAGCTCCCCTAAGCGCCACAGCCTCTGCAAGGGTCCCTGGGAATCTTGGGGAGGAAATGTTCAGTGTGTCAGAGAAGATACTTAAAGGCATCATGAGCCCAACACCCTGAAACTGACACTGGAGGTAAATGTGCCCCATAGTTACTGCAGGGAGCAAGGCAAACAGGACAGAGCCATTCCCAGTAGGCACACACTGTCCAGTTCCCCTTCCACCTGCCAGGCACTGCGTATCCTGGGTGCTGGCCTGACTGACTGGTGGGCTGTGTGGGCAAAGCGGAAGCCCTTAGACCCCTGAAGAGAGCCCTCCCCGATGTGGGAAGCTTTGCTGGCAGCTGTCTTTATCTCATTCCTCTGAAAAGTCAGTCCTACTCCGTAGGCCTTATTTTAAAATTTGTGTTTTTGAGAAGGTCCCCAAAGCCTGGTCTGAGTGTCGGTGCATGCCTTACATAAGCCTCTAATTGTTTTGTTTTCCCAAAAAGCTATATGGGAAGCTTTTTTTGAGATGGCAAAAATCTCTGTTCCAGCCCCCTTTTCAGATGAAAAATCCTAGGCCCCAGCGGTCAATTTGGTTGATATCAGCTAGCTAAGGAGTGACCCCGCTGGGGATGGAGCTGGCCCAGAATTGCCTGGAAAGCAGAGATTGGGCTCATTCAGGCCCCAGGAACACTCCAGTGCCAGGGGATGGGAAGGCATTGGTGAGCACAAGCAGGCGCCATCCTCCTGGAAGCCAGGTAACTAGAAGTTACCCTCTGGAGCAGGTTACTCTCTGGGGTATTGACTGTGGAGATAGGGCAGCATGGGGCTGTGGGGACAGCCAGCCTAGTCTGGAGGGGCCAGAAGAAATTTTCTGTAGGAAGCAGATCCAAGCTGAGAGCCAAGGCCTGAATCTAGTTTGTGAACAGCTGGAGCGGTGCCACACACAGTGAGCACAGCCAGGTAAGGCCTGGTGGACACAGGACACACGCATCTCTTCCAGTCCCACTTAGCAAGACAGGTAGAGACACACACAGGCATCTGGTGGCTTTTGGCCTCCAGTTCTCACCCAGGTCTTCTCGTTTCAGAGTGTATGACAACGTCCTCAAGGATGCCGTAGCCGTCAAGAGCCAGGCCTTGGCAATGGTGCCCGGCACACCCCCCACCCCCACTCAAGTGCTGTTCCAGCCACCAGCCTACCCGGCCCTCGGCCAGCCAGCGACCACCCTGGCACAGTTCCAGACCCCCGTGCAGGACCTATGCTTGGCCTATCGGGACTCCTTGCAGGCCCACCGTTCAGGGAGCCTGCTCTCGGGGAGTACAGGCTCATCCCTCCACACCCCGTACCAACCGCTGCAGCCCTTGGATATGTGTCCCGTGCCCGTCCCTGCATCCCTTAGCATGCATATGGCCATTGCAGCTGAGCCCAGGCACTGCCTCGCCACCACCTATGGAAGCAGCTACTTCAGTGGGAGCCACATGTTCCCCACCGGCTGCTTTGACAGATAGGCCACCTCCAGACCTCACGAGGAAGCCTTGGAGATGTGGGCAGAGGAAGAGGACACTGAAGAGGAGAGCTCAGCCAAGTGAGGCAGCAGGAGGCCATCCCTGAAGAGCCTTGGAACGTGGAGGGTCTGTGCTCCTTTTAAATAAAACTGACCCAGAGCAAAACATTCAATAACATACCTCACCCGAGAGCATTCCTCTGAGAAACGTCTGCCACGTGTGGCTAGGGTACAAAAGGATGGCTTGGTGGCCGTCCCCCCACACAGGGGCCCAGTGAATCGAGAAAGACTTGATAAGAGGCCAGGAGAGTGGGAACTGGACACAGACCACTGATCTCAAGCATGTCCAGTTTTTAGCATTAAAGACTTTTCTATTCTTTGCTGATGGCAGCTACACCGCTGAAAAAGGAGGGGCAGCCTGGCGTGTTCTCAGGACCCCCGGAGGATCCCATATTGGGTGCTTTTCTTTCCCTGGCTCTATGCAGAGGGGCCTGAGTTGGTGTGTATGCCTGAGTGTTTGCCTTGCGAGGCACAGTGGGTGGCTGTCTTGCCTTTGTTTTCGAACCTAAAACCATTTTCAGCCTTTTAGATATGTCATGTGCTGCTGCTTCCCGAAGTGGTCTTGCTTTCTGTTTCGTAAGATGTCTTGTTTACACACTGTATCAGGGATTTGGTGATACTTGAAAATTCCTTTGGAGAAAAAAACAAATTTAATTGCCACACTGCCTGTCCCACATGAGGGCTGTTAATTTGGAACCCAAGTTTGAACCCAACTTGTGATGGACCCGCAGGTAACCACAGAGCTTCCTTTTTGAAGGCATATGGTTGGAGAGAACCATTTTCCCAGCTCTCGGTTCCGGAAGATTCCACGTCTTGGAGGCTGTGTTCACCACTAGAACTTTAATAACTACCCAGGGAGGGAGAAGCTCGTTGAAAGGAAGACAAAGATTTAAACAGTTCCCACCTCTCTCCACCACATACTTACAGGGCATGAGTTTAACCCAGTCTAGGCTTTGAGTGTGGCTGATAGCGAAGGATAGCAATGTGGAAAATTTGCTTAGTCCCACCTGTATTTGGGGAGTGGGATGTACATGGGCGTTTGATACCACCATTGATAGGCAAGCGACTGGTTGGATCAAAAGCCAGTATTTAGGGATCTGCAGCGAGAGGGCCCTCAGGAAGACTCTTGTAACCATGTGCAATATGTTTTTATTCTGACTCGCAGCTTGTGCTCAGCATGTTCTTTGGTTTAGTTTGGGGTTGGGGGACACATTGTTCACCCAGCAGAACTGGGAGGTGCAAAGGACCGTGGAAGCAATTTTTGTTTTGTTTGAGGAATACCTGTCTTGGATTCCTTAGCCCCTTGCCAGTCCTGGAGACTGTGGCAGGGGCCGCCAGGAAGGCAGCTGTCTGCTGCTGAGTCAGATCGGAAGGTGGTGAATCTTTCCAGAGCAGCTGAAAATCTCAGCATGGAGACAGTAAGAAAAGAGACGGGGTGTGGATAAGACTCTGCCACCGTGTCACACTAGCATAGGAGGCTGCACGTTCATTTGTTGTTGTTTTTTTTTCCTTTGCCAACCTCCGTTCTATTTATGTGCAAGCAGTTTGGATTCAAGTTCTTGTATCTGTCTGTTCTGGGACCTGGGGATTGTGAGGGTTCCCTCACAGCCAGCACGACCCCCAGAAAGAGGCGTCCCACAATAAACACGTCACCTGCTCTTGATCTCTCACCTCTTGTCCTAGGCATCCCCTCTTGGGCCGGCCCCTCCTTCCCTCTCTCAAATCAGCCCTGGTGAGCATCTCCCTATGGTAGAGGGTGGAATATTGGGGGCAGCAGCAAGACCTCGGGAGCTGAGTCCTGCCCTCTGAGTAGGAGCTGGGCCTCCCTGGGCACACAGAGGCCAGCGGAGGGGTGTATAAGGCTTGACACCCCAGCTCCATCACCGTCTCAGGGTTTTTCCAAAGAAACCAGTAGGATATATATGGAGAGAGATTTATTTTAAGGAATTGGCTCATGTGATTGCAGAGGCTGTGGTCTAAAATTTGTGGGGCATGTCAGCAGGCTGGAAATTCAGGTAAGAGCTGATGTTGCAGTAGAGTTCAAAATCTGTAGGGCAGGCCCACAGGCTGGAAACTCAGGCATGATTTCTGTGTTAGCAGTCGTGAGGCAAAATTTATTCTCCAGGAAACCTCAATCTTTGCTCTTACGACCTTTTACCAGTTGGATGAGGCCCACCCACATTATGGAGGCTTTTCTTAAAGTCAACTGATTGTAAATGTTAATCACATCTAAAAATACCTTGACAGCAACATCTAGACTAGTACCTAGCCACACAACAGGCACTGTAGCCTAGCCAAGCTGCCACATAAACTTAATGATCACACCACTTACCAGCTGTTGGAAGGCAGTTGACCCAACCTCTCTCTGAGCCTCCATCTTGTCACCTGTTAAAATGGGAGTGATAACACCTTGCCTCATAGGGTTCTTAAGAGGATTAAATAACATAATGTACATCAAGGCCAGTACCTCCAAAAAAGGAGATAATTATTATATTTCTTCAAGCATAAGATCAGCTTTTTGTAAGATGCACTATTATTTTATGCACTAATAAGACTTTTTAGAAAACTAAATCATGAGGCAGTTTGCAAGATACCATTGATTATATGTTGCATTCTGATTTCAGAAGCGTTACATGTCAAAATATGTATATGTAGAATTGATGAGATATAGCATCAGCTGTTATGAAAAATGTCAGATTCGTACTCCTCCTTGAAGGGAGTCTCACTCAAGACTTCTGTCTTGCCCTCTACCTACCCAGCTTCCAGCAGGAGAACCACCCCAGAGAGCCGGTGTCACTGTGGGGCTGAGACATTTGCTAAGTGCAGATGCCTTTGATTAGACAATTAGGGGAGGAATGGGAAGATGAGCTCAGGGCCTGAGGCTGCAGCCCAGACCCAGGAGTGTGTTTGACACCGCCAAGGGCGGGGCTGAGGGCAGTGCTCACCACCCGCTGTGTGCAAGGCTAGGTGAGGCAGGAAGCTCTAAGTTTTGGGGATTCAGAGACAAGGCAAGTCTTGGGTTGACCAAGAGCACCCACCTCACTTTGGACAAATCCCTCCCTCTTTGGGCTTCCATTTCTCCATCTGTTACTATGGAGATGGTCAAGTTGGTGGATGGTTCTAAGCTCTTGGGGCGGGGGGAGACTGTGCCACAGAGGCTGTGACCTCTGTGGCCTTCAGCCAGAGGGATCCACTTGTATTTCTTCCACCCTTGGGCACTCCCATGTAAGATTGTGTTAATTCCCATGCTGGAGGACAGCTATGAAAGCTTTAAAAAGCACAAAGATAGTCTTAAAGTTCCTCCCAGGGCTGGCATCAGGTTAAATTCAGAGGTTTTCAAGCCTGAGCAAGCTGCAGAATGACCTGGAGCCTTCTCTAGGAGGGGTGGGGACCTGGAATCTGCACTTTAGCCAGCTTCTTGGTCATTCAGGCATATGATTTCTTTGTTTGTTTTTTATATTTCAGTTGTATTTTTATAACTCCCCAGTTTAGTTTGATTTTTTAAATTTTTATTTTATTTATTTATTTATTTATTTATTTATTTATTTATTTATTTTTTGAAACAGGGTCTCACTCTGTGGCCCAGGCTAGAGTGCAGTGGCACAGTCACGGCTCACTGCAGCTTCAACCTTCTGGGCTCAAGTGATCCTCCCACCTCAGCCTCCTGAGTAGCTGGGACTACAGGCACCTGTCACCATACCCAGCTAATTTTGGTATTTTTTGTAGAGATGAGGTTTCACCATGTTGTCCAGGCTGGTCTCAGACTCCTGAGCTCAAGCAATCTGACTGCCTCGGCCTCCCAAAGTGCTGAGATTACAGGTATAAGCCACTACGCCTGGTCCAGCTTGTTTTGAAAAGTATTTTCTGACGTCTATATGAATTTAACAGAATTATCTCAAAGTACACAGAAATTACCTGTATTTGCCAGTAAATATGAGATGCTGATGAAAGAATACTCAATATACCAATATTTAAGCATGTCAACATAATAGAACTTTTTCCACCTTTTAAAATTATTTTTCCCACCTAACCCAATTTATATTTGACATTTGGGTTACATGTGCATATAGAAACAGACCTATTCCACAACTGACCATAGATAAACTAGCATGCAAGTGTCCTTTCTGGATGTAATTAAGTTTCAGAGGCAGCATGGTTCAAATGGGAGCAAATGAGCTGACCTCCTCATGAAATACACTAGGCAAAAAATCAAGAAGTATTAAAGTTGCTAAAGACTGATTCCAGATCTTTTATTTCTTCCTTTTTCTTTTTAATTTTGAGACAGGGTCTCACTCTGTCGCCCAGGCTGGAGTACAGTGGTCCGATCTCGGCTCACTGCAACCTCTGCTTCCCAGGTTCAGGCAATTCTCCTGCCTCAACTTCTCAGGTAGCTGGGAGTACTGGTGCGCGCCACCATGCCCGGCCAATTTTTGTATTTTTAGCAGAGACAGGGTTTCACCATGTTGGCCAGGCTGGTCTCAAACTCCTGGCCTCAAGTGATCCACCCGCCTCGGCCTCCCAAAGTGCTGGGATTACAGGCATAAGCCACCCGCCCAGCCTCTTCCCTATCTTTTAAATATACAAGTGTGCACTGTGGGTGTGTGTGAATTAAGACGATTCTGGACTGTGAGCTCCTATGGGCGGGGCTATTGTCACTCTATAAAAAGCCCTAGGGCAAAAAGATGGAGGTAGTGCAGGGAGCAGAGGGCGCCTGTCCTCCATCCAGCCATCATCAAACCCACCGAAGAGGCAGACCCGATTAAGTCTTAGTGGGTTAGGTGTTGACCTGGGCCTTCAAGGGAGGTTTTACTCCACTGTGTTTTATTTTATTGTTTTATGTCGTTTGTTCCACTATTTTTGTAATTGGGGCAAAGTGAGAGGTTCAGCTAATCTAAGAACACTTAATATACCCCAGAAACTGTCTGAATCAATTATTTTTATTCTTCTGCCAAACACAACTGATTTCCATCTGCAATTATTTTTTAAGGTAAGAAACAGTAAGTCAGTGAAGAAAGAGCTGGGTTAGCTTGCCCACTGAGAGATGCAGAGCCGAAGGCTGGGGTCAAGTCAGGTTGGCCGCAGCAGGGTACAGAGCAGCCTCGGTGGGCTTCCTCCAAGAACGTTCTGCAGCACCTGACACACTGCTGGTACACCGTCTCAAAAGGCAGCCATTTCCATAATAGGGATCTGCATTAATAAGTTGGTTTTGTGATCACAGCTCCCAAGTAGTTCAATTTTAGCTTTGCAGTTTTTAACTTGATTGCTTTTTCTATTCCTATCTCTGCTGGGCAACGTGGCTCATGGGAATGTTGTGTCTCTTCATGCAGCTGTGCCCTCGGTAGTCAGGGGATTCCCTATCTCGTACCCAGACGTCACCACACTGTCTACCCTCCAATTCTCTGAAATGTTTTTTTTTTTTTTTTTGAGCCAGAGTCTCGCTCTGTCGCCCAGGCTGGAGTGCAGTGGCGCAATCCTGACTCAGTGCAACCTCCGCCTCCCGGGTTCAACCGATTCTCCTGCCTCAGCCTCCCGCTTAGCTGGATTACGGGTATATGCCACCATGCCCAGCTAATTTTTGTATTTTTAGTAGAGACGGGGTTTCATCATATTGGTCAGGCTGATCTCAAACTCCTAACCTCAGGTGATCTGCCCGCCTTGGCCTCCGAAAGTACTAGGATTACAGGCATGAGCCACTGCACGCAGGACTTTGAAATGTTTTGATCTGAAAACTGCTTCTGCAGTGGGTGACCAACAGATGTTACCCAGACACACAAACAGCACCGACTTAGGCACCTGCTCTCCCATCTTTACGTGCACAAAGGTACCCAGAGACTGCCTGTGTGATTTCTTTGAAGAAACATTGAAGGATTAACTGTGCAGGAACTGGTTCCCAAACTCAAATGAGAGTAAGGAAGTAGCATCCCTGTCTGAATGTCAACCATTTGAGTCCTAGACCTCAACTTTGTTCTATACTTAGTATTTCTTTCTTTGTTCTATGCAGCATTTCTCTGGCTTAGCTGAGTGAAGGGCTAGGACACCCAGACTTCTTTTCCAAGAAGAATCTGCTTCTTTCCAAACTAACACTGCAGACTAAATGCCTGGATTTGGCTTAGAGTCAGGGTTCCAGTTCCTTCTGCCCTCCAGGTTCAAAGCCCATCTCTCCAAAGCTGTTTCTGCTCTTCCCCTTAGTCCTTGTGGGACTGGCTCCTCACCCTTATTATTATTATTATTATTTTTTCTGAGACACAGTTGCTCTGTCACCCAGGCTGGAATGCAGTGGCACCATCTTAGCTCACAGCAGCCTCCACCTCCTGGGTTCAAGTAATTATCCTGCCTCACCCTCTCCGGTAGCTGAGATTACAGGCAAGCGCCACCATGCCAGACTAATTTTTGTATTTTTAGTAGAGACGAGGTTTCACCATGTAGGCCTGGCTGGTCTCACACTCCTGACCTCAGGCGATCCGCCTGCCTTGGCCTTTCAAAGTGCTAGGATTACGGGCGTGAGCCACAGTGCCTGGCCTGCTGCTCACCCTTTATATCAGTGATTCTCAACAGGGGTCATTTTGACCCCCAGGGGACATTTGGCAATGTCTGGACACCCATTTGGTTGTAACTGAGGGGGGTTACTACCAGCATATAGGGAGTAGAGGTCCAGGATGTTGCTAACCATCCTACACTGCACAAGAGAGCCCCTCATGGCAAAAAACTGTCCAGCTCCAAATGGCAATAGTGTTGAGGCTAAGAAACCCTGCTGTAGGTCTCAGCTCACGTGCTACCTCCCGAACAGGCCTCTGTAACAACCCTAGTCATTCTCTCATTAGCTGTTGATTTTCTTCATGGTATTCAAACCATCTGAAATGACCGAATTAATTTGTTTACCTGATTTGATGGCTGTGCCTAAACTACCTCCCCTCCCACCACCCCATATAATAATAGCTCCTGGTGGTGGTGGCAGTAGTCATCACAGCTAACATTTATTAAGTACTTACTGTTGTATTTCAGGCATTTGCTCATATTATTTCCTACAGCCATCCTAGTAACCCTACAAAATAGGAAGTATTATTAGCTGTGTTTTACAGATCAGAAAATAAGGGCACAGAGAGGTTATTTGCCTAAGGACAGCAGCGGCAGTGAAGGAGCCACAGTTCAACCCCACGCCCCAGCATCCTGTGCTCCTGACCCAGTGGCTTCGGAGTGCAAGAGGTAAAGTCTCCGTGGCTGGCCCAGCTGGCCATCCACTCACCTGGTAGGGAACACCCCACTAGGACAGAACAATGGACGTGGGTTCATAAAAGCAAAGAGTTGCCTGGCGTTCACACTCCTGATTCATGGCCGGGGTTCTCAGAGCATGCTCACCAGCAGACACAGAACCGTAGCTCCTTGCACATCTGCCACCGGCTAACAAGATTTGCGGCTCCATCTGTCTGCTTCTAACATGCTTAGATCTGGGAGGGGCTCCCTGAGCTCCCAGCCCCATCTGTGAAGGTGAAGACCTGGGACCAGGCTTGGGGCCTCCCCAGAGCTTCCCCCAGGAGGGGACCTGCCTCAGTGCTGGCTCAGACCAGTTCCAGGCACCATCCAGCTTGTCAAGCAGCCCAAAGAGCTGCCCTCCTCCTTGCCAGCAACCAGCATCCTTGTATTTCTGAGGCAATCCCTGGCACCAGGTGCCTGGAAGAGAATCTTAGCAGCTCTCATGAACCAGGATCTGTTCCTCAGAGTAAACCCTTGTGAACCGAATTTCAGAAGAAGACACCAAAGCATTTGGTAGGTGTCTCAGGTCCAAATGCCCGCCAGGGCCAGGTAGGTACCGTAAGTGTGCAAATACAGCTGGATGACTGACAGTGCGAGGTGGTGGGGACTGTGTTGAGCTATAAAGCCAGTGTTTCCCTAAAGGATATGATGTCTACTCAGCTCCTACCTGGTATTATCTTTCTTTTTTTTTTTTCTTTTGTTTTTTTTTGAGACGGAGTCTTGCTCTGTCACCCAGGCTGGAATGCAGCGGCGCAATCTCGGCTCACTGCAAGCTCCGCCTCCTGGGTTCACGCCATTCTCCTGCCTTCGGCTCCCCAGCAGCTGGGACTACAGGCGCACGCTGCCACGCCCTGCTAATTTTTTTGTAATTTTAGTAGTGACAGGGTTTCACCTTGTTAGCCAGGATGGTCTCAATCTCCTGACCTCGTGATCCACCTGCCTCGGCTTCCCAAAGTGCTGGGATTACAGGCGTGAGCCACCGCACCCAGCCCCTACCTGGTATTATCTTTCAGAGATGTAAGCTCCATGTTTCCAGAGAAACTGGGAATCTGTGCTTTCTAGGAAATTATTTTTTTAAAAAATTTTTTAAATTAAATTTAAAACATTTTAACAAATAGGAAGCCAATAAAACATTTTAAGTTAGAGTGGAATCTAGGCTGGGTGCAGTGGCTCACGCCTGTAATCCCAGCACTTTGGGAGGCCGAGGCAGGTGGATCACCTGAGATCAGGAGTGCGAGACCAGCCTGGCCAACATGAAACCCTCTCTCTACTAAAAATACAAAAAATTAGCCAGGCATGGTGGCAGGCACCTGTAATCCCAGCTACTTGGGAGGCTGAGGCAGGATAATCACTTGAACCAGGGAGGCAGAGGTTGCAGTGAGTGGAGATGGCGCCACTGCACTCCAGCCTGGGTAATAAGAGTGAAACTCTGTCTAAAAAAAAAAAAAAAAAGAAGAAGTGCAATCTAGACAAGAATGCAGAGCCTGAGAGGTGAGAGGTCTGAGTGTGTCTGGTCTTGACGATAGCCATCACTCCATTCTGAACCTCTGTCTCCTCATTTTAAGGGGAAGGCTGCCAACCTAGTCTGTGGTTCAGGTGTATGGTAAGGAAGCCTGGAACACGTGGTATTATCATTCAGCAGTGAGTTCCACAAGGAACACTGGAAATAAGTGGACCCCCTCTTCTTTAGGGCTCAGGTGAGACAGCTGCACCTCCCCCCAACCCAGCTCCCACTTCAAAGGAAGAATTCAAGTGGCCAGGCTTCTGCTGGGCCAGCTCTGGCTGGTTCTAGGCCCCTGCCCTTATCAGAGACACACAGGCAGGACATCTGGGAAGTCAGGCCTTCTGCTGCTCCCAACTGTGTGGACTTAGGCAGGTCATTTCCCTTTTCTAGAGCTCAGTTTCTCCATCTGTAAATGAGAGGGTGGGACTGGAATGGTCTCCCAGGTCATACCTGGCAGGGGAGCACATCCCAGTGGCAGTCCATGGTCTTCTTACCTAGAGTCAGGTCCAGCAGGTCTGAGATGGGAGGTTTCCCAGGAGAGGCTCGTGCACAGCCAGGCTTGGACACTGCTCCCTGCTCTGAAGCCCTACCCTGTATGTGCCAGTTCTCACCAGTAGACGTTTCAAGAAGAGCCCTGGCCGGGCGCAGTGGCTCACGCCTGTAATCCCAGCACTTTGGGAGGCCAAGGCGGACGGATCACAAGGTCAGGAGATCAAGACCATCCTGGCTAACACGGTGAAACCCTGTCTGTACTAAAAATACAAAAAGTAAAATAAAATAAAAGCCGGGCGTGGTGGCGGGCACCTGTTGTCCCAGCTGGAGGCTGAGGCAGCAGAATGGCGTGAACCCGGGAGGCGGAGCTTGCAGTGAGCCGAGATTGTGCCACTGCACTCCAGCCTGGGCAACACAGCAAGACTCCGTCTCAAAAAAAAAAAAAAAAAAAAAAAGAAGAAGAAGAGCCCTTAATAGCTCCTTTGTACACGCTTACTATGTGGCAGGCCCTGTCTTTGGCACTTTCCTCATGCTCTTATCCTTACTCCTCTTTTGTCCTCACAACGCCACCATGAGCTAGTTGGATTATCACCATTGCCTAGATGACGATACTGAGGATTGTGGAGGCTGAAGATCTCGCCATGCCATGTCACCCTGGGTGACACACAGCCACACAAAGGCCCAATCACTCAAGATTTCACTGCTCCTTCCCCCCAAACACATCAGGTATCCAAGGAATGACAGGCAGGTGGCAGAGTGCCACCTAATGGTGATCTTCTTTCATTTATTTATTTATTTATTTATTTATTTATTTATTTATTTATTTATTTTAAGACATTGTCTGACTCTGTCCCCCAGGCTGGAGTGCAGTGGCACGATCTCAGCGCACTGCAACCTCTGCCTCCTGGGCTCAAACCATCCTCCCACCTCAGCCTCCCAAGTAGCTGGGACTAAAGATGCCCACCACCAAGCCCAGCTAAATTTTTTGCATGTTTTGTAGAGACAGGGTTTCACCATGTTGTCCAGGCTGGTCTCAAACTCCTGAGCTCAAGCGATCTGCCCACCTCAGTCTCCCAAAGTGCTTGGATTACAAGCATAAGCCACTGCGCCCGGCCCTAGTGGTGATCTTTAAAGATGCTATGAGTAGCTCCCAAGTTCACTAAAGGAGCTTGCCAGGAGGGAGGCAGGTGCCCTGGCACAGTGGGAAAGATGACTCCCAAATGTCAGGGTGAAGGTCATGGAGAGCCTGTGGTAAAGGGCACCTGAACCAGGTCTGTGGAATGGGGAGTCTTTCCAGCATCTTGCACAGTGCAGCAAATAATGAAGCCAATCTAACTTTCTGGGAGTCATGAGCATGGATAAATAAAAAAAAAATTTTGTTTTGAAACAGGATTTCACTCTGTCACCCAGGCAACAATGCAGTGGTGTAATGATGGCCGCTGCAGCCTCGACCTCCTCGGGCTCAGGTGATTGTCCCACCTCATCCTCCCAAGTAGCTGGGACTAAAGGCATGTGCTACCACGCCCGGCTAACTTTTGTATTTTTTGTAGAGATGGGGTTTCGCCATGTTGCCCAGGCTGGTCTTGAACTTCTGGCTCAATGGTCTGCCCGCCTTGGCCTCCCAAAGCAAGGATTTTTACCCTTTATCCTTGTAACTCCTCTGTGACCGAGGAAGGGAAGGTCTTACTAATTCATTTTACACATGACCAAGATGAGGCTCAGAGAGGTCCAGTGACTCACAAGTTAGTGACAGAGGCACTCCTAACCCTTTGATTGCATTGACCTGAGAGTGATGGTTGTGATGATGGAGGTGATGGTAGAAACTAACATTGAGTGACTTTGTAGCAAGTCCATTAGGTAAGTACAGTTGTTATTCCCATTTACAGGTGAGGAAACTGAGGCTCAGAGAAATGGATGAACTTACCCCAAGGTGACACAGCTTCTAGGTGATAAAGAAAAGATTCAAATCCTGGTAATGTGACTCCAAAACCAAAGCTCTATTTTTTTTTTTTTTTTTGAGATGGAGTCTCGTTCTGTCATCCAGGCTGGAGTGTGATGGCACATCTCGGCTCACTGCAGCCTCCACCTCCTGGGTTCAAGTGATTCTCCTGCCTCAGCCTCCCAAGTAGCTGAGATTACAGGCACGCGCTACCACACTTGGCTAATTTTTGTATTTTTAGTAGAGATGGGGTTTCACTGTGTTGGCCAGGCTGGTCTCTAACTCCTGACCTCAGGTGATCCACCTGCCTCACCCTCCCAAAGTGCTGGGATTACAGGTGTGAGCCACCGTGCCTGGCCCCAGAGCTCTTTTTTTTGAGACCGGGTCTCTCTCTGTCGCCCAGGCTGGAATGCAGTGGTGCAATCATGGCTCACTGCAGCCGTGACTTTCCCGGGCCCATTCTATCCTCCCACCACAGCCCCCCAAGTAGCTGGGACCACAGGCATGTGCCACCATGCCCAGCTAATGTTTTAATTTTTTTGTAGAGATGAAGTCTCCTTATGTTCTCGAACTCCTGGGCTCAAACGATCCTCCTGTCTCAGCCTCCCAAAGTGCTGGGATTACAGGTGTGAGCCACCACACCCAGCCCAGAGTCAAAGCTCTTAACCACCGGCTCTTCTGGCTGAGGAATCCTCCCTGCCAAGATGCCAGTGACATAGGTGCTTTTCTCCAGCTCACCTTACTCCATTTACCCACACTGAGAAACTGTAGCTCCATCAGTGAGTGAAGCCCACACCCGCATTACTACTCTCAGAGACTCACTCACTCTCTGCTGTGTGACTTTGGATGAATTTCTTTTCCTCTCTGAGCCTCAGTTTCCACGTCTGTGAAATACAGTGTTTAAACTAGTTGAGAGCTGAGGTCCTGCTTTTCCATAGTCTATGAATCTGTGAGTTTATAACAATACAGGCTTAAGAATTTCTCCCCTGGCTGGGGGCTGTGGCTTATGCCTGTAATCCCAACACTTTGAGAGGGCTAGACATGGGGATCACAAGGTCAGGAGATCAAGACCATCCTCACCAACATGGTGAAACCCCGTCTCTACTAAAAATACAAAAAATTAGCTGGGCGTGGTGGCGTGTGCCTGTACTCATGGGGCTGAGGCGGGAGAATCGCTTGAACCAGGGAGTCAGAGGTTGCAGTGACCCGAGATCACGTTACTGCACTCCAGCCTGGTGACAGAACAAGACTCTGTCTCAAAAAAAAAAAAAATATTTCTCCCCTGCCAGCAATTTGAATTTGTCCTTGAATCAATTATAGTGAAAATTCTCTCTTGTCTCTTCTGTCACTCCCTCCCTCCATCTCTCTCTCTCTCTCCTCTTCCTTCCTCTTTCTCTCTCTCCCCTTGTCTCAATTTTCAGCCTAATTATAGTTAACTCTGTTATTTAGAGACTTATTATCCAAGCTCATTATGAGTAATTATTCATTCTGGAGGGGAAACAGCAACACTGCTAGTTTAATGCTTACCTGGTTCACTTAATTAGTAATAAGTCTTGGCAAAACGGTGGAATTCATGGGTCCTTGCTGGATGGGTGGGTGGGGAGAGGCTGTGTATTGTTCTTAGAAAGATAAACAAGGTTTCAGAGCAGAATGTGGGAGGAGGCAAGAGAAGGCTGCCTGTGACCTGAGCTGTGACATCTGTCCAGGTTGAGGCTGGCCCACAAGAGTGAAAGGCTGCAAATTGCGCAGAGCTGGAAGGACCTTAGGTCAGGTAGCACGTATTAGGCTCCTTCTGTGTGCCATACCCTGTGCAAAGCTCTGGACAAACCTTATTCCTTATGTCTCACGTATGGGACTTGTACATTCGAAAAAATGTAAGTACTACCTGCCTTCGGTAATTCAGTTCTTATAGTGAGTACATTCTCCTTTCAGTAGTCTCTCAGGAATTTTGATGAGTTAAGGATAAATTTTCCCATTTGATACCACTATGTCTTTTACCTCTCTCACCCTTTTCACAAAGGGAGGCCTTAGGCCCAGGGCCTTGGGCAGGCAACAGAATCTAGCTAGAAGTCAACATTGTTCAGCTATGACTTTTTAAATAGTTTTAGTTTACTTATGGCAAATAACAGTGGTTGTCTATGTATGGAAGTGACGTGATTTTCCATTATAGTAAAAATAAGTGAATTGTCTTATAGAAAAATATAGGGTAGCCAGGCGCGGTGGCTCACGTCTGTAATCCTAACACTTTGGGAGGCCGAGGCAGATGGATCACCTGAGGTCAGAAGTTTGAGACCAGCCTGACCAACATGGAGAAACCCTGTCTCTACTAAAAATACAAAATTAGCCAGGCGTGGTGGCACATGCCTGTAATCCCAGCTACTTGGGAGGCTGAGGCAGGAGAATAGCTTGAGCCCAGGAGGTGGAGGTTGCAGTGAGCCAAGATCGTGCCATTGCACTCCAGCCTGGGCAACAAGGGCAAAACTCCGTCTCAAAAAAAAAGAAAAATATTGGGTAAAAAAGAAGTCAAGGTGGTACCCAGATGTGGTAACACTTCCAAGGAGAGAGGAGGATGAAAAAAGTCCCCTTCAGGACTCTGAATTAGAGATTGTCCCAGGACAGCTGCCAAACCCAAATGCTGCCTCAGAATGCTTCTCAACCCAGGACACCAGGCACCTGATGTCTGGGTGACCCCGCCCCCCCTTCCCAGCCGCCCATAGCCTCTCAAAGTTCTTCCCAGGCACCCCGCCCAAGCCCTATGAGTCAAAACCAGGACACTCCAGTCCCTCCTGTCCCTCCTATCACCCCCATTGCCCCTTTGCCATCTCATAGACCACTGATTCCCCTCAGCCCATCATTGGTCCTCCTGGACCCCCTTTGTACCCCTCAGTGGGTAAACTGAGGACCAAAGGGATGACTCCACAGTGAATAAAAGCAGAGCCCCGGCCAAGCTGAAACAGCTTCCCTGGGTGAGCTCTGGTCCATCCCCACTTTGAGCCTTGGAGCCCAGCAGCCGGGGCCCTTCCTAGAGGTACAGCTCCCACCCCACAACCCCCAAGTCCTGATATGCCTGGCCTGTGGCCCATCCGAGAATCAATGCGTTACCCTTCCCAGCTGACTTTGTCTCCATAAAGGAGGCTTCAAGCAGCACAGAGTAGTGGGTGGCAGAGTGGGGCGAAGGGGCCACAGAAGTGTGCCCACCATGTTTCCTGTACGCCACCTTCAGCCTCACCCAGGGGCAGGAGCATTGCAGTCATCCACATTCATGTCTTCCTCCGCCATGACATGAATCCCACATGGATCTCAGGGGCAATGTGTTGCCCATGTGGCCACCCTTGGGGGCTTTCCCACCCTCACCCAGCCAGAGGCCATCCCAAGACACCAGAAAAGAAAAACAAAGAGGTTCTGGAGCGAGCAGCGTCTGTCCTTATATCAGTTTTATTGGTGGGTTTGTAGCTCCCTGGGCCGGGCCTGGCTGCTTAGGCCAGTCTCTTGCTCACGCGCTCATAGGTCACGCCTCCGATGGTGGAGACCTGAAAGAAGCAGCCGGGACAGAGGGAGTCAGTGCCCCACCCCAAGGTAGCCAGGAGGCACCGCTGAAGGAAGATGAGTCTCCAACCCCGGCCTTGAGTAGATAAGAGTCAGGCGCACCACTTCTTTCGGCCTCAGTTTCCCAATTTGTTCCAGGAGTCAGTGTGAAGACTCCCTGTGATGAATGGTAACCAGCTGTGAGGGGTGATGTGGCTCTGGGTGTGGAACCCTGCACCTCTTTTCCTCTCCATTCACCCATGTCAGGCTGTTACCCTGCATGATTCCATTTAATCCTCCCAACAGCCCTGTGAGGTTGTTCCCATTGTACAGATGGGAAAATTGAAGTTTAGAGAAGTCAAGTAATCCTTCCAAGGCCACACGCCATGGCTGCACCATGCAGTGTTTGTGAGCACCTGTCACATGCTCGGTGATGGGAAGATACAGTCCCTACTCTCGAGAAGCCTAAGGTTTAGTGGGAGAGGCAGGCGGGGGGGATGCTGTTCTTTGAAGGCCCACAGTGTGCGGTGCCCCAGGCTCCATGCTGTGGAGCTGTGCTGCCATTGGATGTGCACGTGTCATCAGCTGGTTCTGACACCCAGCAGAAGAAAGCAGCATTTCCATGAGAAGGGCGGGTAGCAAACAGAGAGCTGTGGGAGAGCCCAGAGGAGGCAGGGAGCCACTGACTAGATAACAGGAGGGGGAATTGGCTGTTGGACAGAATCCTGAAGAATTGGATTTGGAAAAGCAAACAGGAGAAAGGGAATTCAGAGCAGAGGAAGCACATGGCACAGAAAGGGAGATAGGAATGGCTCTGTCCAGCTCAGGAGCAGTAGCTGGTCCAGAGGGGCTGGGGAGAGCATACCTGTAGAATTGGGCAGTAAGGCCGTGGAAGGTCAAGCGGAGGAGTTTGGTCCTGATTCATAACAAAGGGCAGCAGTGGGAGGTGATGTGTGATTTGCATATGGGATGGATGGAAGGTGGGGGAGAGGTGGAATCAGAGGAGGCTGGGGCTTGGTGTAGGGGAGAGGTGATGAGAACATGGCAGGGGTGCTGGTGGCGGAAGGCAGGAGGGATGCTTACAAAATGCACTGTCTATTGGTGGAGAAGTGGGGAGGTGCCAGGATGATTCTGGGCCTCTAGAGATGGGGGATTTGCAATCAAGACAGCTCCTCTCGGGGCCTAGTCATGCAACTTTGTTTATGTGTGCACGTGCCTGGGTCTATGTGCATACATGTGTGTGTTCCTGGCTGTGTCATGTGTGTGTGTGCATGATGACCCTGAACTCTGGTCACTGCCCACACCACATGGGCTCCATGATGAGGAATCTCTGGGAATTGACAAGCAGGTTCGCTCAGCTTGGGAAGATCAATTCTCTTGTCAGGCCCAAACCTGCTTCCAGTTCTCCTGCCCTATGCTCTTCCTGCACACCTCACAGGCTGGGGAGCTTTGCTTCTTCTGGGAGTTACTGACTGACATTTCATGTAAAAATGCATCAAAAGCCCTTTCATCAGATCCTTCAAAATGTCAGTTTTCACCCAGGAGAAGAGGGATATAGTCACTTTTGTTCTTTTTACAGTTTTTCAACACTGTACATCTATTAGTTTTTAGATTATTATTATTATTTTTTTTGAGACAGAGTTTTGCTCTTGTTGTCCAGGCTGGAGGGGGCTCATTCTTTGCTCACTGCAACCTCTGCCTCCTGGATTGAAGCGATTCTCCTGCCTCAGCCTCCTAAGTAGCTGGGATTACAGGTGTGCACCACCACACCTGGCTAATTTTTTTTTTTTTTTGTATTTTTAGTAGAGACCGGGTTTCACCATGTTGGCTGGGCTGGTCTTGAACTTCTGACCTCAGGTGATCCACTTGCCTCAGCCTCCCAAAGTGCTGGGATTAGAAGCTTGAGCCACCACACCCAGATAATTTTTAGATTATTTAAACAAAAATGTTAAAGGGGGATAAAAAGACCCGTGGGCCTGGGCAGAAGAGGCAGGGGGCCTAGTCTAGAAGTCAGCAGATGAGATCTGCCTCTGCATGTACTAGTTGTGTGGCCACGGCCAAGTCCCTTGCTGTCTCTGAGCCTTGTAATGCTGCTCTGTAAAATAAGTATAATGGGAGGGCACGGAACCTCTTGGGCCATCTTATGGACTGCGCGTGTGTCCCCCCACCAAACCCATATGATAAAGGTCAAAGCCCCAGTGTGATGGTATTTGGAGATAGGACCTTTAGGGGGTAATTAAGTTATGAGAGTGGAGTCCCCATGAAGGATTAGTGCCCTCATAACAACAGACACAAGGCCTGGTGCAGTGGCTCACACCTGTAATCCCAGCACTTTGGGAGACCAGGGTGGGCAGATCACTTGAGGTCAGGAGTTCGAGACCAGCCTGGCCAACATGGTGAAACCCTGTCTCTACTAAAAATACAAAAATTAGCCAGATGTGATGGTGGGCTCCTGTAATCCCAGCTACTTGGGGAGGCTGAGGAAGGAGAATTGCTTGAACCTGAGGGCGGAGGTTGCAGTGAGCCAAGATCATGCCACTGAACTCCAGCCTGGACAACAGAGCAAGACTCTGTTTCGAAAAAAAAAAAAAAAACAGACATGAGAGAGATGACGTCTCCCTGCCATGTGAAGAAACCAGGACGGGGGCCCTCATAAGCCCCTGACCATGCTGGCACCCTGATCTTGTACTTTCCTGCTTCCAGAGCTGTGTGAAATAAGTGTCTGTGGTGTAAATCATTTACACCACAGTGTCTGAGAGAGGCAGTGTGCTCCTTTCCTCTTGACAGGGCTTGAGATGTGGGCACAAGAAAGCGAGAATGAGAGAGAGAGAGAGAGAAGGATCAAAGAAGGAGAAGCAAAGGGGTCACACAAACACTGCCTCCCTCATCATGTCTTCCCTGCTGGAGAGCTTCAGGGAGGAGGGAAGGGCCCTTTCTAGACCTACACGGGACCCCAGAGGGTCTCTGGCCCAGGTCACAGGCTCACAGTGAGGGAATGAAGTATGGAAATGCCTTCTTTTCCCTTTTAACCTCACGTTCATTCCTTCCACCTGGGGAAAACTTGGAGACCCACGGGAAAGCAACAGAAGTGAGAGGAAGGGCCTCCCAGGGCACCACCTCCAGTGTAGGAGGAGTGGGTCCCCAGATGTGTGTGTGGGACCTGCCAATATTTACAGAATTTTTTTAATTAGTTGCCAATATTTAATAGTGTGGAGATTTCACACGGAAGTGCAAATTTCCAACTTCTCTTGATAAATCAGAAGATCTGGTAGAAGGGGCCTGATGTCCCTCATGGAAAAGGAATGGAGTGGTGGCTGTCCTTTGAGGAGCCCACCTGGACCACCTCCTTTATTTATATTCTGGGAAGGATCTTCCGGGCTTCCAGTCTCGTGTCCCAGAAGCGGTTGAGTGTGAGTGCTGCAGTCAGGCTACTTAGCATCAAACCTCAGCTCTGTCGTCAAATCTGTGTGCTCCCTCACTTATCCCTGTGCTTCAGTCTCCTCAAATGGAGATAAAAATCCCCACCTAACAGGGTTATTTTGAAGACCAAATGACATCATGTGCATCCAGCACTCAGCATAGAGCCTGGTACAAGGGAAGTGCTGGTAAAGCCAGCTGCGTAGAGGCCTACTTCTGAGGGGCTGTGGCCAAGAGGCAGACAAATATCCAATAATCATCCCAGGAATCAGCATGACACTCACCTCCACCAGCTTGTCACCCACGATCTCTGAGGTCTGGTGATAGTTGGGGAAATTCACCACCAGCTTCCCGCCCTCCATCTGCACAGTGGCCTGGAATGGAAGCACAACATTAAGCCTGGGTTGTTGCAGGTGATTGGCAACTATCTGGGGCTGGTGGCGCGGGCAGTAAGAAGAATTTACCAAGGCCAGGCACGGTGGCTTATGCCTATAATCCCAGCACTTTGGGAGACTGAGGCAGGCGGATCACTTGAGGTCAGGAGTTCGAGACCAGCCTGGCCAACGTGGTGAAACCCCGTCTCTACTAAAAATACAAAAAGTAGCCCGGTGTGGTGGCTCATGCCTGTAATCCCAGCTACTTGGGAGGCTGAGGCGTGAGAATCACTTGAACCCGGGAGGCAGAGGCTGCAGTGAGCAGAGATCGTGGCACTGCGCTCCAGCCTGGGCAACAGAGCAAGACTCTGTCTCAAAAAAAAAAAAAAAAATGAATTTACCAAGACAGTTGTAGGTAAAAAAAAAAAAAAAAAAAAAAGTCAGATTTCTTAGAGAAAGTATGAAAATATGTTGCAAGGGTGCACTGGGCAGGACAGCAAGAGAGGAGCTGACTGCAAGGAGACAAAGTCTTGCTGGAGAGTTTATAGACTGTTGCTTATGCTGTGTGCTGAAGCGGGTTTTGTGCAGTACTGACAAAGCAAAGGTTATGGTGAGATAACTTACATTTTTCTATCAGTGGAGGTGATGATAGCTGGGCACAGGAAGATTGTGAGTTATTTGCACAGGAGGGCTATGTGTTCTGGACCATGAAGAAAGGCAGACTTACAGCTTATCTGCTCTCCTTTTTTGCTTTACCCTGCTGCCGCCAACCTGACTCCTTTTCTATTATTAGAACTCCACATGGGTCACCAGAGGCCTAATGATAGAGGCAAATAGCTGGGGTTCAAATCCCTGGTCCCACCATGTTCTAGCTGCAAGGCCCTAGACACATTACTTGGTCTCCCTGAGCCTCGGTTTCTTCACTTCTTTTTTTTTTTTTCTTTTTTTGAGACGGAGCCTCGCCCTGTTGCCCAGGCTGGAGTGCAATGGTGTGATCTCGGCTCACTGTAACCTCCGCCTCCAGGGTTCAAGCGATCTCCTGCCTCAGCCTCCCGAGTAGCTGGGATTACAGGCACCGGCCACCACGCCTGGCTAATTTTTGTATTTTTTGTAGAGACAGGGTTTCACCATATTGGCCAGTCTGGTCCTGAACTCCTAACCTCGTGATCTGCCTGCCTTGGCTTCCCAAAGCGCTGGGATTACAGGCGTGAGCCACCGTGCCCGGCCAGTTTCTTCACTTCTAAAACAAAAGCAAATGACTGCATTTTTTCTTCTAGCATTCATTATGTGGCAGGCAACATGCCAGGTGCTTTCATGCACTGTCTTGTTTAATCTTCACCACAGCTCTTGGAGCTAGAGATTGTATGTAGTCTCCTTTTGCATACTAGAGATATGAGGCTCAGGGGAGTGAAATGACTTGCCCAAGGCCCTACAATTGCTGGTGGGAAATCATGGTTTCAAACCCAGCCAAGGCTCACTCCAGGGCCCAGTGTCTTTATCTCTGTGCTACACAGAGAGGCAGCATAAAAAAAGCACTTATGGCTGGGCACGGTGGCTCACACCTGTAATCCCAGCACTTTAGGAGGTCAAGGTGGGCGGATCACAAGGTCAGGAGTTTGAGACCAGCCTGGTCAACATGATGAAACCCTATCTCAGCTAAAAATACAAAAATTAGCCAGATGTGGTGGTGCACGCCTGTAATCCCAGCTACTCAGGAGGCTGAGGCAGGAGAATCGCTTGAACCCAGGAGGCAGAGGTTGCAGTGAGCCGAGATCATGACACTGCACTCCAGCCTGGGTGACAGAGTGAGTCTCGAATAAAAAAAAAAAAACACTTATGCTCTCTAGTGCCTGGTGTAAAGGCCTGCCCCTGTTGTGTAACTAAGGCAAGGTTTTTTTTATTTTTATTTATTTATTTTTTTGTGTGATGGACTCTCACTCTGTCGCCCAGGCTGGAGTGCAGTGGCATGATCTCAGCTCACTGCAACCTCTGCCTACTGGATTCAAGCGATTCCCCTGCCTCAGCCTCCTGAGTAGCCAGGATTACAGGCATGCACCACTATGTCCAGCTAATTTTTGTATTTTTGGTAGAGATGGGGTTTCACCATGTTGGCCAGGCTAATCTCAAAATCCTGGCCTCGAGCCATCCACCCACCTCGGCCTCCCAAAGTGCTGGGATTACAGGCATGAGCCACTGTGCCTGGCCAGCAAGCTTTTTAATCTCATGATTTAGCCTCCCCGATCAATCTGGAGAGAGTAATTGTAGCAATTTCATAGGATTAACTGCATTAAGATGGAAAAACTATTCAGCAAGTGTCTAGCTTATAATAAGTGTCCAGCAAGTATTAGCTATTTTTCTTATTGTTTTAGTGCCCATGTTTGACCATTAAAAATCAGGAGCATTAAATTGCCAAGTAACTCAAGCTCCTAATGCTGGAGGCCAAACTGGAGAAAGAAGCCTCAGCTCGGGAGCGGGGAGGCCATGTTTGAGAAGGAGAAGTCAGATGGAGGCCTGGGGAAGGAGGGGGACAGCCAGTGGCCTCTCACCTTGAACGTCTTGCCCCCCATTGTCTGTATGTTGCTTTCCTTGCCAACAGTGAACTTGTTGGTCATGGTGTGGCCCCCGGAGTAGTGCTGGGACCAAGTGAAGTCCTGCCCATCCTGCTGCACCTCCGTGACGATCTTGAAGTTGCGGGCCTTTTCGATTACATCGCTGGAGATCCCTGGACCCGGGGACAAGCAGAGTAGCCATATAAGAGCTGCTTTTAACCCTGTGGTTTGGGAAAAGAGCTTTCCTGCCCACCCCCACCGCCCTACCCCCTTGTGCATGATAGGCTAGCCTGCAGGTTAAGAGCACAGTGCCTGAGACAGCTAATACGTGCTGTGAGCCATGTGGCTGGGGAAAGTCCCTATCTCTCTGAGCTTCAGTCTATTCATCCACAATATGGAGATAATAAGGCCCATCCCAAAAGGCTGTTACAAGAATTATATTCAATGTGAGTGTGTTTGTGAAGCTCCTGGCACATGGTGGGTGCTCATCAATAATAACCAAGCTTCTGATAGTAATATAAATATAACTGAATCTTGCCAAGCTCGCGAAGTTCTGGAATGAATGAGACTTTCAAGACCAGGTATGGTGGTTCATGCCTGTAATCCCAGCTCCTTGAGGGCCCGAGGCAGGCAGATCGTTTAAGGTCAGAAGTTCGAGACCAGCCTGGCTAACATGGTAAAACCCTGTCTCTACTAAAAATACAAAAAAATTATCTGGGCATGGTGGCAGGTGCCTGTAATACTGGCTACTTGAGAGGCTGAGGCAAAAGAATCACTTAAACCCTGGAGGCAGAGGTTGCAGTGAGCTGGGATCGCGCCACTGCAGTTCCGCCTGGGCTACAGAGCAGGACTCCGTCCCCTCCTCCCTGCCAGAGAAAGACTGTGTCTTCTAATACTTTTATTTTACAGATAAGGAAGTGAGCACCCAGAATGGGAAAGGGACTTCCCAGTATTTCACTGAAATTTAATGACCGAATCAGGTCTAGAACCAAAGTGGGCTCACTTCCCATCCCACAACACGAGGCTGTTATAGGTGAAGCCAAGTCATTGCTCCTTCAGGGCCACTGCCAATACATGACTCAGAGGGACTCTCGACTCCTCAAGGCCCCAAGGCACAAGGGCCCTGGTCTCAGGGTTGCTCTGAGCCAGCTGGCAGGCAAGAAGTGGCCACCAAGAGGGAGGGCACGGGTCCCCTTGAGCTGTCCTCTGAACCTTGAGAGTTACACTGCCTGAGACTTTTTAGATAGTGAGATACTGAGATTTCCACAAGATTGTCAGATCCACTGTCTCATTGGTTCCTCACAACAGACTGGTGTTACAAGTCAAGCAGTGAGAGAAGGAATGAAATCACTGGTCTCTCTGCCCACAGTGTTTGGCACAGTAAGAGGCCTGTGTTTGCTGAATGACTGTGTGAAGAAGTGACTTGTCAAACCTGGTCTCCATGCTAACCCTTTGGTTTCCTCTCCCAGGCAGGATGTGGTGACACCACTCATCACAGGGTCCTGGGTGCCAATGGCCTCTGCCACTGACTTGGGCAAGTCACGCTGAGTCCCCATTGGTAACACTGAGATAGCCTTGCATATAGCTGGTGTTCAATAAATGTTTGATGGGCTGGGCTCGGTGGCTCACGTCTGTAATCCCAGCATTTTGGGAGGCCGAGGTGGGTGGATCACCTGAGGTTAGGAGTTCAAGACCAGCCTGAGCAACAGGGTGATACCCCGTCTCTACTGAAAATACAAAAAATTAGCCAGATGTGGTGGCACATGCCTGTAGTTCCAGCTACTTGAGAGGCTGAGGTAGGAGAATTGCTGGAACCCAGGAGACGGAGGTTGCAGTGAGCTGAGATCATGCCACTACACTTCAGCCTGGGAGACAGAGCAAGACTCCGTCTCAAAAATAAATGAATAAAAATAAATACATGTTTGACTAAATAAACATCAAATCTCTACTTCACCAACCAAGTCTCCACTTTACCAATTACTAGCTGTGTGACTTTGGACTAGTTAATTCCCTGGGCCTCAAGTTTTCCATCAGTAAAGTGGAAATACTAATATATTCTATGTGTGTTTTAAAGTCAAAGAGTGTCTATGCTGGGTGCGGCAGCTCACGCCTGTAATTCCAGCACTTTGGGAGGTCGAGCTGGGTGGATCACCTGAGGTCAGGAGTTCAAGACCAGCCTGGCCAACATGGTAAAACCCCATCTTTACTAAAAAAATACAAAAAAAAAAAATTAGCCGGGCGTGGTGGTGCACACCTGTAATCCCAGCTACTCGGGAGGCTGAGGCAGGAGAATTACTTGAACGTGGGAGCCGAAGGTTGCAGTGAGCCGAGATGGTGCCACTGCACTCCAGCCTGGGAGACAGAGTGAGACTCTGTCTCAAAAATAAAATAAAATAAAATAAAATAAAATAAAATAAAATAAAATAAAATAAAATAAAATAAAATAAAAAAGTTAAAGAGTGTCTTAGTTCTTATTATCCTCAGAGCCTGGGAGAAAGCAGTTGCTCAACAAATGTGTGAATGAATGAATGAGTGAGTGAGTGAATGAATGGATGAAATCCTGTCCCATTCTACTTTAGGGTTCCTGGCCCAGAGCTGGCTGTGACAAACCAACCCCGAGGAAGGGATACCCAGGAGCTCACTCACCAAGGAGCTTCATGAACTCATCATAATTCTTCTCACTCTCCATCTCGAACTTGCCGGTGAAAGCCATGCTGCTGGGAGGCTGGAGGCCAGAGAGCAGAGGGATGAGGAGAATGGGTGGTGCTGAGGGGTCTGCTATCCCAGCTTATAAACTCTCCCAGTTGCTGAGGCTCAGCCCCTAAGTCACCCCACTTCTTCTCCCTCCTGTCCTGAAGAGGAAGCACTTGCTGTTTTATGATGTGGGCAGGACCTGGAGGGACAGAGCCCCGAGGTTATTCACCCTGGGGAAGTGCTGTCACCCCATTGCCAGCAGGGTCAGGATGGCAACGGGTTTGAGGAGTCATCACCTCTCTGCCCATCTCTCCCTCCGTTCCCGCATGCCCTGCCCTCAACCCATGCTCTCACCATCTCTCATCACTCTTGCACCCTCTAACTCTGCAGCCAAAGCACTTGAGCACTTGCTGCATGCAGGGCCAGCACTGAAGAAACACAGATGAACGAGACACACACCTTTCCCAAAAGAGCCTTTGGTTTAGTCCAGAGACAAGCACACACCTGCAGAGAGTTCTTGTGTAAGCAGGATGTGATGTGCCCCAGGAGAAAAGCAGATGGCTGACCTGGAGCATGGGGAAGGAGCAATGGTGTCCAGCGCAGGGCTAGTGCATGTTTGGGGAGGAGGTGGCATTTGGCACCCGTCTTGGAGGACCAATAGGACTTGGATGTGTAGAGAAGCAGGAAGGTTGGAGGAGGCTGAGAACAAAGGGAGACGATATTCTAGGACGAGGGAACAGTGTGACGAAGATGGAAAGGGCCATGATGAAAGGAAACAATGAGTTTAGCTGGAGCAAAGCAAACTTGAAGGAGAACAGATGCTCCTAAGGGTGCAGATAATGCAACCAGAGTAAAGCAGCCACCCATGGGCCTAGGCAGCGCACCTGGAGGAGAAGGTGCCAGGTGCCTTGAAGATGCCTGTGCACCAGGCACTGGGCTGGATGCTGGATGAGTTTTATTTTGTTCAAGCTTCAGAGCTGGAAGGGGTTAGGGGTTCAGAATCTTGACTTCCATTTCCTGCTGTGTCTCTCAGTACCACTTCACATGCAGGGACTCTATCTCCTCCGTGATCACTCCGGCCTACCCATCTTGTGAGAATGTCCTCTGCATTGGGCAAAATTGACAGTGCAAAGTATAAAACACTCTGCAAAGGCTCTCGTGATTATTATGTATTTATTTATTTTTGAGATGGAGTTTCACTCTTGTTTCCCAGGCTGGAGTGCAAAGGTGTGATCTCGGCTCACTGCAACCTCCGCCTCCCGGGTTCAAGCAATTCTCCTGCCTCAGCCTCCAGAGTAGCTGGGATTACAGGCATGCACCACCACACCCAGCTAATTTTGTATTTTTAGTAGAGACGGGGTTTCTCCACGTTGCTTAGGCTGGTCTCAAACTCCCAACCTCAAGTGATCCGCCTGCCTCAGCCTCCCAAAGTGCTGGGATTACAGACGTGAGCCACCACACCCGGCCAATTATTATTATTAATTCAGGAAACCTCTGCACGTCTATTTCCTTTTCCCAGGCTTGCTCTCCATGAATCTCCTTCATTTCCATCTAAAGCTGAATTCAATACAGTTGCTGACTCCCAGACCTGGGACTAAGCGGTCTCTGAACTGATGAAAAACCAACTCTGCCACATTTTACCAGGCTTTAATCTCCAATCTTGGAATTTCTAACTCCAGCCAGGACTCTTACTTTAGTCTAACAGGCAGACAGACAGACAGACAGACACACACACACACACACACACACACACACACGTCATGGATTTTTTTAAGTTATATATATAAAAATTTCAAATAATTCAGAGCAAGTGAGAGTCCTGTCAGAGGTGGCCTGTGATAGTAGTTTGGTACCTCTCCTTCTAGGCTTTTTCTTTCCTTTTCTTTTTTCCTGAGACAGGGTCTCTCTTTGTCGCCCAGGCTGGAGTGCCGTGTGTGATCTCAGCTCACTGCAGCCTTAACCTCCCAGGCTCCAGTGATCCTCCCAAATCAGCCTCCCAAACAGCTGGGACTACAAGTACATGCCACCATGCCTTTTTTTTTTTTTTTTTTGAAGTGAAGTCTCCCTCCGTTGCCGAGGCCAAAGTGCAGTGGTACAATCTTGGCTCACGGCAACCTCCGCTCCCAGGTTTAAGCGATTCTCCTGCCTCAGCCTCCCTAGTAGCTGGGACTACAGGTGCTTGCCACCACACTTAGCTAATTTTTAGTAGAGACAAGGTTTCACTGTGTTGGCCAGGCTGGTCTCAAACTCCTGAACTTGGATGATCCGCCCACCTCGGCCTCCCAAAGTGCTGAGATTAGAGGCCTGAGCCACCACACCCAGCCCTTTTAGGCTTTTAAATGCACATATTTATTTTCTGGTATAAATGAGACTATATTGCTCTGTTACCTCCTGTTTATGTAATGATATGGGCACATGTCTATATCATTACAAAAGGGTATATCATATCCTGTTCAACAGCTCCAGAGTATTCTATCATATGTATGTCTCATAACTTACTTAGCTATTGCTGGATTTTTAGGTTGTTTCCAATCTTTTCCTATTATAAATAACAGTGATAAAAATATTCTTGTTCACACCTTTCACTGTACATGTCAGATTATTTGCTAAGATTGCTTGCTAAGGATGAATTCCCAGACATGAAATTCCTGGAACAAAGGATTGTAGTATTTAAAATTTGTATATCTATTACTTTACTGCCTTTCAGAAAAGCTATAGCAGTTTACACTCCCGCCTAGAGCATGTGAGAATTTCCCCTCACTGATAATAATAATGATGATACAACAATGACTGATAATAATAACAATGGCAAGAATAGCTCACATTTATTGGATCTTTATTATGCATTTGGCACTCAGCTGAGTGTTTTACATGAATGATCTTATTTAATCTTCAGAACAGCTCTATGAAGTATGTACTGTTATTGCCCCCATTTCACCTAGGAGCAAACAGAGGTTCAGTGAAGTGTTACCTTGACAAAGTATACCTTGCCAAAGTCACAGAGCCCCAGTGTATAGTTTATATTTACTTTTTTTTTTTTTTTGAGACAGTCTCATGGGGCGATCTCGGCTCACTGCAACCTCCGCCTCCCAGGTTCAAGCAATTCTCCTGCCTCAGCCTCCTGAGTAGCTGGGATTACAGGTGCCCACCATCATGCCCGGCTAATTTTCTGTATCTTTAGTAGAGACGGGGTTTTCCATGTTGGCGAGGCTGGTCTCGAACTCCTGACCTCGTGATCTGCCCGCCTCGGCCTCCCAAAGTGCTGGAACTACAGGCGTGAGCCACCGCGCTCGGCCTATATTTACTCTTAAAATAGCTTTCAACGTCTTTTTTTCAAAAAATCCCTATAATCCCATAACCCTAATACAAGCAAACTGCTTTTATTAATTAATTAATTTATTTATTTGAGACAGTTTCACTCTATCGCCCAGGCTGGAGTGCAGTGTCACATCTCGACTCACTGCACCCTCTGCCTCCCAGGTTCAAGCCATTCTCCTGCCTCAGCCTCCCAAGTAGCTGGGATTATAGGCGCCTACCACCACGCCCGGCTAATTTTTCTGTTTTTAATAGAGACAGGAGTTTGCCATGTTGGCCAGGCTGGTTTCGAACTCCTGACCTCAAGTGATCCACTCGCCTCGGCCTCCCAAAATGCGGGTATTACAGGTGTGAGCCACCCTGCCCGGCCTTATATTTTCTACTCTCTTCCTCCCTCTTTTGCTATTTCTCTCCTTCTCCCTCATTATTGTTTTCTTTCTTATCAACTGTAACAGATATACAATAACCACACGCCACATAAATACAATATTGTATTCTATTTTTCTTCACCCAGCATTAGTTTGTAAACACGGTCCCATGTTTCTGAAAAGCTGTCAGGTTGGGCCAGGTGCAGTGGCTCATACCTGTAATCCCAGCACTTTGGGAGGCTGAGGCAGGTGGATCACAAAATCAGGAGATCGAGACCATCCTGGCTAAACAGTGAAACCCATCTCTACTAAAAATACAAAAAAATTAGCTGGACATGGTAGCAGGTGCCTGTAATCCCAGCTACTTGGGAGGCTGAGGCAGGAGAATCGCTTGAACCCAGGAGGCAAAAGTTGCAGTGAGCCGAGATCACACCACTGCACTCCAGCCTGGGGGACAGAGCGAGACTCTGCCTCAAAAAAAAAAAAAAAAAAAAGGTGGGGCTGGGCCCAGTGACTCATGCCTGTAATCCCAGTACTTTGGGAGGCCAAGGTGGGAGGATCACAAGGCTAGGAGTTCGAGACCAGCCTGGCCAACATGGCAGAACCCCATCTCTAGTAAAAATACAAAAATTAGCCAGGTGTGGTGGTGGGCACCTGTAGTCCCAGCTGCTTGGGAGGCTGAGGCAGGATAATTGCCTGAACCCAGGTGGTGGATGTTGCAGTGAGCCGACATCACACCACCACACTCTAGCCCGGGCAATAGTGTGAGACTTCATCTCAAAAAAAACAAAAAAAAAAAACTGCTATCAGGTTTGACCAGACATGGTAGTTCATACCTGTAATCCCAGCACTTTGCAAAGCCAAGGCCGGCGGATCACTTGAGGCCAGGAGTTCGAGACCAGCCTGGCCAACATGTCAAAAACCCTGTCTCTACTAACAACACAGAAAATTAGCTAGGCATGACGGCACGTGCCTGTATTTCCAGCTACTTGGGAGGCTGAGCCACGAGAATCACTTGAGCCTGGGAGGCTAAGCCTGCAGTGAGCCGAGATCATGCCACTGCACGCCAGCCTGGGGGACAGAGTAAGACTGTCTCAAAAAAAAAAAGAAAAAAAAAGGAAAAAATTATTGTAGAGACAGTCTCACTATGTTGCCCAGGCTGGTCTCAAACTCCTGGGCTCAAGTGATTCTCCCACCTTAGCCTTTCATAGTCCTGGGATTATAGGTGTGAGCCACCACACCCAGCCTTGAGTGGCATTTTAATTTCCTCCAAAAACTTTTCCTTTGCATTCACCACTCAGCTAACTATTTGACTCAAGAGACCCAGCTTTTGGTCTATCTCATTATTCCCCCATTAAGCTTAATCATTTCTAATGTTTGATTTAAACTGAAAGATGTGCTACTCCTCCTTTCACTTGAACACCTAGAAGACATTTTCAGCTTATTAATTGGCCTAATTTCTTTTGTTGTTGAGACAGGGTCTCCCTCTGTCACCCAGGCTGGAGTGCAGTGGCACAAAAACGCCTCACTGCAGCCTCAACCTCCCAGGCTCAATCAATCCTCCACCTCAGGCTCACGAGTAGCTAGGATCACAGGCATTCACCATCATGCCCAGCTAATTTTTTTATTTTTTAATTTTTATTTATTTATTTATTTTTGAGATGGAGTCTCGCCCTTTCGCCCAGGCCGGAGTGCAGTGGCGCTATCTCAGTTCACTGCAAGCTTCACCTCCTGGGTTCACGCCATTCTCCTGCCTCAGCCTCCTGAGTAGCTGGGACTACAGGCGCCCACCACCACGCCCAGCTAATTTTTTGTATTTTTAATAGAGACAGGGTTTCACCGTGTTAGCCAGGATGGTCTCGATCTTCTGACCTCGTGATCTGCCCGCCTCGGCCTCCCAAAGTGCTGGGATTACAGGCGCGAGCCACTGCGCCCGGCCAATTTTTTTTTTTTTTTTGTAGAGATGGGATCTCACTTTGTTGCCTAGGCTGGTCTCAAACTCCTGGGCTCATGCGATCCTCCCACCTTGGCCTCCCAAAGTGCTGGGATTACAGGCATAAAGCATCGTGCCCAGCCTAATTGGCCTAATTTCGATATTGTGTCTCAGGGAATAAGAAGGCCTGAGGAGGGAAAGAGAGATGGGGAATGGATGGAAGTTCACTATTTTGGCAGGGCACAGCAGCTCACGCCTGTAATCCCAGCACTATAGGAGGCCGAGGCGGAAAGATCGCTTGGGCCCAGGAGTTCCAGACCAGCCTGGCAATATAGTGAGACAAAAAATCATCTCTATAAAAAAATGTTTAAATTAGCCAAGTGTGGTGGCGTGTGCCTGTAGTCCCAGCTACTTGAGAGGCTGAGACGGAAGGATCGCTTGAGCCCAGGAGGCAGAGGCTGCATGAGTCAAGATTGTGCCACTGCACTCCAGCCTAGGCAACAGAGCGAGAATTTGTCAAAAAAAAAGGAAGAAGTAAGAAAGGAAAGAAGGAAGGAAGGAAGGAAGGAAGGAGAGAGGGAGGGAGGGAGGGAGGGAAAGAAGGAAGGAAGGAAGGAAGGAAGGAAGGGCGGGCAAAAATTCACTCTTATATGAGTGGAATTTATGGTACCCCAAAACAATTACAATGGTAACATCAAAGATTGCTGATCACCAGAACACATATAAAAATAATAACAAAGCTTGAATACTGTGAGAATTACCAAAATGTGGCCCAGAGACAAAGTGAAAAATGGTGCTGACAGATTTGTTCCACATGGGGTTGCCACAAACATTTGATGTGTGAAAAACACAGTTTCTCAGGGACACTGAGGCTGGAAGGTCACCTGAGCCTAGAGTTCAAGACTGAAGTAAGCTATGATCATGCCACTGCACTCCATCCTGGGCAACAGAGCCAGATCCCATCTCTAAAAAACCTAAAAAATAAAAATAAAATACGGTATCTATGAACTACAGTCAAGTGAAGTGCAATAAAACAAGGTATGCCTATATTTCCTTGAGCTAAAGCCCCAGGATGGGACTACAAACTTAAGGGGTCTAGAACATTCTTACAACTCATACAATGTTTTGTCAAATTGGGATTGAATTACTTTACACCCAGCTTAACTGGGACTCAGAGTTTCAAACATCTTTGGTACTTTCCTGCCCCTCAACATAACAAATTGGGCCATCTTGAGAATTTTTCTTTTCTTTTTAACAACTTTTATAATAAAAAGGGGGTTTATTTTCTGATTATAAAAGTAACATATCTTCATAGTAGAAAATCTGTGGCCGGGCATGGTGGCTCATGCCTGTAATCCCAACACTTTGGGAGGCTGAGGTGGGTGGATCACCTGAGGTCAAGAGTTTGAGACCAGCCTGGCCAACATGGCGGAACCCCATCTCTAGTAAAAATACAAAAATTAGCCGGGTGTGGTGGTGGGCACCTGTAGTCCCAGCTGCTTGGGAGGCTGAGGCAGGTGAATCACTTGAACCTGGGAGGCGGAGGTTGCAGTGAGCTGAGATGGTACCACTGCACTCCAGCCTGGGCAACAGAGCAAGACTCCATCTCAAAAGAAAAGAAAGAGAAGAAGAAGAAAAGAAAATGTAGGAAGAGACCAGCCGGGGCAATATAGAGACCTCATCTCTACTAAAAATTTAAAAATTAGCAGGTGTAGTGGCATGTGCCTATGGTACCAGCTACTTTGGAGGCAGAGGCAAGAGGATCACTTACACCTGGGAGACTGAGGCTTCAGTGAGCTATGATTGCAATACTGCATTCAGCCTGGGTGACAGAGAAAGACCCTGTCTAAAAAAAAAAAAAAAAAGAAAAGAAAAAATTTGGAAAGAACAAAACACAAATAAATTTGAAGCTACCTATAATCCTTCCAAACAATCTTATTTTTCAATTGTAAAATTAATGCATACTCATTGTTTAAAAAGACAAAAGCTTAAGACTTTGTAAAGGTTAAAACCGCAGATCCCACTACATCTCATTTTCCAGAGCCAGCTGCTGTTAAATTCAGTAGATAAACTTCTAGATGTTTTCCACATGGACACAAACATATTTGTGCATATCCTTTTTTCCTACTGGTTTTAACCAAAATGAAATTCGGAGACACTGTTTTGTCTTGCTCTTTTTCACATAGCTATATACATAGATATACATCATGGACATAAATGAGTCTTATTTCTTCATGGAAACTGAAAAAAAACTCCATCCATTATTCAAAGGGACTTGCCAAATGGACAAATCCACTAATAGAGTATGTTTTGTCGCCATGCTCTAGGCATGAGAAACAATGAAAAATTCACCATCTCCCTGAAAACCTTGGGGGAAATAATTTTACCACGGTAATGGAGATGCAAGTCAGCCAGAAGGTGACAGCCAGTGAGTGAGCTAGAAAGGTTTAGGGGGTGAGGCACAGTCTCCTGGAGTCTTCTGGGGTCTCTCGTCTTGGAGGAAGTTCGTACCTTGTAAAACCCCTCCTTCCTGCCTTGGCCTGCCTGGAATGACTGCTCACCTTTCATCAGTCTTTCTGAATTCTAATTGTCCTTCACCCCCGCCTCCTCCAATCAGGCTTTTTTGATTAGTCCAACCTGTAGAGATTGTCCCTTGCAAAAATCCCCAGAGCCTGTACCTTCTCTTTGTAATGACTCAGTGGGGGAACCTGGGCTTTAGAGTCACTCAGCCTTCTCATGTCTTAGCTCTGAGACTTCAGACACACCATTGATTCATTCAACAAACATCACCTGAGCATCTCTAGTTCACTGGGTTCTGGAAATACCAAGTACCTGTCCTCAAGTCTCAAGTCTTTTTTTTTTTTTTTTTTTTGAGAGAAAGTCTCACTCTGTCACCCAGGCTGGAATGCAGTGGTACAATCTCGGCTCACTGCAACCTCCGCCTCCAGGGTTCAAGCAACTCTCCTGCCTTAGCCTCCCAAGTAGCTGGGATTACAGGCCCCCATAGACCACGCCCGGCTAATTTTTGTATTTTTAGTAGAGACGGGGTTTCACCATGTTGGCCAGGCTGGTCTTGAACTCCTGATCTCAAATGATCCACCCACCTCAGCCTCCCAAACTGCTGGGATTACAGGCGTGAGCCACGGCGCCCGGTCTGTCCTCAAATCTTGTAGGAGACACAGTCCCATAAACAGGCAGTTACAACATGATGTGATCAAAGAAATAAAGACTGTAACATAAGGATATTTTTGGAACACAGAAACATTACCCGACCACTTCCTGAGTATGAGGGAAGGCTAATATGAGAAGAATTAACAAATAAGGCAAAGCCTTATTTATTATTAATAATAATTATTATTATTATTAGGCAGGGTCTCACTCTGTCACCCAGGGTGGAGTGCAGTGGCACAATCAGCCTCAGCCTCACAGGCTCAAGAGATCTTCCTGCCTCAGCCTCCCAAGTGGCAGGGACCTCAGGCATGCTCCACCACGCACGGCTAATTTTTTAACTTTTAGTAGAGACGAGGCCTCACTTGTTACCCAGGCTTGTCACAAACTCCTGGACTCAAGCGATCCTTCTGCCTTGGCCTCCCAAAGTCCTGGGATTACAGGTGTGAGCCATCACCTGGCCTCATTCATTATTATATGGGGAAAAAAATACCGATCTTCCAGAGTTTTAATGAGATTAAATGAAAGTACATAGCAAAAGTGCTTAGTACAGGATCTAGCATTTCACAGGTGATTGTTGAAGGATATCTACTGTTATTCTCACTCACTGGCAATTCGTCCAGCCTAGCTGCCTATTTTGAACTACTGTTTATATATTGCAGCATTAATTTAACCCTTCACAAAGTGAGTCTTTTATCTCCCAACTACATTGTGATCCCTTCCAGGCCTCAAGCTGCATTTCATTTTTCCTTCTGTATGTATTCCTGGTGGGTACTGGGATAGTGTTGATTTCACTTTATTTGTTCAGATCTATGTGGAATAGGCTGTAAGGCTGTGTTCATACGCTACTGGGGATGTAGGAAGGGAGGGCTTGTGAAAAATAGAAATCCCTGTGACCTGACCCCCCAAAATTCTGGTTTGGTAGGTCTGGGGTGGGGCCCTAGAATCTGCATTTTGACAAACTCCCCAGTGATTGTACTGCTCAGCAGCCTTGAGAAGCTCTAGGCCAGGGGATGTGGGCAAGAAGGACCAAGTGGCTTCTCCAGGCCCCCGCTTAACTCCCTTTCCCATTGATTTCCTTCTGCACGGTCAGAGCTGTTTTTTTCCTTAGTTGCTACTCTTCCAAGGTCAGTGTCCAAGGCAGGATGGGAGTGGTGGGGCTATGGGAAAGGATGACATTGGCACTCAGCTGACTGACTCAGCCATGCTCCCACCCCTTCCCTAGAGTCTAAGTGTACATCTGACCCTCCACCTTCCATCCACCCATGCCCGCCTCTTCCCCTCTTCTCCTGGGTTTACCTATTTGTTCAGACCCTCATTGAGAACCTCCCCGGAGGGGTGAATGAACTCAAACTGCCTCCATATCACAGTGAAGTTTTATGAGGCAATAGAACCAATAGAACAACTATACCCCAATAGAGATAAAGAAGAGCCCAAGGCTAATTCCCCTGGGCCACCCCAGCTTTCCACCTGAACTCTGGCCCCTGCCTCAGCCAGCTACCATTATTCTCAGAGTAATGCCTGGAGAAGGGGGTGGGAATACAGGTTCTTGAGTCCATGGGTGAGGAGGAGCCCTGGGCACCCTCCTATTCTCTCCATCCCCAGGACCTTACAGGTCTTGCATAGAGTAAGTGAACTATCAGAGTTATCAATTCCTTGATTAAACTCCCCTTCCTCTTTCCTCCACTAAAATCTGAAATACTAGTTGGCATCGATCCCTAGAATGTCAGAGCTAACTGGAGCCTCTGAGAACAATATTTTCCCATGATGATACTTCTAGTTTTACTCTCAAGAATCAAAGACCAGGAGTTTGAGATCAGTGTGGCCTACATAGTAAGACCCTGGCTCTAAAAAAATTAAAAAACAATTAGCTAGGCATGGTGGCTTGCGCCTGTAGTCCTAGCTACTGAGGAGGCTGAGGTGGGAGGATCACTTGAGTCCAGGAGTTTGAGGCTACAGTGAGCTATGATTGTGCCACTACAATCCAGCCTGGGTGACAGAATGAGACCCCAACTCATAAAAAAAAAAAAAAGGCCAGGCGCAGTGGCTCATGCCCGTAATCCCAACACTTTGGGAGGCTGAGGTGGGAGGATCACCTGAAGTCAAGAGTTCTAGACCACCCTAACCAACATGGCGAAACCCCGTCTCTACTAAAAATACAAAAATTAGCCAGGCATGGTGGCGGGTGCCTGTAATCCCAGCTACTCAGGAGGCTGAGGCAGGAGAACTGCTTGTACTCGGGAGGCAGAGGTTGCAGTGAGCTGAGATCGCGCCTTTGCACTCCAGCCTAGGAGACAGAGTGAGACTCCATCTCAAAAAAAAAAAAAAAAAGTCAAAGACTAAGATAAGAAAATCCAGTTGGCGCTTTGTTTATCCACAATGAGACACGAAAGAGACAGAGACTCTAGGCACAGGCTGCCTAGGTTTGAATCCCAGCTCTGTCACTTACTGGTTCTGTGGCCTTGGGCACCTTATTTATTTTTTTGTGTCTCAGTTTTCTCATCTGCAAAATCTGGATAATAATGGTGCCTATCTGAAGGGGATGTTACTAATGTTAAGTGAGTTCAGCCAGGGGTGGTGGCTGCCACCTGTAGTCTCAGTGACTCAGGAGGCCAGAGGCCAGGAATTGGAGACCAGCCTGGGCAACACAGCAAGAACTTGTCCCTAAAAAAAACAAACAGAAAACCTAAGCTAGGCATGGTGGCCTGTGTCCGTAGTCCCCCTGCTACTCGAGGGGCTAAAAGAAGGATCGTTTGAGCCCAGGAGTTCAAGGCTGCAGTGAGCTATGTTTGTGCCACTGCACTACCTCCTGGGTGACAGAGCAAGACTTGACTCTAAAATAAATAAATAGGCCAGGCACAGAGGCTCATGCCTGTAATCCCTCCTCTTTGGGAGCCTGAGGTGGGAGATTTGCTTGAGCCCAGGAGTTTGAGATGAGCCTGGGCAACATAGGGAGACCCCATCTCTACAAAAAATAAAATAAAGTAAATCAACTGGGCATGGTGGCATGTGTCTGTAGTCCCAGCTAGTCAGGAGACTGAGGTGGGAAGATCACTTGAGCGTAGGAGTGGAAGGCTACAGTGAGCCATGATCATGCCGCTGCACTGCAGCTTGGGCAACAGAGAGAGATTCTGTCCAAAAATAATAATAATAATAAAATAAATAAATAAATAAGATAAAATAAAATAAATAAATGAGTTCATTTTTGTAAAGTACTTTTCGCAGCACCTGGCACAGAGTATATAAGAGTGTGTTAAGTGAGTGTGTTAAGTAACTGTTGGGGCAGGCTGGCCGTGCAGCTTCCACGATGCTCTGTCCAATTCCCAGCTTTGCAGTGTTAATCATTTCCCTCATCTCCAAGTGTCAGATGTACTAGCATTCAGCCCTTCTTCTTGTCTTTTCTCTGAGCCCTCATTCCCTTGGTGATTTCATCCAGCCAATAGCTTTAAATATCATCTTTTGCTGATGACTCTAATTTTTTTCCTCCATCTCAGATCTCTACTCTGAACTTAGTATATCCAACTGCCTGCCTAACAGCTCCACTCTATGCCTTATGCCATTTCTAACTGACATCCAAAAGTCCTGTTCTGCCCTCAACAAAACTTGCTGCCCCCATGGAGCATCTCAGTTGATGGAAAATACTGAGAGCCAAGATCTAACATGGACCTGCAATGCGCCAAGTCCTGTGCTAAATGCTTTACATAAATTATCATCCTATCCTCCCAACCAGTCTTGTATGTCAGTCCTGATATTACCCCCATCATGTAGATGAGGAAACAGAGGCTCAGAAATAACATGTCCAGGTGGTAAGCGGAGGAGGATGTCTGGCTACAGGTCCTGCACTCTTGTCCACTAACTAAAAGGAACAATTTGATTACATGTAGCCTTCAGAACCAATCAGGGTCTTGGAGACTGATTGCTCCTTTGGTACTTAGTGAATGACCCCAAAGCACCAGACAACCATGCTAAGCACTCAACACATGGCATCTCTGTTAATCCATGCAACAAACTTCTGAGAGGGCTGTAATAATCCCTACTTACAGAAAAGAAAGTCTAAGTTCAGAAAGGTTAGGTGACTTGTCCAAGGTTACACAACCAGTCATTGATTAAGTTTGGATAGGAATTCAGTTTTTTCTGAACTAAGTGGTGCTTGCTACCACCATGCATCCTGCTGGCTGTCTGATCCAGCAGTGGAATGCCAGTCTGTTAAGTTACAATGAGGGCCAGGCAGGCACGGTGGCTCATGCCTGTAATCCCAGCATTTTGGGAGGCTGAGGTGGGTGGATCATCCGAGGTCAGGAGTTCGAGACCAACCTGGCCAACATGGTGAAACCCCATCTCTACTAAAAATACAAAAATTAGCCAGGCATGGTGGCACGTGCCTGTAATCCCAGCTACTCAGGAGGCTGAGGCAGGAGAATTACTTGAGCCCAGGAGGCAAAGGTTGCAGTGAGCTGAGATTGTGTCACTGCACTCCAGCCTGGGTGACAGAGTGAGACTTGGTCTCAAAAAAAAAAAAAAATTACAATGAGAACTGTAAGTCATATATTCATCATTTCATTCACTCAATAAGTACTTACTAGCACAAGGCTATGTGTTAGGGGATGGAGATACACAGCAGAAGACAAAATTGTCTCACCCCATTGAATGAAGCTTCCAGCTTCGCAGCTCATCAATTTTCCCCAGTTCATCCCCTACTCAGCCTCATCTGCTTTCCTATCCAGCCCATGGATGTATCCCTACTCTGCCAGGACCCTCAATGTCCTTCCGCCACATTGGCTTCCCAGGCCCCATCCTTACACACAAGAAAGCATTTGTCCTTCTACCTCCCATCTGCAGGACTTACACCTGCAGCCAGAAGAAGTGGCGCAACTGGGGAGGAGGGTAACACCACCTCAAGTTCATGACCCTCCCTCAGCAGGGCTTTGGGATACTCACTGGTTCTTTCCTCTCCTTGTTGGATGAATCCCACCCCATTCCTCACAACAGCAGCTGGTTTGAAATAACCTTTACCTTCTTATCAAGTCTCTTACAAAATTCCCACCACCTCCACTTCCCCAGTTCTAATTCCTCATGCCTTTACTTCTTTTTTTCTTTTTTTTTTTTTGACAAGGTCTTGCTCTGTCACCCAAACTGGAGTACAGTGGCAAAATCATGGCTCATTGCCACCTCAACCTCCTGGGCTCAGGCAATCCTTCTGCCTCAGTCTCCCAAAGTTTTGGGATTACAAGTGTGAGCCACCATGCCTGGCCACCGTCACCTTTTTTTTTTTTTTCTCTGAGACAGAGTTTCACTCTTTTTACCCAGGCTGGAGTGCAGTGGCATGATCTCGGCTCACTGCAACCTCTGCCTCAAGGGTTCAAGTGATTCTCCTGCCTCAGCCTCCCTAGTAGCTGGGATTACAGGCACCTGCCAACACACCCGGCTAATTTTGTATTTTTAGTAAAGACGGGGTTTCACCATGTTGGTCAGGCTGGTCTCGAACTCCTGACCTCAGGTGATCCGCCCACCTTGTCCTCCCAAAGTGCCGGGATTACAGGTGTGAGCCACTGCGCCTAGCCCACCATCACTTTTAATGGCCATATTGTAATCCATTGTACAGACATATCACAACTTACTCAGCCATTCTCCTTTTGTTGGACAGTGAGGTTAGGAAAATAAAATTGTATACATCAATAGGAAACACCACAACATGGGGAAAACAAAAACAATAGCATTATTCAAAACTATGTGTTAACATGAACAGTGTTATTTGAGGCAACTGGAATACAGCTGAAGTTCCACTGGATGGCCATGGGTCATAAACTAGTGGAGGATAGTGACCTCTGAGATGGTGACCAGGGACAAGCTGGGAAGTTCTGCAGGGCAGCCACCTCACTAGGAACAGTATCTGCCAGACAGGGAAAACCTTTATTTTCTGCTTCTGTTTTGTGTCTCTGCCTGTTCCACAACCCACTTTTGAGTTGAGTTGATGGGATTTCTTTCTTTCTTTCTTTCTTTTTATAGAGACAGGGTCTCCCTATGTTGCCCATGCTGGTCGTGAACTCCTGGGCTCAAGTGATCCTCCTGCCTCAGCCTCCCAAAGAGTTGGGATTACAGACATAAGACACTGCACCTGGCCAGTTGATGAAATTTCTGACTGTTGTAGACAAGGTCCTTTGAGTCACAAGTCAAGAAATCCACTTGAGGCCAGGCATGGTGGCTCATGCCAGCCACATTGGGTGGCTGAGACAGGAGGATCACTTGAGTCCAGAAGTTCGAGACCAGCATGGGCAACACAGGGAGACCCCGTCTCTACAAAATTAAAAAGAAAACGAAATCCACTTGAGGCCAGGTGTGGTGACATACATCTGTAATCCCAGCACTTTGGGAGGCTGAGGTGAGAGGACTGCTTGAGGCCAAGAGTGCAAGACCAGCCTGAGCAACATAGCAAGACTGTGTCTCTACAAAAAATTTAAAAAATTAACCAGGCATGGTGGCACGTGCCTGTAATCCCAGCTAATAGGGAGGCTGAGGCTGGAGGATCACTTGAGCCTAGGAGTTCAAGGCTGCTATGAGTTATGATTACATCACTGCACTTCAGCCTGGGTGACAGAATGAGACCCTGTAATAAAAATTATAAGAGAGAAGAAGGAAAGAAAGAAAGAAAGAAAGAAAGAAAGAAAGAAAGAAAGAAAGAAAGAAAGAAAGAAAGAAAGAAAGAGAAAGGCAGGCAAAACCTACTTGAGCTAGCTTAGGTTAAAAAATAAAAAAGGTGATTTATAAAGTTGAACCATCAGCATGTATAACTGCTGATATTTGACCTTTTTGACCTATAAAAACAACAATTTCAGATGGTGCAACCTAATATTCTAACAATGCAGAAGGATCTCAAGGAGCCCAGGGATAGGACACAAAGTCTAGGTTCATGAGGAACTAGAACCAGAATCTGAAAAACGTCAGGAACCCTTCCCTCCCTTCTTCTACCCCATACCTTTCCTTTATGTGTCTGTTTCATTCTCTGCAGGTCTCCTTTCCGGCTCACCCATGTGCACGCAGACAACACAGCTCTCAGAACCTGAGTCAGAAGAGAAATAATCTGATTGGCCTATCCTGAGTCAAGTGGGCATCTCTGGTCCAATCAGCTCTGTGCAGGGAGGCAGAGCTCCTCATAGCAGCGCTCTTAATTGCAAGCAATGGAAACTGATTTGAGCAAAAAAGAAATTTATCAAAAGGATATCGACTGGATCACAGACTTTTCAGGCTTGGAAAACAGACAGAGACAGGACAGGACAAACAGCTAGAACCACAGCCACAATCACATCACAGAAATGATTTTGTAAGGATTCTGCTGCCAAAGGCTGGACTGGGCAATTTGCACCCCTATCAAGGGTAGCACTGCATGCGGACCCTGCAGCCACCATTTCCCTGGGCATAGAATATGGCCACCACCACCAGAATGGATTCTCTTGTCCCTGCTTATTTGTATCATGAGCTGCAGAGGCTGAGCCCACCTCATGTCCATGCACCCTCATTGCCATCGGGCGATGGGACAAACGGGACATGAGTACTGGCCTTTTCAGCTTTGTACTAGAAGGTGGGCCCACCTTTCGTTGGGCCCCATGTAGTGGAAAGTTCTCTAAACATAGAAAAGGGTACAGATGCTTGATCCCACCAAAAGCGTCATGTGGTACCAACCATCTCGACCGTGAGGGCCAACTGCTCTGGGTGGACAGTTCTTGAAGAAGGGACTGTGGGCTGGATAGGTGCCCAAAGAGTGTCCGTGACAGTTACCTCTCCCCAAAGATTCTACCCAGCTCATGTGCCTTCTATGAAATCTTTCCTCCTCCCAATCCATCCCATCCTGGCTCTTTTCCACTTAGAACTTGCATAGGAGGGCTGGACGTAGTGGCTCACACCTGTAATCCTAGCACTTTGGGAGGCCGAGGCGGGCAGATCACTTGAGGTCAGCAGTTCAAAACCAGCCTGGCCAACATGCTGAAACCCTGTCTCTACCAAAAATATTTTTAAAATTAGCCAGTTGTGGCCGGGCACGGTGGCTCACACCTGTAATCCCAACACTTTGGGAGGCTGAGGCAGGCGGCTCACAAGGTCAGGAGATCGAGACCAGCCTGGCTAACACGGTGAAACCCTGTCTCTACTAAAAATACAAAAAAATTAGCCAGGCGTGGTGGTGGGTGCCTGTAGTCCCATCTACTCAGGAGGCTGAGGCAGGAGAATGGCGTGAACCTGGGAGGCGGAGCTTGCAGTGAGCGGAGATCGTGCCACTGCAGTCTAACCTGGTTGACAGAGTGAGACTCCGTCTCCAAAAAATAAAAATAAAAATTAGCCAGTTGTAGGGCCAGACGCAGAAGCTCATGCCTGAAATCCCAGCACTTTGGGAGGCTGAGATGGGCAGGTCATGAGGTCAGGAGATGGAGACCAACCTGGCTAACATGGTAAAACCCTGTCTCTAGTAAAAATACAAAAAATTAGCTGGGCATGGTGGCGGGTGCCTGTAGTCCCAGCTACTTGGGAGGCTGAGGCAGGAGAATCGCTTGAACCCAGGAGCCAGAGGTTGCAGTGAGCCGAGATTGTGACACTGCACTCCAGCCTGGGCAACAGAGAGAGACTCCATCTCAAAAAAGAAAAAGAAATTAGCCAGTTGTGTGGTGGCAGGCGCCTGTAATCCCAGCTACTCAGGAAGCTGAGGCAGGAGAATAGCTTGAACCCAGGAGGCGGAGGTTACAGTGAGCTGAGATCACACCATTGCACTACAGCCTGGGCGATAAGAGGGAGACTGCATCTCAAAAAAAAAAAAAAAAAAAAAGAACTTGCATAGGAAGGCACAGGATGAAATTGTTGTTGTTGTTTTTCTATCTGAGATATAAGCAGCTGGAAGGCAGGAAGCCTGCCTTATGTTTCTGTTTGGCCTGTGCAGGGCAGGGCCTATAACTGTGCAGTGTCTATACCTGGGCCTTTACATACTTGTTGGTCGGCTCAGGCATCAGCCAAAGCTCTTACAGATCTAAGTAGCAGACACGGACTCTTGGTGACAAACCAAAAAATAAAATTTTTGGAAACGTATGGAGTAACTCATAGAAAGGATGAAAAAGCTCCACCACCAGGCCTCCAGATAGCACATAGCACCAGGAAGCAAGAAGGAAGGGACAGTCCCTGGGGCACTGCCAACCCATTGATTACCTTCAACAATCCTTCATCCTTATAGTACTGCACTCATGACTCAAAGTCCCAGCTTGGACAGTTACAGGCTCTGTCACTTGGACAAGTCACTTAACCTCTGTACTGGGGTGTCCTCGTTGACAGAATAGAGCTAAAAATAAAGCCCACTTCCTTAACTGGCAATGGGAGGGTTGGATGCTCAGTACATGAAGATCCTTAGAAAGGGGGCCAGCACCTAGCAAGCACTTCATAAATATCAGCTACTAAAAAATACCAGGAGAGAAAGCCCAATGGGCTCAGCCGAGGACATGTATTCCCTCTGGGGGTGGGTGAGGCCAGTGGAGGCTCTTAACTGACAGTCCCACAGAGACCCACATGCAGCAGTATCTTCAAGGAGCAGCTCTCCAAGAAACACAGAAGTACACTGACAGAAGAAGGGGGAAAGGATACTGGGCAGGCAAGAACATAAGTGCCCATGATGACTTCTCAGCTCCCCAGGACAGAAAAAGGGTCCGACTCCAACATCTACAGGTTTGATCTAGGGCAGTGGCTGGGAAGAAGGAAGAAGATTGAGAGGCATGTCTAACAACGTCCAAGCAATCTCCCTACCAAAGCAGCCCATGACCCTTGAAAGATATTGCTTCAGAAGAAAGTCAGATGGCAAAAGGTCGTCCCGCTCCCATGCAATCATTCATTGCCCCCTCTCCTGCCACTGGCAAACCGTGATTAATTCCTGTGGCAGCCGCAGAAATCATTCCTAATGAATTTCTAATGAACTCATTTGGTGTTAATGCGGTGTGTAATTCTGCAGGACACTCGTTGTAATTTAGCCTTATTAAATCTCTAGTTATTGGGAACTACTATTGCTCTAAGCTCATAAGCAGGAGAAAAGTAATTATGCAGAGCAAGCGGTTAAATTATGAAAAGGATTGGACATTCTGAGAAGGCTGAGACGTGGCTGCTCCTGTGTTTTCTCCCTGGGGTGCACTGCTCTACAAAGGTGAGCAGGCTGTGCAGGTCTTCGAGCTGAGGCAAGAATGCCCACCTTGACTTCTGTTCTGCAGTGTTAGAGCTGTGCAGGCTGCCCCTGTGTTCTGGTATTTTTAAGGGCCAACCAAAGGTGGCCTTGTCCCCACATGATCTACCCCACTTGCCCACTGCTTGGGCCTGAATTTCCACCATAGGGATAGATTCCTTCATGTTTGAGGTGCTGTTCCAGGTTGAAAGGTAACTTGTACCACAGTTCAGAGAGCAGTCACTGATAGGTTATCTCATCTGATGATCACAGCTTCTCAATTATTGTCATTAAAACCCTTTGACAGATAAGGAGATTAAAGTTCACAGAGGTGAAGCCACTGGGCTCCCAAGGTCATCACTGGGTGCCAGAACTAGGAACAGAGCCCATATCTCCTGGTAACCAGGTGAATTCTCTTTCCAGCTTACCTGTCATTCATTGCCTGCTGTGTTTTTCATGCATATGTGACTCATGCTTCCACCTAGATCACATGTTTCTTGAGGTCAGAGCCCTTTCTGTGATCTGCTTTACCTGTTTGACTTGCCTTGGTACAGAGAATGGAGCTGCAAGACTCCCCTGGTCAGATCACGTCGGGTCTCCTGAAGACACCAGGAGGATTCTACTGTGCACAGGTTGATTGTATGTCTCCTTTTCCCACTTCTTCCTGAAATTTTCTTATTATACTTTTGATTAAAATGTATGTCTTAGGTTGCTTTCTGTTGCTACAGCTGAATACCTGAGACTGTATATATAGACATAGAAAAGGGCTGGACGCAGTGGCTCATGCCTGTACTCCCAGCACTTTGAGAGGCCAAGGCTGGGGAATCACTTCCGGCCAGGAGTTTAAGACCAGCCTAGGCAACATAGTGAGACCCCCGTCTCTAAAAATAAAAGAAAAGGAAAAAAAGACAAAAAAGACGATGATTTATTGCAGTTTTGGAGACTGGGAAGTCCAAGGTCTAGGGGGCACAACTGGTGAGAGGCTTCTTGCTGGTGGGGACTCTCTGTAGAATACCAAGACGGTACAGAGCATCACATGGCAAGGGGAGCTCACTGAGAGCCAAACTGGCTTTATTTATTTATTTTAATTTTTTGAGACAGGGTCTCACTTTGTCACCCAGGCTGGAGTGCATGGGGCAATCACTGTTCACTGAACCCTCAACCTCCCAGGCTCAAATAATCCTCCTGCCTCAGTCCCCCAAGTAGCTAGGAATACAGGTGTGGGCCACCACACCCGACTAATTTTTGTTTTTTTATTTTTTTGTGGAGAGAGATTTCACCATGTTGCCCAGGCTGGTCTCAAACTCCTGGGCTCAAGTGATTTGCCTGCCTTGGCCTCCCAAGGTTCTGGGATTATAGGCATGAGCCACCACACCAGACCTTTATTTATTTCTGAGAAAGGGTCTTGCTCTGTTGCCCAGATCAGAGTGCAGTGATGCAAAGATGGCTCACTGCAGCCTCAGCCTCTGGAGTAGCTGGGACAACAGGTGTGAGCCACCACACTTGACTAATTCTTTTTTTTTTAGAAATGGGGTCTCCCTGCTGGGTGCAGTGGCTCACGCCTGTAATCGCAGTACTCTGGGAGGCCGAGGCAGGCAAATCACAAGGTCAGGAGTTTGAGACCAGCCTGGCCAACATGGTGAAACCCCGTCCCTACCAAAAATACAAAAAATTAGTTGGGTGTAGTGGCAGGCACCTGAAATCCCACCAACTTGGGAGGCTGAGGCAGGAGAATTGCTTGAATCCGGGAGGCAGAGGTTGCAGTGAGCCGAGATCACACCACTGCACTCCAGCCTGGGCAACAGAGTGAGACTCCCTACAAAAAAAAAAAAAGAAAAGAAAGAAAGAAAAAAAGAAATGGGGTCTCCCTATGTTGGCCAGGTTTGTCTTGCATGCCTGGCCTCAAGCAATGCTCCTGCTTTGGCCTCCCAAAGTTCTGAGATTATAGGCATAAGCCACAGTGCCTGGCTCCCACTCTCATGATAACTAATCCACTCTTATGATAACCCATTAATCCTTTAATTTATTAGTGGATTAATTCATTAATGAGGGCAGAGTCTTCATGATCCTATCACCTCTTGCTATAGTTACATGGGGTAGTAAGCTTCAACATGAGATTGAAGGGGACAAACATTCAAACTATTGCAATGTAGATTCAACTTTTTTCTTTTTTTTTAAGAGACAGCATCTTGTTCTGTCACCCAGGCTGGAATGCAGTGGCATGATTTTAGCTCACAACAGCCTCAAACTCCTGGGCTCAAGCGATCCTCCCACCTCAGCCTCCCAAGTAGCTAGGATGAAAGGCATGCACCACCTCACCTGACTAATTTTTTTTTTTAGACAAACGATCTAGTTATATTGCCCATGATGGCCTTAAACTCCTGGCTTCAAGCAGTCCTCTTGCCTCATCCTTTCAAAGTGCTCAGATTACAGGCATGAGCCATTGAGCCCAGCCTTAAACTTTAAAAATAATTTAAAATCATTTTCTTCTGATGATAAAAGTAACATAAAATTCAGAAAAATGCATAAAATTCAGAAATTTTTTACATAAAATTGAGAAAAAATGCAGAAAAGTCTAAAGAAGATAAAGATGGCCAGGCACGGTAGCTCACTCCTGTAATCCCAGCACTTTGAGAGGCCAAGGCGGGCAGATCACCTGAGGTCAGGATTTTGAGACCAGCCTGGCCAACATGGTGAAACTCCGTCTCTACTAAAAATACAAAAATTAGCTGGGCGTGGTGGCAGGCACCTGTAATCCCAGCTACTGGGGAGGCTGAGGCAGGAGAAGCGCTTGAACCCGGGAGGCGGAGGTTGCAGTGAGCCGAGATCATGCCATCGCACTCCAGCCTGGGGGACAAAAGCGAGACTTCATCTCAAAAAAAAAAAAAAAAAGGAGGTAAAGATGACCTACAGTCCCGTCTCTCATATGTAACTATTGCTTAACAGTTGGTGTGTATTTACTTCCAGACCTTATTATATACACATATAAATATACATACAAACATTTTATCCAAAATGGGAACATACCATATGTACTGTTTTGGAAATACTTTTTATTAAACTTGGAAACATGACATTTTTGAAAGATGATTTACACTGTTGAATAATAAATACAAACTAATTTAGCAAGAATGTCCTTGGTAACTCCTCTCTGTTATAAAAAAGAAACAAAAGAAGGGTAATTTAGAGCAGAAAACCTAAATAACCCCATACAAAAGCCAGAAAGAAAATCTGACTATTGCTACCTTGTCTCCTAAAATGTCTTGGTTATCCATTTAATTTGGGTGTTTGGCATGAAAAAGCTGATGGATGGAAGATGCAGGCCTGGGAGCAAAGTCATGTGACCCTGGGAGTCGGATGAATGGATTGGGCCATGGGAGTTTAGAGGTAAATCTAGGTTCGTGGCCCTTGCCCATTTCCCTACCTCATCTTCTGTCATATCCTCAGTTTCTGCTGCAAACTCATTTCCACTGGAATCCCCTAAACTCACTGTGCTATTTTGCATTTCTTTGCCTTTGCACTTTTCCTTCTACCTAGAATGCCCAGTGGCATAAATGGGAAAAAAATTGACTTTCATGCAACGTCTAACTCAATTATTTGCCTATGAGGAAAACAAAAAGAGCTGTTTGAAGGGCAAAGTAGGTTTTTCTTCTGTATGGACGAAGGTCCTGGGGTAGGTGAGAGTAAGGTTTTTTTCGCCTTTGAAGGTGGAAACACTCTAATCACAGCTTGCCTTGGTGCTGTGTCTAGCATCCATGACCCAGGTGCTGCCGTGCATGTCCAAGCCACCCTGGACTTGACCTCCTCACTCCTCAGTGGTGTTCTGGTCTGTAAGTCCCTCTCCTAACTATTTCCTGAACTTTCTTCAGTCCTGGGTGCTCATAGCCAAGCAGCCCTCAGAGCTGTGGGTATGCACTTTGTGGCTGTTTAGACGTGGGTAGGAAAAAATAATGTTGCCATCGATGTAACCAGTATGTGTGGCTCTGTGTAGAAATGCATACTGCCCGTGTGCATTTATGTCTGTTGTACTATACATAGATTTGCATGCATGTATGAAACATGATGTATATGTGTCCTTCTATCTGTGTACCTAGGAGGATGTATACTTTTCTCTGTGTATATTAAGTTTGAATCACTGTGGATACATGTAGAATATTATGTGGGTTTTTTTGCTTTTTTGTTTTTTTTGAGACAGAGTCTTGCTCTGTCGCCCAGGCTGGAGTGGAGTGGCATGATCTCAGCTCACTCCAGCCTCTGCCTCCCGGGTTCAAGCGATTCTCTTGCCCCAGCCTCCCAAGTAGCTGGAATTACAGGCACGCATCATGCCCCGCTAATTTTTTGTATCTTTAGTAGAGATGGGGTTTCCCCATGTTGGCCAGGTTGGTCTCAAACTCCTGACCTCATGATCTGCCCTCCTCGGCTTCCCAAAGTTGGGATTACAGGCATGAGCCACCACGCCCAGCCTGCTTTTATTATACATACATGTAAACAGCGTGCACATGTGCTCAGCTGTGACTTTCTATATATGGCTCTAGTTGTTTATATACAGATATATGGATATGTATATGTGAGATAATGTGTTTATGGAAGGAGGGTATCGGTTTGCTGCCTTAGGCTACAAGGAAAGAAAAAGAAAAGAAAGAAAAGAAAAGAAAAAAGAAAAGAGACCTTGAACAATAAATCAAGTTAATATCTCTCATGACTAGAATTCCAGAGATGGGAAGGGAGGACTCTCAAGTTGACTGATTGTGTGGATCAGTAACGGCATTAGAGGCCCTGGGTCATTTCCACTTCTCCACTCTGCTTAATTCTGCATCCTCAAGGTCACGAAATGGCTGCAGCATTTCCATACCCCACACTCTCACATTACAGAATCCAATGACAGGTAAATGAGTCTTCACTTCTGAGATGACTTTCTTAAGAATAAGGAAAATTTCACAGAAGCCCCAAGCCAACTTCTTTCCAAATGTCATTGGCTAGAACGTGGTCACATAGCCCAAAGGTAAACCAATCTCCATCAGAGGGACTAAGACCACCAGGGTTGGCTTAGACTAATGAAGGTCCCTCTCCTGGAGCAGGGTTGGAGTCAGCCTTTCAGAAAACAAGGTTGCTAGGAGAAATGGGCATCTGACAGAGTTCATCAGGAAGGGGGAAGCCAGCAGCACCTGTGATAAAGGAGTGTGCACACTTGTGCAGGCATGTCTGTTTATAAGTGTACACGACTTTGAACATGTATGAACATGCAAATATGTAATGTGTGGGGGTATTTCAGTTGCTTTTTTTTTTTTTTTTTTTTTTGAGATGAAGTCTTGCTCTGTCACCCAGGCTAAAGTGCAGTGGTGCGATCTCGGCTCACTGCAACCTCTGCTTCCTGCTGAGAGAGCAAATCCTGGCCAAGATGACAATCTAATCATTAATGGTATCTTGTCTTTGACTGGGAGGCCTTGGGTCCCATGCCAGATGGAAGACTCGGCCCTTATCATAACTCTGCCAAAACCACAATACTGGCAGTGGGAGACGAGACTACCACATATATTTTTTATAATTCTCTGAGAAACTTTCAGTTTTGGGCTTCTCTATCTGAGGCACCACTGGTCCCCAAAAAGCCAATGGAAAACCTTAGCTGTTACGCCCCCTTTCTTTCCAACCCCCAGACCATCCCTAGCTATGGAGCTGGAGACCTCGGGACAGTATTTCTCAGAAAGCAGGAAGCCTGAGCTCAAGGCTGCTAGCAGGGTGAGGCTTCCTACCTTGGATAGGCCCTGAGCACTTGGCTTCTTTCCCTCTCCACAGCAGTGTGTTTCCCAGTAAAGAAAATAGGATGCGGCCGTGCGCAGTGACTTACACCTGTAATCCCAGCACTTTGGGAGGCCGAGGCGGGTGGATCACCTGAGGTAAGGAGTTCGAGACCAGCCTGCCCAATATGGCGAAACCCCGTCTCTACTAAAAATACAAAAAATTAGTCGGGCTTGGTGGCGGGCGCCTGTAATCCCAGCTACTCGGGAGACTGAGGCAGGAGAATTGCTTGAACCCGGGATGCAGAGGTTGCAGTGAGCCAAGATTGCGCCACTGCACTCCAGCCCGGATGACAAGAGAGAAACTCCATCCCCACCCCCCCTAAAAAAGGAAAAGAAAATAGGATGCAGGGGATGAGGGGGAGCTGGGGAGGAAAGACATGGGCTGAGCACGTTCATGCATCACTCATTGTGTGCCCTTCGTGGAATTTCACTCCATCTCCATAGTGAGCTTTTTTAAAAAAACGTATTATTTATTTTTATTTTTATCTTTATTTTATTAGAGATGGGGAGTCTCACTCTATTGCCCAGGCTGGAGTGCAATGGCAGGATTATAGCTCATTGCAGCCTCCAACTCCTGGGTTCAAGCAATGCTTCTGCCTCCCAAGTAGCTAAGACTACAGGACTACAGGTGCATGCTCCACAGCAAGAACCCTGTGGGTATTTTTTTTTTTTTTTTTTTGAGATGGAGTCTCACTCTATTGCCTAGGCTGGGGTGTGGTGGCACAGTCTCGGCTCACTGCAACCTCTGCCTGGCCTAAAAGTCCTTATTTTTTGGAAATTTATACTGAAATATTTACAGATGAAATATAGTGTCTGAGGCTGGGCGCGGTGGCTCAAGCCTGTAATTCTAGCACTTTGGGAGGCCAAGGTGGGCAGATCACCTGAGGTCAGGAGTTCGAGATCAGCCTGACCAACATGGTGAAACCCCAACTCTACTAAAAATACAAAATTAACCAGGCATGTTGGCGCGTGCCTATAATCCCAGCTACTTGAGAGGCTGAGGCTGGAGAATTGCTTGAACCCGGAAGGCGGAGATTACAGTGAGCTAAGATTGTGCCATTGCACTCCAGCCTGAGCAACAAGAGCAAAACTCCATCTCAAAAAAAAAAAAAAAGAAATATAATATCTGAGATTTGGTTCAAAATAATTGGGTGGAGTTGGATGCAGTGGTTTGCACTCATAATCCCAGCTACTTGGGTGGCTAAGGCAGAAGGATTGCTTGATCCCAGGAGTCTGAGACCAGTCTGGGCAACATTGCAAGACCTTTTCTCAAAGAAAAAAAAATGAGGTGAGCATCGTTAAATAAAATTTATGAGATGCCATTGTTTTGGACTGAACTTCTGCACTAGGTCCTAACAAATCAGGCCAAACCAAACTGGAGTCACTCATTCTGAGGGGCCATATAATCAAACTGAACTTAGAAATAGGCCAGTTTTCCAAAAAATAGGATATTCACAGCAGCTAGCTAAAATGCCCCAGTCAACCTGAGACAGCATGATAAGGAGGTCCCCTCTGCTTTAACCCTACAAGGAATGTAACTTTGAAATAACCAATCCACTTTTTGTTCCCCGTTTCTGCTTTCTTCAACATTTTTCTGCCTATGAAGCCCAGCTTCTGGCAGGGCGTGGTGGCTCAAGCCTGTAATCCCAGCACTTTGAGAAGCCAAGGTGGGCAGATCACCTGAGGTCAGGAGTTCGAGACCAGCCTGGCCACCACAGTGAAACCCCATCTCTACTAATAATATAAAAACTAGCCGGATACGGTGGTGCATGCCTATAATCTCAGCTACTTGGGAGGCTGAGGCAGGAGAATCGCTTGAACCTGGGAGGCAGAGGTTGCAGTGAGCTGAGATCAAGCCATTGCACTCTAGTCTGGGCAACAAGAGTGAAACTCCATCTCAAAAAAAAAAGCCCAGCTTCTCTGGTTACCCCATTGGAGCACCTTTCTGTTTTGTATATGGGATTCTGCCCAATTCATGAATCGCTAAGAAAAGCCAGTTAAAATTTTTTTTTTTTTTTTGAGATGGAGTTTCGCTCTGTTCCCCAGGCTGGAGTGCAGTGGTGCAATCTCACTGCAAGCTCTACCTCCCAGGTTCATGCCATTCTCCTGCCTCAGCCTCCCGAGTCACTGGGACTACAGGCGCCTGACACCACGCCTGGCTAATTTTTCTTTTTTTTGTATTTTTAGTAGAGACGGGGTTTCACCGTGTTAGCCAGAATGGTCTCGATCTCCTGACCTCGTGATTTGCCTGCCTTGTCCTCCCAAAGTGCTGGGATTACGGGCGTGAGCCACCACGCCCGGCCAAGCCAGTTAAATTTTTGAAACTCAATTTGTTGACATTTTGCTTTTTGACATGGTGAAGTGGGGGAGTAGGTGGGATAAAATAAGGTAGGATTGGCCATGTTGATCAGTATGGAGCTGGGCTGTGGGTACATGGGGTATTGTATGTTTGTATATATTTGAGTTTCTTCATAAGAGAAAAAAGTTTTTGAAGAGTTAAGTGGAAATAAAGGAGTCACTTTCTCAGAAAAGCCTTTCTGGCCCTCCAGGCTAGTTCAGGTCCCTTTTCTATGCTGCCATGCCACTTCTCCTTCATGGCACTTCGATGAATGATAATGACAATACTGAGGATTGTGTCGTCTCAATATCCATCTCCCCTGTAGAGAGCAGAAAGTAGAGTCTGCCTAAATCCCTGCTTCCACCCAAGAGCACATTTGGTGAAAGAATAAATGAAGAATGAATCAGTGAATGAATGGCTGGGTGAGGTGGCTCACACGTGTAATCCCAGCACTTTGGGAGGTGAAGGCGAGCAGATCGCCTGAGCCCAGGAGTTCAAGACCAGCTTGGGCAACATGGTGAAATCTCATCTCTACAAAAAAATACAAAAATTAGCTGGGTGTGGTGGTGTGCACCTGCAGTCCCAGCTGCTCAGGAGGCTGAGGTGGGAGGATCACTTGAGCCTGGAAGGTGGAGGCTGCAGTAATCCATGATCATATACTGCATTCCAGCCTGAGTGATAGAGTAAGACCCTGTCGCAAAAAATAAATAAATAAGTGAATGAATGAATGAGTTCAAAGAAACCTCACTGTGGGCTGGAGAAAACAGGACAGGTGGCTTCCTGAAGAAAGAGAGGAGGGGGAGGGGAAAGAGGAAGAAAGAAGAAGGGTGAGAAATGAGAAGGGGAGAGGGAATCCCACCTGGCTCCTCCCCCAACTCTGACTTTACTTATTATTTTGTTATTTAATTGTATGGCATTGCATTTGGCTACCATTCCTATTTAAAAAACGTTTAAATTATTATTTTTAAATAGGTAATACATTCACTTCTCTTAATATCCAAGAATAACAAAAGAGCTATGGGGAAAATCTCCCACCTCACCTCACTCCCATCCCCTTCCACCCTACCCCCCCACCCTAGGCAAACGAAACCACTAGTTTCTTTGGGGATTTTTGTTTTATTTGAGACAGGGTCTCGCTTTGTTGCCCAGGCTGGAGTGCAGTGTCGCGATCTTGACTCACTGCAGCCTCGACCTCCTGGACACAAGTGATCCTCCCACACCAGCCTCCCAAGTAGCTGGGACTACAATTACATGCCTCCACACCCTGCTAATTTGTGTATTTTTTTTTTAGAGATGGAGTTTTGCCATGTTGCCAAGGCTGGTCTGGAACTTCTGGGCTCAAGTGATCCTCCTGCCTCAGCTTACCAAACTGTAGGGATTTCAGGTGTAAGCCATGGCACCCAACTCAAAACTACTAGTTTCTTATGTATCCTTCAGAGATATATGTATAAATGCACGCAAATATGTATACATTCATATGTGTATATATATGACCCTCTTGTAGGGTTAAATCCCCTGAAGTAGAACAACTGGGTCAGAGGATTGCCAGACACTGACGAAGCCTCCATGAAGATTGTGCCAGTTCATACTTCCCTGGCAATGCTAAGGCCACCTTCCCCTCTCCCCACCCAAGGGCTAGGTTTGAAGGATTAGGTGTGGCCAGGCCAGGAGGAAGTGTGGAGCCATCCCAAGAGATGCCCATGGCAGGAGAACACAGATGAGACAGCTGGGGACAGTAACACAGACCTCTCCTCAAACTAAAGACTTGCCGGGTGCGGTGGCTCACGCCTGTAACCCCAGCACTTTGGGAGGCCAAGGCGGGTGGATCACCTGAGGTCAGGAGTTCAAGACCAGCCTGGCCAACATGGTGAAACCCCGTCTCTACTAAAAATACAAAAAATTAGCCAGGCATGATGGTGGGCGCCTGTAATCCCAACTACTCAGGAGGCTGAGGAAGGAGAATCTCTTGAACCCAGGAGGCAGATGTTGCAGTGAGCCAAGATCGTGCCATTGCACTCCAGCCTGGGCAACAAGAGGGAGACTCCGCCTCAAAAAAAAAAAAATAGAAAAAAAAGGACTCAACGGGCGTTTGCATCCTCTGCTGTTCCCTGCAGCCTCTGCCCACAACGGCAGAAAGAACTAGGGCCTGAGAGTTCAGAGGTCAGATGGGGATTCTGGGCCTAGGTCTGCCACCTCTGCTCAATAGGTGGCCATGGGTAGGCCACTTTCTTAAGAATAATGACTAACTGCAGGCACAGTGCTAAGCATGTTGCATGTGTGTTCTCCCATAATCCTAAGAGGCTGCCACTTCCGCAGCTTGAGCTCAGAGAGGTTAGGAAGGCTGTCTAAGGTCGTCCAGCTATTAAGCAGCAGAGATGGAATTTGAACCCAGACTTCACACTAGTTTCACTGCTGGAGCCTCAGTTTACCCCTTAGTGAGATAAGGCAGCCAGACTCTGCCTAAGCCTTTTCCATCACAGGACGTCCTGTGTGGTGCGCCTGCACGGTGAGTGGCACAGTCAGAGGGCCCCTGGCTGGGGTAGGTGGGAGGGATGTGGAGCCACCTCCGTGGGGAAGACCATGTCCTGCCCCACTTCTTGTAGGACGGCCTGTCTCTCCTCAGCAGTCCTTTCAGGAGGCTTCATTGCTCTGGGCTGGTGCGGGGGTTCAGGTTAGGCTGTGAACTCCCTAGTGAGCGGAGATCCCACTGGGACGCGTCTGTGTCCCTCCCCGCGCCGGACACTGGGGCTCACCACAAGATAGGCTACCATGCGGGTTTGCTAATGGAGACGAAGGAGGGGGCAGGGGATGAAGATAGCAGGGGGAGATGCCAGGTAGGGAGAGAGGGAGACAGGAATGGCAAGACAGAGAGGAAGTGCGAGGCCTCAGTAGGAGACAGCCGAGCCCCGCCCGCCGGCCCCAGGCCGACGGGGAGCCGGGATGCCGCGACCTGGCGCGCCCTCTGGTGGCCGGCTTGGCACGGCACGGCCCGGGGTGGCGCAGGAGGGGGTGAGCCCAGGGGGCCAGGGGGCTGCCCCGGTCCCCACCGCCATCGTCTCTAGGGGTGGCCGAACCTGCCACTACTCCAAGTGTCCGTCCTCTGAGGGAAGCCATCTTAGTAACAACAACAATGAGACTGTCACAAAGACAGTCACAGAGAGACAGCTGAAAGGAGGAAAAGGGCTTTGGAGCCATGACAAGTCTGTTATTAGCATCACAGAGAAAGGCGAGCAAGTCCCCCACCCAAGGTGTTCTCCCCACTGTGACCTGGGTCATCCTTTCATTTGCCTCAAATGACTTATTTCCAGCTTCACGGAGCTACCTGAGTCAGCGCCTGCATCTCCACCACCATCATCATCGTCACTGTCTTCATCGCCTCTGGGCTGGACCAGCCCCTGCCTGTGAGCTCCCTGGAGCCAGAGGTGCAAAGTCTGCAATGACACAAAAAGCCAGCACGCTGGGAGGGGCTCTGGAGACCATCTCATTGTTCATTCATTTGTCTATTCAATCCATTTTATTGACTGCTCACTGTGTGCCAGACACATGGGCCCTGGAGATACAGAAGAAACACGTGAGGTCCCTGCCCTCCAGGAATTAAGAAGATAAAGTCAAAAGTGCTGTAAAGAACAACAGGATGATGGGCCAGTATTTGAAGAGGTCGTTTTCAGATGGGGTGGGCAGGGAAGGCATGTCTGAGAAAGGAATCTTTGTGGACACCTTAATGCTTAGGACATGGGGCTGAGAAAAGCAGGCAGAGGAATTTCAGATAACGCCTCAGTTGGTAAAAAGCTAGGGGGATGGTGCAGGCAAGGAATAGAAGGAAGGACAGTGTGGTGGGAGTTTGGTGGTGAGTGAAAGAGGGGCCTGGGGACCGTGCACACTTGAAGGCTGTAGCCGGGCATCTGGCTTGGATTTTGAGGACTGAGGGGACCATTACAGGGCTTTAGGCATGGGGATGGCACGATCCAATTTACATTTTTCATGTCATTCCATCTGCTTCCTGGAGAACACATGATAGGAAGAAGGAACGTGGAAGCAGGGAGACCAGTGAGGTGGTAACTCCAGAAACAAAGAGGTGGCGGCTGATGGGGCGAGTGGGAGGAGCCTGACCCTGGTGGATTTTGGAGGCACAGAAGGCAAACCTGCTGGGGGATTGTCTGTGGGGGACAGGGAGAGCAAAGACTGGGTGCCTTCCTCTTCCTGCCTTCCTCTTCCCGCTTTGCACCCCTTCTGGCCTGAATCATCTCCCTCAGGTAACTAAGAGGAGGGGGCAAAGGACTCCAGACTATGTAGCCAGATATAGCCCCAGGTCCCCAGGGCTATATCTTGGGTCTGTGCAGAAACTAGGGACGTGGGGGCCAGAGGTATTTTTAGCCTTCTAGCTCTCTCCTTCTGTCTTCTGCAATCCCTCTCCCTACCCCCTTCCCCCTTCTTCTCTCCTTCTCCCTTCCCTCTCCAGCTCCTTCCCCCACCTCCTGCTCCTCTTTCTCTCTCTCTCACACACACATACACACACACACACACATACACACACACACACACACACACACACACACACGAAGCAGCCTTATCAGGAGGAAGCCTCCAGCAGAGACAAGCGGTCTCCAGGGACAGAGCAGAGGAGCTGACAGGAGTTTCCGGAGCAGGGGGAGGCTGACTTCCCTGCCTTCCCCATTCCTTCCAGCTCCCACTGCCTCTCGCTTCCTGCAGCATTTCTCTCCAGACGCGCGCTTCTCAACTGGAGGCCACTTTGTCTTCCTGGGACATTTGGCAATATCTGGAAACATTGTTGGTTGTCATAACTGAGGAGGGGGCAGGGTTGGCATGGAGTGGGTAGAGACCAGAGATGCACAGGACAGCCCCCATAACAAAGAATGATCGGCGCCAACAGTGCTGAGAGCCCTCCCTAGGCTCTGCCGGCAGAGCTGGAAGGGACTGTCCTCTTCCTTGTGGTCCCACTATCACCACACTGGCCACACTGTCCCTGCATTATCTCTATTGGTCTTCTCAGCCACACTGTGAGGTACATAGTATTATTCACCCAAGGTCATGCAGGCAGTAAGAGGCAGAGCTGGGATTAAGACTGTGAAGCCTGTGGTTTAACTGGTCTCTCTCTACTGAAGGGGTTGTCACAGCCTGTGTCATTGTTATTAGCAATGGGACACGCTGTCTCAAGTGAAGTCTTATTCAGAAGTCCAATGTAAGTCCACTGTGTAAGACAGAGAGCGTAGAACTGCCTAGGGTGAAGCAGTGTGGGAGGTTATGAACCCCCTGGGCCCACCCCTCTTCCCACCTTATGGAGCCTCCAAAAGCCATCTGTCTAGCCGGGCAGGGCCCCTGTGGAGGGCTGCACAGGTTGTGCACTGCAAAACTCTAGGAGAGGCCACTCCCATGGGCTTCTTCGTGGGGCCTGTTGAGGTAAGGCAGAGCTCCTTTAGGGAAGGGTGGCAAATGGGATTTCTCCCATTGCAGACATGTGTTGCTTAGCAGACAAGGTGTCACGGTAGCCTAATAAGGTCTGGAGTAGGAAAGCGGGATGAGAGTGGCTGAGTGGCCAGCATCTGCCTTCCTGGTCCTAAAATATGGAGAATAGAAAATAGAATTGGAGGCCAGGCGCGGTGGCTCACGCCTGTAATCCCAGCACTTTGGGAGGTCGAGGTGGGCAGATCACCAGGTCAGGAGATCAAGACCATCCTGGCTAACACGGTGAAACCCCGTCTGTACTAAAAATACAAAACAATTAGCCGGGCGTGGCGGCATGTGCCTGTTGTCCCAGCTACTCAGGAGGCTGAGGCAGGAGAATGGCGTGAACCCGGGAGGCAGAGCTGGCAGTGAGCCGAGATCGTGCCACTGCACTCCAGCCTGGGTAACAGAGCAAGACTCCATCTCAAAAAACAAAAAGAAAAGAAAATGGAATTGGACTAGGAGATATCTTGACACTCCCCACCCTTGCAACTTAGCAGCGACTCAACAATGAAGCTGCCAACCCTCGTTCCAAAACCTTACAAGACCTGAGGCTCGTATATACACTAGTCCCCCAGGAAAGCCTTCCCTAACCCTAGAGCCTCTCTCCCCAGAGCCCCATCAGGTTTCCTTTTTGGGGCCTCCTGTTGTTCATCTTTATCTAAACCTGGATTCATGTTTGGGCAGAGAAGCTGTAGTTGAGGTTGTCACCGCCTTCTCAACCCTCCTGGGGAAGGCTTGGGCTAGACCTGGCAGAAGGGGTTGGATAGGGGATGTCCCTCTCCAGGTCTCCCCGTGGAGTGAGACCCTTTCCCCTTGAGTGCCATGGTGGCTCCCCAGGCATCATCAAGCCACCTGGCATCTTGGTGCTTTGACATGAGATCCAGTAGACACCCTGTAAAGGAGGACTGTGGGCACTGCCTGCTCTCTCGGCATGGGCTTCTCCAGCTGCCCTGCACTTGGGCATCTTACAGCCTGGAATAAATCCTCCTGGCCCATGTCCCCTCTGCCTGGACCCAGCTACAGAGTGATACTGCTGATGCCAGAACTGACTCTTCTGTTCCAACAGGGAGTGGTGCCCTCGGGTCCCAAGAGGGCTGCAGACTGCAGGCCTCCCTGAAGTGAAGATGCAGCAAAGTGGAAGACAGCACACGGAAACCATGCAGCAGCTCCCTCTGGGGAAGAGAAAGAGGGAGCCACGTTGCTCTATACCCTGTGGACTTCTTGCAATATGAACCTTCATGGACCTAAGAAAAATAATAATAAAGGAAAAAATAGCCAGGTGGGCTGGTTCACACCTGGGATCCCAGCACTTTAGGAGGCCGAGGCAAGTGGATGACTTGAGCCTAGGAGTTCCAGACCAGTAACAAGGCAAAACCCTGTCTCTACCAAAAATTATCTGGGTAAGGTGGTGCATGACTGTAGTCTCAGCTCCTTGGGAGGCTGAGATGGGGAGGATCTCTCAAGCCTGGGAAGCTGTGGCTGCAGTGAGCTGTGATCGTGCCACTGCACTTCAGCCAGGCCACAGAACGTGTCCCTGTCTCAAAAAGAGAGAGAGAGACAGAAAAAAAGTTTGAGGCTTGGCAGTAGAGCCCTGAATGAGGCAGTGGCCAGTCCAGCAGTGAATACACACTAAGAACGGGCTGTGACCATGTGGAAGGGCTCTTGTTCTCAACCCCTTGTGCTGGCCTCAGAAAGGAGAGTCTTTTTTTTTTTTTTTTTTTTTTTTTTTTGAGACAGAGTCTCGCTCTGTTGCCCAGGCTGGAGTGCAGTGGCACCATCTCAGCTAACTGCAACCTCTGCCTCCAGGTTCAAGCAATTCTCCGGCCTCAGCCTCCTGAGTAGCTGGGATTATAGGCACCCGCCACCATGCCCGGCTAATGTTTGTATTTTTAGTAGAGTCGGGGTTTCACCATGTTGGCCAGGCTGGTCTCAAACTCTTGACCTCAAGTGATCCACCTGCCTTGGCTTCCCAAAGTTCTGGGATTACAGGCATGAGCCACTGCACCCAGCCAGGAAGGAGATTAAATTCTGCCTTCCCAGGAAATACTCTGTCTGTGTATTTGTTCATTCAGACAACAAATATTCCTTGAGCTCCTGCTATGTACTGAGCACTGCACTGGGTGCTAGTCAAGGTCCCTGCTTTCCGGGAACAAATAGACTGATGGGGTGGGCAGGGAGTGGGGAATATGGAGGTATAGGCAGGGAAACCGGCCATCAGAGCAGTGGTCAGCATCAGGACAGGGGATCTAAAGGGACTGCCATCAAGGTGGGACATGAGGGGTCAGGAAAGGCCTGGAGGTAAGGAGGTGGACACTGGAATCAAAAGAATGAACAAAAAGCCTGGGAGAGTTGGAGTGCGGTGGATAGGGGTGTTCTACGCAGAGGGTGTCCCTGGTGAGAGGCCCAGCTCAGAAAGGGGATTTCTTTCTCTCTCTCTCTTTTTATTTTTATTTTTTATTTATTTAATTTTTTTGAGACCGGGTCTTGCTCCATTGCCCAGGCTGGAGTGCAATGGTGCAATCATGGCTCACTGCAGCCTCAAATGAGAGATAACAGCGTGCTGGCAGTCCTCACAGCCCTCGCTCACTCTCGGGGCCTCCTCTGCCTGGGCTCCCACTTTGGCGGCACTTGAGGAGCCCTTCAGCCCACCACTGCACTGTGGGAGTCCCTTTCTGGGCTGGCCAAGGCTGGAGCCCACTCCCTCAGCTTGCAGGGAGGTGTGGAGGGAGAGGCGCGAGCAGGAACTGGGGCTGCGTGCGGATGCGTGCGGCGCTTGCGGGCCAGCTGGAGTTGCCGGTGGGCGTGGGCTTGGTGGGTCCCGCACTGGGAGCAGCCGGCCGGCCCTGCTGGCCCCGGGCAATGAGGGACTTAGCACCTGGGCCAGCGGCTGCGGAGGGTGTACTGGGTCCCCCAGCAGTGCCGGCCCACCGGCGCTGCGCTTGATTTCTCGCCGGGCCTTAGCTGCCTTCCCATGGGGCAGGGCTCGGGACCTGCAGCCAGCCATGCAGGAGCCTTCCCCCGCCTCCGTGGGCACCTGTGCAGCCCGAGCCTCCCCGACGAGCGCCGCCCCCTGCCCCACGGCGCCCAGTCCCATCGACCGCCCAAGGGCTGAGGAGTGCGAGCGCATGGCGCGTGACTGGCAGGCAGCTCCACCTGCAACCCTGGTGCGGGATCCACTGGGTGAAGCCAGCTGGGCTCCTGAGTCTGGTGGGGAGGTGGAGAATCTTTATGTCTAGCTCAGGGATTGTAAAAACACCAATCGGCACTCTCTATCTAGCTCAAGGTTTGTAAACACACCAATCAGCACCCTGTGTCTAGCTCAGGGTTTGTGAGTGCACCAATCGACACTGTATCTAGCTGCTCTGGTGGGGCCTTGGAGAACCTTTGTGTGGATACTCTGTATCTAACTAATCTGATGGGGATGAGGAGAACCTTTGTATCTAGCTCAGGGATTGTAAACGCACCAATCAGCACCCTGCCAAAACAGGCCACTCGGCTCTACCAATCAGCAGGATGTGGGTGGGGCCAAATAAGAGAATAAAAGCAGGCTGCCTGAGCCAGCAGTCGCAACCCGCTCGGGTCCCCTTCCACACTGTGGAAGCCTTGTTCTTTTGCTCTTTGCAATAAATCTTGCTACTGCTCACTCTTTGGGTCCCCACTGCTTTTATGAGCTATAACACTTACCGTGAAAGTCTGCAGCTTCACTCCTGAAGCCAGCGAGACCACGAGCCCACCGGGAGGAACGAACAACTCCAGACGTGCCGCAACACTCACCGCGAAAGTCTGCAGTTTCACCCCTGAGCCAGCGAGACCACGAACCCACCAGAAGGAAGAAACTCTGAACACATCCGAACATCAGAAGGAACAAACTCCAGACGTGCCACCTTAAGAGCTGTAACACTCACCGCAAGGGTCCGTGGCTTCATTCTTGAAGTCAGTGAGACCAAGAACCCACCAATTCCGGACACACAATCTCCCAGGCTTAAGCAATCCTCCTGCCTCAGCTTCCCAAGTAGTTCAGACTACAGGTGTGCACCACCATGCCTGGCTTATTTTTTATTTTTTGTAGAGACAGGGTCTCACTATGTTGCTCAGGCTGGTCTCAAACTCCTGACTTCAAGCAATCCTCCCACCTCAGCCTCCCAAAGTGCTGGGATTACAGGCATGAGCCATCAACCCCAGCGTGGGATTTCTTATATGATCCAGGAGCCACACTGGCATTATCTCCAGCTACCCTTTGACCCCAGACGGCCTTTCAGTAGAACCTGGGCGCATGCGCCTTGCCTGGCCTTACTGTACAAGCACATTATCTCTGCCCAGTGGGCCAGTGAGTTCCTCAGCCAGGACTGAGCCTGTGTCTCTGTGGCTGCCCTGCTGTCTAGCACGGTGCCAGGCGCATAGTAGGGCCCAGTGTCTATTGGATGATTCTGTTTGCTGCAAGTTCATGATTTCCCATAGAGAGGGGATCCAGGCCTAATGGGCCATTAGCTCATCAGACATATGTTGAGCACTTACTATGTGCCAGATGTGGGCGAAGCCTGGGGACTTAGTGGAGAGTAAACACGCAAGGTTTCTGCAGGAATGGAGCTAACCTTGCCCTGGGGAAGATGCAGTGTGTGCAGAAAAATGTCAGATAGGGATGACTGCTGGAAACAGGAGAACACAGGGTGAGGGATAAGACTGGCGAGGCCGGGCACAGTGGTATGAGCCTGTAGTATCAGCCACTTGGGAGGCTGAAGGAGGAGGATTGCTTGAGCCCAGGAGTTCAAGATTAGCCTCGGCAACATAGCAAGACCCCATCTCTAAAATGTTTAATTTAGAAAAAGAGGACCAGTGGGGATTGCCAGGGAAGGCTGGCTGGGTAGGTGACATTGGGGCCTTTACCCTTGTGAATACTGGCAGGAAAATTCAAGGGGTCAGGTGAGGGAAAGGGGATATGGCTCCCTGGCAAGTTAGAGAAATAGAAAGCACTTTAAGAGGTCAAGGCGGGAGAACTGCTTGAGCCCAGGATTTCTTTTTTTTTCTTTTTTTTCTTTTTTTGAGATGGAGTCTCGCTCTGTCACCCAGGCTGGAGTGCAGTGGCGTGATCTTGGCTCACTGCAAGCTCCGCCTCCTGGATTCATGCCATTCTCCTGTCTCAGCCTCCCCAGTAGCTGGGACTACAAGGCGCCTGCCACCATGCCTGGCTAATTTTTTTTTTTTTTTTTTGTATTTTTAGTAGAGATGGGGTTTCACCATGTTAGCCAGGGTGGTCTGGATCTCCTGACCTTGTGATCTGCCCGCCTCGGCCTCCCAAAGTGCTGGGATTACAGGCGTGAGCCACCGCGCCCGGCCGAGCCCAGGATCTCAACACCAGCCTTGGCAATATAGTGAGACCCCATCTCAATTAAAAAAATTTTTTTAATAAATAAAAAGAGAAACAGAAAGAAAGCCATTGACGCTGAAGCAAAAGGAATGAGGGCATGAGAGGGGAACACAGTAGAGAGATGGGCAGGGTCTAGGTGGCACAGAGCCCTAGTAAGGTAAGGTTTGGGGTTTGTTTGTTTGAGATGGAGTTTCACTCTTGTTGCCCAGGCTGGAGTGCAATGGCATGATCTTGGCTCACTGCAGCCTCTGCCTCCCGGTTTCAAGCGATTCTCCTGCCTCAGCCTCCTGAGTAGCTGGGACTGTAGGCGCCCGCCACCATGCCTGGCTAATTTTTTGTATTTTTAGTAAAGACGGGGTGTCACCATGTTGGCCAGGCTGGTCTCGAACTCCTGACCTCAGGTGATCCACCCACCTTGGCCTCTCAAAGTGCTAGGATTACAGGCATGAGCCACTGCTCCTGGCCAGGTTTGGGGTTTTATTCCAAGTAAACAAGGAAATCTTCCAAGCCTCTAGGCAGGGATGTGGCATGATCTGATTTGCTTTTTTTTTTTTTTTTCCAGATGGAGTCTTGCTCTTGTTGCCTAGGCTGGAGTGCGGTGGCATGATCTCAGCTCACTGCAACCTCTGCCTCCTGGGTTCAAGCGATTCTTCTGCCTCCTGAGTACACCACGCTGGCTAATTTTTTTTTTTTCATGTTTAGTAGAGATGGGGTTTCACTGTGTTAGCCAGGATGGTCTTGATCTCCTGACTTCATGATCCGCCCGCCTCGGCCTCCGAAAGTGCTGGGATTATGGGCATGAGCCACCGTGCCCGGCCTGATTTGCATTTTTAAAAGATCACAATAACTTCCAAAGCATTCTATGGTTTCCCTCTAGCCCCAAAATAGATTCAGGATATATTTTCATGGATGAATCAAAACAACTTGCCAGTATAATGGACATAGGTTAAGGGAAGGGAGGAGTTCTCAAGGGCTCCTAGACTTAGGGCCCATGCAACTGGTTACTCTGAAGCTATTCCCAGTAGAAAGAGCTCAGTTTTGGGGTCAGGCAGGCCTAGATTTCAATCCTTACTTTAATCTCAAGCCTCAGTTTTCTCTTCTGTAAAACTGAGACACAGGCTGGGCGTGGTGGCTCACACCTGTAATCCCAGCACTTTGGGAGGCCAAGGTGGGCAGATCGCCTGAGGTCGGGAGTTCGAGACCAGCCTGACCAACATGGAGAAACCTCGTCTCCACTAAAAATACAAACTTAGCTGGACGTGGTGGTGCATGCCTGTAATCCCAGCTACTCGGGAGGCTAAGGGAGGAGAATCACTTGAACCCGGGAGGTGGAGGTTGCGGTGAGCCGAGATCTCACCATTGCATTCCAGCCTGGGCAACAAGAGCAAAACTCCGTCTCAAAAATAAAAATAAAAAAGCTACGACACGATGACAGTTGCACATAGAAGGTGTTAATTCTTGTCCCTTGACCAAAGAGGTTATAGATGTCCAGAAAAATAGCGTTCTGTTTAAGGTCTTGTTGCTGGATAGATAAGCAACTCCAAGTTTGTTCAGAGGCAAGTTTGTTCAGAGAGAAAGGAGGAAGATGAGTAGGGGCTCTGAAGGCAGATCTAATACAGCCAGTTCAAACCTTGGCTCTGAGCTCCTGTAAAGTAGGAATATGTCATTTTTATCTCCTATGCCTGAGATAATTAAATGAGCTATTGCACAGTGGGCACACACAGTGCCTTTGCTCACGAAATTTTGGGAGTGGATGGCCAGCAAGACACCATCCAAATCTCTAAGTCCACATCTTCTGCTGAGCATACATACCAACAACTTCCCAAAGAATAATATCCTTTATGCGATAGCTTCATCTGTATTCTCACTTCATTCCCACAACTATGCTCTGAGGTATGTCAGTAGTATATCTTAAAATTTTTTTAATGTTTTAATTTTTTGTAGAGATAGGGTCTCTCTACGTTGTCCCAGGCTGGTCTCCAATTCCTGGGCTCAATAGATCCTCCTGCCTTAGCCTCCCAAAGTGCTGGAATTACAGACATGAGCCACTGCACCCAGCCAAGGTTTAAAAGGCTGAAAAAAATAAAAAGAAGAATACAATTTCTTGGCCTGACGCGGTGGCTCATGCCTGTAATTCCAACACTTTGGGAGACTGAGGTGGGTGGATCACCTGAGGTCAGGAGTTTGAGACCAGCCTGGCCAACATGGTGAAACCCCATCTCTACTAAAAATACACAAAATTAGCCGGGTGTGGTGGTGGGCGCCTGTAATCCCAGCTACTAGGGAGGCTGAGGCAGGAGAATCACTTGAACCTGGGAAGTGGAGGTTGCAGTGAACCGATATCCTGCCATTGCACTCCAGCCTGGGCAACAAGAGTGAAACTCTTGTCTCAGAAAAAAAATAAATAATAAGTAAAATACGATTTCTTGACCTGTGAGAATCCAAATGTCAGCTGCAATAAACAAAGCTTCATGGAAACACATCATGCCCACTCGTTTATGTCTTATCCATGGCTGCCTTGGCTACAATGACGGAGTTGAATAGCTGTGACAGAGAGTGTGGCCTGCAAAACCCGAAGTATTTACTCTCTGACCCTTTATAGGAAAAGGGTGCATAAAGTGTGTACTCTAGATGTAAAAAGGAAAGAAGGAGGGAAAATAAAGAAAAACAAAAAAAGAAAAAGGGTGCAGAGCCCTGCTGTAAATCACAGCTGCAGGGCAACATTTTCTCTCAAGGCGGCAGACTGGATAAGCACCACCCAGATAATCCAGGGGCCACCCCAAGGGGATGGGGGAGGGAAGAGTTTCAAGTTCAGAGAAGGAAGGGAATTGCAGGGAACCGCTCCAACCGGGAGGGGCCTTGCAGAAATGAGTCCAGCCCCCTCTTTTTAGATGAGAAAATCTGAGGCCCAGAGACAGGAGGCAATCTGCCCAAGGCCACCCAGCACGTGGCTAACAGCCCGGTCCCGGCGCTGCCTCCTTCTCCGCAGGGAGAAGCCGGCCAAAGTCGGGGGTCGCAGCCCAGGGGCGACACCTCCGGGCCTGGGGTCTCCTCCGTTTAGCGGGGTCCCCGGAGGGTCGGTGCAGGCCGAGCGCCGCGCGGCGGCGGCCTCTCCCCAGCGGGAAAGGGGAGGCGCCTGCGGAGTGGCCTCCCTGCAGTTCCTGTTTCCCGCTCTTTGGCTTTGGAGCAAGGGCCCCCCAATCCCTCCCCCGTCCCCCACCTCCCACCGCCCAGTTCCAAGAGTCCGCCCTCAGCCAGCCGGCTACCTGGGCTGGGGATTTGCTAATGTTTTTTTCGTTTCTTTTTTACAAAGCACAGAAGACACACCCAGCTTCCTAGAGCTCTGAAGCAGCATTTGATCGCGTGTGGCTGAGGAAACTCGAGCTTGTAGCTGATAAGGAATCGGGAGGAGAGGCCGGGAGGGCATTCCTGGGGTGCTTGGCTCCAGCTACCCCATTCCACCAGGGCTTCCCGCCCCTCTGGAATCCTAGCCCGGCCCCTGCCTGCTTTTCTCCCGGGTGAATTGGGAGGGCTGCCCCAGAGGAATTCAGGAGATTCCCTCTCTTGTAGCCTGGAGAAATAAAAAATATTAGCAGGCCGGGGTCTCAGTGGCTCACGTCTGTAATCTCAACACTTTGGGAGGCCGAGGCGGGTGGATCACCTGAAGTCGGGAGTTCTAGACCAGCCTGACCAACATGGAGAAACCCTGCCTCTACTAAAAATACAAAATTAACCTGGCATGGTGGTGCATGCCTGTAATCCCAGCTACTTGGGAGGCTGAGGCAGAAGAATCGCTTGAACTCGGGAGGCGGAGGTTGTGGTTAGCCGAGATAGCGCCATTGCACTCCAGCCTGGGCAGCAAGAGCGAAACTGTCTCAAAAAATAAATAAATAAATAAATAAATAATAGCAAATATTTTTAAGGGTGCAGCTCAGAACAGTTGCTGGAGAGGAACTGTTGATGGAATGGGTAGACCCTTCAGCACTACAGGCTCAAGCTTCCCACAGCTCCCAGCTTCCATCACCTGCACCCTTGTTCCCCCAAGTCAGGGCTCTACTCCTGATCTGACTCGAGTTTTCCCTTTCCCCAGTTTCCCCACCCTTCCATGAGCTCCCCCCCAACCCCCACCCCGTGCTGTTGGTTCCTCAAGGATAACTTCTGGAGCCTCCCCTCTTCCCTGGACAGTCCCTTCACCTTTCTGCTCTGTAACTTGCCAGCTGCCTTCCTCCAGGACCCTGTGTCCTCCTTCTAGTCCCTTCAAAGTAATCTGTTTTGTTGTCGCTGTTGTTGTTGGAAACAGGGTCACCCAGCCTGGAGTGCAGTAGTGTAATCATAGCTCTCTGCAGGCTCTACCCAGCCTCCTGGGCTCAAGCGATCCTCCCGCCTCTTTCTCCTGAGTAGCTGGGACTACAGGCCGGTGCCACCTGTTTTTAATTTTCTCACACACCCTGTAGATCAGGGCCTGGGAGGTCAGTTCACTCTCTTGCAATCTTTTTTTTTTTTTCACTATGTCACCCAGGTTAGAGTGCAGTGGCCCAATCTCGGCTCACTGCAACCCCCACCCCCCTAATGCCCCACTCTCCAGCTTAACTTCCACCTCAACCTCCCAAGTAGCTGGGACCACCGATGGGCACCACCAGGCCCAGCTAAGTTTTTGTATTTTTGGTACAGACGGGATCTCACCATGTTGCCCAGACTGGTCTCAAACTCCTGAGCTCAAGTGATCCGCCCTCCTCGGCCTCCCAGAGTGTTGAGCTTACAGGTGTGAGCCACCACACCTGGCTCTTGCAATCCCTTTCTCCTCCCTTCTTCCAAACACATTACCACCTGTGGGTTCATTACATCAATCTTTCCTGCCCACAACTCTTCTTGTTCCTCTCTTTTGCCAGCTTCTTGGAGGTGGCCCTCACTGGTGTTGGGAACAGGTGCTTGGTGTCATAAAAAACAAAGGATCTCTCAGCAAGGCTAGTTTACTTTCTGCAGAAAGGGTGCCATCACTATCAGTAATTCTCGCAAGAGCACACACGAACAAAGGAGACAGGGTCATTTATAACCTGATGCATCCACCCTACTGCTGTGTCCAGTTTCCGTTGGCTGGAAGGGTACCTCACATTCTATACTTGTCCCGATTGGCTAGTCATTTAGAACTTTCCGAAAGAGGCAAAGGCAGAGGAGAACAAAGGAAGGAGGAAGCAACCTGTGGAATGCTGAGAAAGGTAAAAACACCTCCGAATAAGGAAGAGGAACAGGCTATGACCTACTGCTTGCTTGGATCAGTATAAGCACGCCAGGGCAAATATCTAGGCTAAAATGTGGGTGCTAAGAACACAAAGTACATTGATTTCTTTATTATGGCTAGCAGATTTCTAAGAATGTTAGCACAGGTCTTTGAATAAATTTTGCTTCTAAGAGAAGTTACTGTTTATTCCTAATTAGACGGGAAGGAAAGTCCCTTTGAAGAGGAAGCTCTACTTCACTTTCTGCACTGGTCAGAGTGGCTCACAGCTGTCTTCATCTTTATTCCTGTCACCACCACTTCAGCCTCCAGCTGAAGGACCCACTGACATGTGGCCTCTGTTTCTTAGTCCCTGTAATCAATGGTGCCCTCCACGCACCTCAGCCATCCTCCCACCATCACGTCCCTGCCTCCCATCCTAGCATCACACTTCCTCTGAAATTCCAAGGTCAGGGGTTCTCTTTGACCAGCACTTCCTCCTCCTGCCATTCATTTACTCCTCCCTCCAGCATATCTTCAACTTCATCTGGGCCCCAAATCCAATGTCCTTTGTTCCCCTCCCTTCCAGCCCTGTCTGTCCCCAGACAGTTCCCTTACCCAGATTCATCCACTAGTATTGGTTTTATATTACTTCCTCTTACTTAAAAGGCTTTCTTGCAAAGCTTTTGTTCTTTCACAGAAATGTCCTGGTTTTCCTCCTGCCTCACTGGCTGCTGCTTCTCACTCTCCTTCACAGGTTCCTCCTCTACTTGGCAAGAAAATATAATGTGCTCCCCCCAGGTGAGGTCCTGGAACTGCTTCTCTTCCTTGTCAACGCTCTTCTCCTGAGTGATTCCTTCCCATGCTGAGACATTTAAGAGCACATATAGGCTGGGCATGGTGGCTCACGCCTGTAATCCCAGCAATTTGGGAGGCCAAGGTGGGCAGATCACCTGAGGTCTTGAGTTCGAGACCAGCCTGACCAACATGGAGAAACCCTGTCGCTACTAAAAATATAAAATTATGCCCGGGCATGGTGGTTCACGCCTGTAATCCCAGCATTTGGGAGGCCGAGGCGGGCAGATCAAGAGGTCAGGAGATCAAGACCATCCTGGCTAACACGGTGAAACCCTGTCTCTACTAAAAATACAGAACAACTAGCCTGGCGTGGTGGCAGGCACGTGTAGTCCCAGGTACTCAGGAGGCTGAGGCAGGAGAATGGCATGAACCCGGGAGGCGGAGCTTGCAGTGAGCCGAGATCGCACCACTGCACTCCAGCCTGGGTGACAGAGCGAGATTCCGTCTCAAAAAAAAACAAAAACAAAAACAAACAAACAAAAAAAACAAAATTAACTGGGCATGGTGGCTCATGCCTGTAATCTCAGCTACTCGGGAGGCTGAGGCAGGAGAATCGCTTGAACCCAGGAGGCAGATGTTGCAGTGAGCCGAGATTGTGCCATTGCACTCCAGCCTGGGCAACAAGAGCGGAACTCCTTCTCAAAAAAAAAGTACATATAAGCCAATCACCCCATGTTTATTTCTTCAGTTCTGACTTCTCTGAACCCCAGATTCCTGTGTCCAGCCACTAACTAGACCTCTCCTCAGGGATGTCTGTGAGTGATCACGAAGCTTGTGTGCACTTTTTTTTTTTTTTTTTTTTTTTAGAAACCTTTCAAGCTCTGTAGAGAATGGCCTGAAATCCAGGCCCTGGGACACCCTTAGGCCTCTCACCCTCACTGAGTCTAAAATAGAACTTACCTCTCTTCCCCAGACTTCTCTTGCAGGGGTCTCATTCCCAGCCCTCGCCCACCATGTGCCTATCATGCCTGTTAGAAACCAGGCCTCCCACAGCCAGACACCATGGCTCACTCCAGTAATCCCGGCACTTTGGGAGGCCAAAGTTGGAGGATCTCTTTAAGTCAGGAGTTCAAGACCAGCCTGAACAAGATAGCAAGACCCCATCGCTACAAAAAAATTAGCCAAGAATGGTGGCACGCGGCTATGGTCCCAGCTACTTGGGAGGCTGAGTCAGGAGGATTGCTTGAGCCCAGGAATTTGAGGTTGTGGTGAGCTGATTGTGCCATTACACTCCAGCCTGGGTGACAGAATGAAACACCCCTGGCCCCTGTCTCAAAAAGAAGAAACAAAGGAAGAAAAAAAGAAAAAAGAAAAAAAGAAAAGAAAAGAAGGAGGGAGGGAGGGAAGGATGGAGGGAGGGAAGGAGGGAGGGAGGAAAGGAAGGAAGAAAGGAAGGAAGCAAGCAAGCAAGCAAGCAAGCTGGGCATGGTGGCTGATGCCTGTAATCCCAGCACTTTGGGAGGCGGAGGCAGGCTGATCACCTGAGGTCAGGAGTTTGAGACCAACCTGGCCAACATGGTGAAACCCCCATCTCTACTAAAAATACAAAAATTAGCTGGGCATGGTGGTGGGTGTCTATAATCCCAGCTACTCGGGAGGCTGAGGCAGGAGAATCACTTGAACCTAGGAGGCGGAGATTGCAGTGAGCTGAGATCACGCCATTGCACTCCAGCCTGGGCTACAGAGCAAGACTCCGTCTCAAAAAAAAAAAAAAAAAAGAAAAGAAAAGAAGAAAAGAAAAGAAACCAGACCTCCCCATACCTCTCACTCCTAGATCTAATCAATCATTAAAGACCTTCCTTATCTCTGGAAACTCCACCAAACCAGCCTCTAGGCATCTACCTCTTACCCCACTGCATCCTTCCTCCAGACCCCAAGCTTTCTATGTACAAATCCATGCTACCATGCCTCATACCACGCAGTGGCTCCCATTTGTCTCCTGGCTAAACCCCAAACTCCAGCCACTTCTGGAATCTGCAGTTCCACCTCTCATCCCCCCTTCCCTGTGGTGCTGCTTGGGTGCTCTTGTATGCCTCTGGCCTCTGTATGTGCTGGTCCTGGCTCCTCTCTTTGCCTGGACAACACTTATTTGTCCTGCAAGACTCAACTTGGCCTTCTCTGCCCCATATGTCTAGATCATGCCATAACATTCAATGTTCACCTGTACCATGCTGGAATTGCTTGTCTGTCTGTCCTGTCCCCCAAGTGGAAGGTAAGCTACATTGGTCTTGTAATCAGGGGCCTGGCACATGGCAGGAGCTCAATATTATGTGTGTTGAATGAGTGAATGAACGGATGAATAAGTGGATGAATCAGTCTGGATGCCAAGCACGGAGGTGGCACATTACACAGCTGTCATAGTGTGGAATGTGGGGGTGGTGTTCATCACATTCATGTAGTGGATAGGCTGAGAGCTTTAGCTTTGCATTGAAACAGTCAGGAGTTTCTGACATTATTTATGTGTGTGACATGGGGCAGGTCACTTGGCCTCACTGTGCCTTGGGTTTTCCACCTGTGAAACAGGATGATAATATCACCTTGAAGTGTTTGCAATAAAAAGCATGCCCTTGGAGGGCTCAGCAGACAGTTTCTGCTGCATAGAAGAATGACAGTTTTGCTTTGTAAATCGGGCTGATGGTACCTATCTCCCAGGATTGCTATGAGAATAAAATGAAATAGGCCGGGCATGGTGGTTCACACCTGTAATCCCAGCACTTTGGGAGGCTGAGGCGGGTGGATCACCTGAGGTCAGCAGTTTGAGACCAGCCTGCCCAACATGGCGAAAACCCGTCTCTACTAAAAATACAAAAATCAGCCGGGCGTGATTGCGGGCGCCTGTAATCCCAGCTACTCGGGAGGCTGAGGCAGGAGAATCGCTTGAACCCGGGAGGCGGAGGTTTCAGTGAGCCAAGATCACACCATTGCACTCCAGCTTGGGTGACAGAGCAAAACCCTGTCTCAAAAATAATAATAATAATAATAATTAAAAAATGAAATAATGTTTGTAAAGCAGTTAGCACAGTGACTGTAGTTTTGGCTGTAATTCCTAGGGCACACTTGAGTCCCATAATATAGTGTGACAGGCAGGAAACCTTGGTTCTCCATGAGTAACTCAGAGACAAATTTCTTCTCTCAGATGCTCGGTTTTTACATCTGTAGAATGGGTCAGTTCATCGGGTTCTCTGGAGGTCCGAAATGCCATGATTCTGAGTCGTGCCTGGTCCTTATCATCCCTGATACTGCTGGGCACTCTCTTACTGCTTTTGAGCCCACTTTCCAAGGAAAGAGGAAAGACTCCTCTGTCTCTCCAACTCTGCTCCCTCAGCCTCATCAAAGCTGATTTACTCGGTGACTCATCCCCTCTGAGGTCCCTGGTCCCTGTGCTTCCGGCTTTCAGTGGGTGCTAATGGGTCAATATCGGAGACACTAATGGAACCTACAGGAACCCAGTGTCAGTTCACTAATGGGACGCCCCATCTGCCCGCCCTGTAACCTAATGCCTTCACCCTACTAAAAGGCACTTGGGGATTTCCTGTTGGCTCCAATCTGCTGGTTTCTGACATCTTGAAAGTCAGAGGACAGGAAGGGTCAGGAGGTGGATTGATAGATGGTGGGACAGAGTGGGAGACGATCTGAACCAGCAGTCGGGATATATCTGGGCTCCCATACCAACTCTGCCACTGACTTGCTGTGTGAGTTTGCACAAATCCACTTCTCACTCTGGGGCTCGGTTTCCCCATTTGTAACATGAGGCAGGTTGGTCTATGAAGAACTTGCTGGAGCTGACATTCTGGAATTATCATATAGCATTGCTTTTGCACCTGAGAGCTGAATGTCTTTTCAGCGTCATTCAATTCCAAAACCTACTGAATACCTACTATGTGCCAGCCTATACCAGGCACTGAGGATCAGGGGTGAATGAGGCACAGTTCCTGTCCTAGGAACTCTCAGGCACCATCTCATCCTGCTACTATTTTTCTTTTCTTTTCTTTTCTTTTTGAGACAGGGTCTCACTTTGTCACCCAGGCTGGAATGCAGTGGCTTGAACACAACTCACTGCAGCCTCAACCTTCCAGGCTCAAGAGATCCTCCCACCTAAGCTTCCAAAGCAGCTGGGACTACAGGTGCACACCACCACACTTGGTTGATTTTTATAGTTTTTGTAGAGATGTGGTTTCACCATATCGCCCAGGCTGATCTTGAGCTCCTGAGCTCAAGCGATCCATTCACCTCAGCCTTGCAAAGTGCTGGGATTACAGGGGTGAGCCACTATGCCCGGCCCTGCTACTGTTTTTCTATTCACAAAACAGAGGTGGAAAGAGAAGGAAGGCTTCCGCACTTCCTGAAGATCCCCTGTGTGCATGGCTAAGGGCCCAGAGAAGATAAAAATGGTTTCAGATCTTTCAGTCCTTTCGGTTCTCTGACTATACCATTTTCTCTTGACTCCTGGCCCTTGTACAAGCCATTCCCTATGCCTGGCATTATCTTAGCTCTCAATTTATTTTTCAAGTCTCACCTTCATTCATTCATTCATGCATGCATTCATTCATTCAATTCACATGGAGAGAACACTTACCTTGTGCCAGTCTGTGGGATTGGGATCTAGGAGTGAACAAGATATACTCTGTCCCTGTTTTATAGGAGCTTGCAGATTTTTGTTTTATTTCTTATTTTTATTTTATTTTTTATTTTTTAAAAATGGAGTCTTGCTCTGTCACCCAGGCTGGAGTGCAAGGGCACGATCTTGGCTCACTGCAACCCTCGCCTCCTGGGCTCAATTGATTATCCTGCCTTAGCCTCCAGAGTAGCTGGGACTACAGGCATACGCCACCATGCCTGACTAATTTTTGTATTTTTAGTAGAGATGGGGTTTCACCACATTGGCCAGGAAGTCTTGAATTCCTGACCTCAAATCATCGGCCCATGTTGGCCTCCCAACCTCCTGAGACTACACGCATGAGCCACTGTGCCTGGCCTATTTTTATTTTTTGAGACAAGGTTTCATTCTGCTGCCCAGGCGAGAGTGTAGTGGCATAGTCATATCTCACTGCAGCCTCAGCCTCCTAGGCTCAAGCAATCCTCCTGCTCAGCCTCCTGAGTAGCTAGGACTACAGGCATGTGTGCCACCACGCCCAGTTAATTTTTTATATTTTGTAGAGATAGGCTCTTGTTTTGTTGCCCAGGCTGGTCTCAAAATCCTGGACTCAAGCATTTCACCTGCCTCAGCCTTCGAAAGTGCTGGGATTACAGGCATGAGCCATCATGGCTGTCACCCCCGCATCCCCATCTTTTTTTTTTTTTTTTTTTTTTGAGGCAGAGTCTCACTATCGCCCAGGCTGGAGTGCAGTGGTGTGATCTCGGCTCACTGCAAGCTCCATCTCCTAGGTTCACACCATTCTCCTGCCTCAGCCTCCCGAGTAGCTGGGACTACAGGTGCCTGCCACCATGCTCAGCTAATTTTTTGTATTTTTAGTAGAGACAGGGTTTCACCATGTTAGCCAGGATGGTCTCGATCTTCTGACCTCGTGATCTGCCTGCCTTGGCCTCCCAAAGTGCTGGGATTACAGGCGTGAGCCACTGGAGTGCAGTGGTGGGTCTTGGCTCACTGCAACCTCTGCCTCCCGGATTCAAGCGATTCTCTTGCCTCAGCCTCCTGAGTAGCTGGGATTACAGGCGCCCATCACCATGCCCAGTTAATTTTTTTTTTTTTTTTTTTTGAGACAGAGTTTCACTCTTTTACCAAGGCCAGAGTGCAGTGGCGAGATCTCGGCTCACTGCAACCTCTGTCTCCCAGTTTTAAGAGATTCTCCTGCCTCATCCTCCCAAGTAGCTGAGATTACAGGTGCACACCACCACACCCGTCTAATATTTGTATTTTTAGTAGAGATAGGGTTTTACCATGTTGGCCAGGCTGGTCTCGAACTCCTCACCTCGTGATCAGCTCGTCTCGACCTCCCAAAGTACTGGGATTACAGTCATGAGCCACCACACCCAGACTCTAATTTTTGTATTTTTAGTAGAGACGGGGTTTCACCATGTTCGTCAGACTGGTCTCGAACTCCTGACCTCGTGATCTGCCTGCCTCGGCCTCCCAAAGTGCTGGGATTATGGGTGTGAGCCACCACGCCCATCCCCCTCTCCTGCTGGGCATGGGGGCTCATGCCTGTAATCCCAGCACTTTGGGAGGCTGAGGCAGCAGATCACCTGAGGTCAGGAGTTCGAGACCAGCCTGGCCAACATGGTGAAACCCCGCCTCTACTAAAAATACCAAAATTAGCCGGGCGTGGTAGCATGTGCCTGTAATCCCAGCTACTTAGGAGGCTGAAGCAGAAGAATCACTTGAACCTGGGAGGTGCAGGTTGCAGTGAGCCTAGATCGTGCCATCACACTCTAGCCTGGGCAATAGAGGGAGACTCGGTCTCAAAAAAAGGTTAAAAAATAATAATAAAAAAACAAAAACCAGACTGGACACAGTGGCTCGCACCTGCAATCCCAGCACTTCGGGAGGCCGAGATGGGCAGATCATGAGGTCAGGAGTCTGAGACCAGCCTGGCCAACATGGTGAAACCCTATCTCTACTACAAATACAAAAATTAGCCGGGCATGGTGGCGTGCACCTGTAATCCTAGCTACTCAGGAGGCTGAGTCAGGAGAATCGCTTGAACCCTGGAGGTAAATGTTGCAGTGAGTCGAGATCGTACCACTGCACTCCAGCCTGGTCAACAAGAGTGAAACTCAGTCTCATAAATAAATAAATAAATAAATGAATAAATAAATAAATAAGAGGGTCTTGCTATGTTGCTCAGGCTAGACTTGAACTCCTGGGCTCATGTGAACTTCCTGCCTCAGACCCCTGAGTGGCTGGGACTACAGGTGCACATCACTGAGCAGTTTACAGATTTTTATGGGAGGGGACAGTCAATTAAACAATTTCATTTAAGAAAAGGAGGTCGCTGGAGCGCAGTGGCTCATGCCTGTAATCCCAGCACTTTGGGAGGCCAAAGTGGGCAGATCACCTGAGGTCAGGAGTTCGAGACCAGCCTGGCCAACATGGAGAAACCCCGTCTCTACTAAAAATACAAAATTAGCCAGGCATGGTGGCATGCGCCTGTAATCTTAGCTACTCAGGAGGCTGAGGCAGGAGAATAGCTTGAACCCGGGAGGTGGAGGTTGCGGTGAGCCAAGATCGCGCTATTGCACTCCAGCCTGGGCAACAAGAGTGAAACTCTATCTCAAAAAAAATAAAAAAAAGAGAGAAAAAGAAAAAGGAGGTCAGGCATGGTGGCTCAAGTCTATAATCCCAGCACTTTGGAAGGCTGAGGTGGGCAGATCACTTGAGGCCAGTAGTTTGAAGCCAGCCTGGCCAACATAGTGAAACCCCGTCTCTGCTAAAAACACAAAAGTTAGCCAGGCTTGGTGGCGCATGCCTGTAGTCCCAGCTACTCAGGAGGCTGAGGCAGGAGAATTGCTTGAACCTGGGAGGCAGAGGTTGCAGTGGGCCGAGATCGCGCCACTTCACTCCAGCCTGGGCAACAGAACAAGACTCTACCTCAAAAAAAAAGGGGGGTGCGGAATTTAAGTTAGGGTGAACATGGGAGGGACAGAAACAAGGGCTGAGATAGGTGGGGTAGGAGCACTCTGGGAGGAGGCAGCAGCATATGCACAGCTGGGAGACAGGAAGGATATGCCTCTTTAGAAAAATGGAAAGACTGGGGCTAGGATCAGTGACCCATGCCTGTAATCCTAGCACTTGGGGAGGCCGCAGCAGGTGGATTGCCTGAGCTCAGGAGTTTGAGACCAGCCTGGGCAACATGGTAAAACCCCGTCTCTACTAAAATACAAAAAATTAGCTGGGTATGATGGCACGTGCCTGTAATCCCCGCTACTAGGGAGGATGAGACGGGAGAATCTCTTGAACCTAGGAGGTGGAGGTTGCAGTGAGCCGAGATCGTGCCATTGCACTCCAACCTGGGCGACAGAGCAAGACTCTGTCTCAAAAAATAAAAAAGAAGAAGAATGGACAGACCAGTGTGGCTGGATCAGAGGAGGCCAGAGAAGAGGCAAGAGCAGGAAGCCAGCACTCCCATGTTTGGGTAGGTGCATCCCCTGGACACCAAGCTCCCTTTCCCTCCCTGTCACAGCAGCTGTCACACTGGATTGTCATTGCCTGCTCATTTCTCTGACTCCCCAACTAAACCTTAGATTCTCGAGGACAGAGATCACCTCCTGTAAGCATTGTACCCTCTATTCTTAACTCACTGCATAAAGCAAAATCACCATTATCCACAAAGGCTGCGAAACAGTCTCTCCAGGCTTCCCTAGCTCAGTACATGACCTACACCAGCATTCATTAGGAGGCTCAAATGAGATAATAGAATGGACACCTTGATTGTGATCACCCTCCTCCCAGGTAACCAGGAAAAGACCTGTCCCTGTGCCTCCCAAACCCTCCTAAATTTGCTATGGCCACCACCGGAGCCCAAGCCACCATGGTAGCTGCTCTCTCTCCTATTTCCCCCGTCAGACTGCTCCTGTGCTTAAAGTGTTGGCAATTAATTCCTTTTTTTTCCAGCTATACAGACCAAAAAGCAAACAAAAACAAAAGCACAGTCACTTCCCACTGTGCTTAAAATAAAACCTTTATGCCAGCCTGCAAGCCCTAGCTGATCTGGCTTGTCTGTGTCTCCAAGCTCATCTCCTATACGCTCCCCTTCCTTTTGCTTCTCCACAGTGGTCTCTCTTTTCTTTTTCTGATTCTTACATATTCCAAGGTTTATTCCTGCCTCCAGGAACATGTGCTGTTCCCTCTAGCTAGAATGCTGTTTCCCCAGGTTTTCACCTGACAGCCGCTTCCTCGTCCAAACTCAGCTCCCAAGTCCCCTCCCTGAAAGGGCCTTCATGACTACTGCCCCCTCCATCACCCCTCGCCATTTTACATCCTCTTAGCTCTCCCTAGGATGTCCTTGTTTTTTCATTCAGTTATGTGTCTGTCAGTCTTTCCTCTCTCAAAGATGAAGTGCTTGAGATCAGAGACCTTACCTGTCTTGTTAGTGACTGTGGCCCCAGAACCTGGCCCAATGTAGGCCTTCAGCTATCAGTCGTTGAATGAATGAATTTATTGATCTCTTTTCTATGCTAGGCTCTGTTCTAAGCAGTTTACATGTATTATCTGGCTGAATCTTGCAATGGCAACCTTGAGAGAAGCTGCAACTTAGGCAGGTGAAGAGACCTGCCCAAGGTCAGGCAGCTAGGAAGGAATGGAGCCTGGATTCAAACCAGCCTGCCTCCCAAGACCACACTCGCAGTGACAATGGAGTGCTGATCCTCCACAAGCAAAGCTTCATGTTGCACACATGAATGAATGAATGAATAGGCAAATTACAAACACCTGAACTGAGTGGCATGACTGAATGACAGACATTTCCAGCTTTAAGAAGTTCACTGTGTTCATCTACTTGGGCCTCTGTTTTGGAGTGGGGAAAGAAGAGAGCACTCATTCATTGAGGGACCAGTGCGCACCAGGTACTGTACCAGTGACACTTGTGGCTACCTGCTCTGCCCAGAGTGCTGCCACCACCAACCCAGGCATGGGGGGACTAAGGGGGCAACCCCAGGGAGCATCGCATCCCGGTAGCTGCGGGCTCTCCCCGGGGCAGCTCTGCTATCTTGTGAGAGCCTTGTCTCTGGCTGGCTGCCACCCGCCTGCCAGCCCAGCATCTTAGCTCATCAATCACGTGGCTGCTCTCTGCCAGGCTGGATCTCAGAGGAAGACAAGTCTGCTGAAGACGGAATGGGCCGTAGGCTCAGGAGGGAATCGAAGCCACTGAGGGGGAGGGAAGGGAGGCCCAGAAAGACAGGCAAGGTCTGGATCAATCCCCCCTCAGCTAAGAAGGGTCGATTGGGGGAGGAAGGGAGGGCAGGGTTTCCATTGGAAGAGCAGTGAGAAAGGAGAGGTGGAGAAAATGGCTGGTGTGGGCGGCGGAGGTGGGGGGGTTCCCATTGCAAAGGAAATTCAGCCTCCCCTGGTGCCCTGCCAGCTCCCTGCACCCCAGGGAGCAGACTGACTCTGGGAAAGCGGGCAGGTTATGGCGGCTGATTTATCGCAGGCCCAGCTGCCTTCCCGCACCTCTCGAGCTCCCTGTGACCTGGCTTCCCAGCAACCCCTATTCCCCAAATAACCTCTGGAGGGGCTTAATGAGGGGAGGCTGGATACCTCCATCTTCCCCACTGCCCTCTCCTTTCTCCCATGTCCACCTCTTGGGAGTGGAATTTATGTTGTCTCCCCAGAGACTGTGCTGAAAGTCAAGATGTCTGAGCCAAAGACTCCTTAGAGATCTGCTAGTCCAGAAAGACAAATCAGCAGCCCTTTGCTGTTGTTTTTGTTCTGCTTCTCAGTCTGCACAGTTAAAAAAAAAAAAAAAAAAGAATTAGTTGCCAACATTTAAACAGAAATAGGTTGCACATAAAAATCTGATTTCTGATTTCTCTTAAAAATTCCAAAGATCTGGCCAGGGACAGTGGGTGTTGCTTGTAATCCCAGCACTTTGAGAGGCTGAAGCAGGTGGACTTCTTGAGCCCAGTAATTCGACACTAGCCTGGACAACATAGCGAGACCCTGTCTCTATAAAAAATGGAAAACTTAGCTAGGTGTGGTGTTGCGTGCCTCTGGTCTCAGCTAGTCAGGAAGCTAAGGTGGGAAGATTGCCTGAGCCCAGGAGGTTGAGGCTGCAGTGAGCCAAGGTCACGCCACTGCACTCTAGCCTGGGTGACAGTGTGAAACCCTGTCTCAAAAAAAAAAAAAAAAAAAAATTCAAAATCTGGCAATTCTGGGCTGGCCTTTCCCTGAGCTAAGTTGAAACTGCTCCAGACAGAGCCAACAACTGTGCCCACTTCGCCCTTTTGTGTTACTGACCAGGCCCCTGTGGCTTTGAGTTTTCTACCCCTCGTGCATTCCAAAGTGCTCACTGAGGAAACTCAGGTTTACAGTGGGCACGGACTTGAGTGGGGACTCATGAATGGCAGCCCTGGAGCTGAGAAGCCACTTGGTTTCATATTGCAGGCATGCCTCTTATGAGCTGTGTGACTTTGGGCAAGTAGAAGAACCTCTCTGAGCCTCGGTTTTCTCATCTGTGAAACAGGGATAATGGCAGTATCTTGTGAGGAATAAAACAGATACTGTGCATTTAACATTTAGTACCATCTCTTGTATGTTTACAAGGAAGATACTCTGAATTTCGAATAGGTAATGCATGTGGTAATGTAAATGTTCCAGTTAATATTCACACACACACCAGAGTGTAGTGGATTAAAACAACAATGTATTATGATCTCTTGTGGTTTTATGTCTTGACCCAGTTCAGATGAGACCTGGGGTCTCAGGTGTTGTTGCAGTCACATGGGAAAAACATCATCTGAATGTTTGACTGGGACTGAACTTTTTTTTTTTTTTTTTTTTTTTTTTGGAGACAAGAGTTTCACTCTTGTTGCCCAAGCTGGAGTGCAATGGCACGATCTCGGCTCACTGCAACATCTGCCTCCCAGGTTCAAGTGATTCTCCTGCCTCAGCCTCCCTAGTAGCTGGGATTACAGACATGTGCCACCACACCTGGCTAATTTTTGTATTATTAGTAGAGATGGGGTTTTACATTGTTGGAGAGGCTGGTCCTGAACTCATGACCTCAGATGATCCACCTGCCTTGGCCCTCCAAAGTGCTGGGATTACAGGTGTGAGCCACCGCACCTGGCCTAGGATTTAACTTTTTTTTTTTTTTTTTTTTTTTTGAGACAGAGTCTTGCTCTGTTGCCCAGGCTGGAGCACAGTGGCACAATCTTGGCACACTGCAAACTCCACCTCCTGGGTTCAAGCAATTCTCTGCCTCAGCCTCCCGAGTAGCTTGGATTACAGGTGCCTGCCACCATGCCTGGCTAATTTTTGTATTTTTAGTAGAGATAGGTTTCACCATCTTGGCCAGGCTGGTCTTGAACTCCTGACCTCATGATCCACCTGCCTTGGCCTCCCAAAGTGCTGGGATTACAGGCGTGAGCCACCATGCCCGGCCTGGGATTTAACTTTCAAGATGCACACTCACATGGCTGGCATATGATATTAGCCGTGAGCGGGGAGCTGAGGTGGGAATGTGAACTGCAGTGCCTCTGTGGGGCTGCTGCATCTGGCTTGGGCTTCTCCCAGCATGGTGGTGAGGATCAGAGAGAGAGCATGCCAAAAGCAAGCAATCCAAGAGAACGAGAAGCAACTGCATGACCCTTCCATGACCTAGCCTTAAAAGTCGTAAAATGGGCCGGGCGCAGTGGCTCACAACTGTAATCCCAGCACTTTAGGAGGCTGAAGCGGGTGGATCATGAGGTGAAGAGTTTGAGACCAGCCTGGCCAAGATGGTTCAACCCCATCTCTACTAAAAATACAAAAATCAGCCAGGCACAGTGGCAGGTGCCTGTAATACCAGCTAGTCGGGTGGCTGAGGCAGGAGAATTGCTTGAACTTGGGAGGCGGAGGTTGCAGTGAGCTGAGATCGCACCACTGCACTCTAGCCTGGGCAACAGAGCAAGACTCCGTCTCAAATAAGAACAAAAAAAAGTCATAAAATGTCACCCCAGCCATTCCTGATTGGCCTATACCAATTGCAAACCTACTCAGATTCAATGGGCAAAGACATAGACCTCACCTCTCAAAGAAGTCTGGGACCATGTTTTAAAACCATCACGACGGCTAGGCACAGCGGCTCACGCCTGTAATCCCAACACTTTGGGAGGCCAAGACAGGCAGATCACCTGAGGTCAAGAGATCAAGACCAGCCTGGCAAACATGGTGAAACCCTATCTCTACTAAAAATGCAAAAATTAGCTGGGCATGGTAGCGGGCGCCTGTAATCCCAGCTACTCAGGAGGCTGAGGCAGAATAATCGCTTGAACCCAGGGGGCAGAGATTGCAGTGAGCTGAAATTGCGCCATTGCACTCCAGCCTGGGCGATAAAAGCAAGACTCCATCTGAAAAATAAAAAAATGACCACAACATATATGAAAACTGAGAACATAAGTTTGCCTTTCACTTTGTCCCCTCAGGGCCGACTTACTCCCTGTTGCAAAAATCATTACTAATCAATTTCTTGTGTGTCTTCCCAGAGAGTCCACATATAAATAGGTGTGAGAATTATACATATACAGATGTCTCTACTATCTACTCTAGTTATCCAAATACTATTCCAACGCAGAAAACTAAATGGATTCAGACCACCTCTTGGATGAACTATCTGCTATCTGACTCTTGCTGTTTGCTGTCTGAAATGAAATGTAGGAGTCAAAGATTCCAGTAATGTAGCATTCCTTGCTTTCTGAACCCTAGATATCTGAATTCAGAAACCAAATAGATTTAGATAGCAAAAGATGATTTCATAAATACACACAAACACCTCTTCTTAGCACCCCCCACAAATGTGAGTATAACGGACACACTGTTCTTACCTTGCATTTTTCACTAACAACTTGTCTCATATGTCAGCCTGTTTCAGCACATCTACATGAACCTCATTTCTTGTAAGAGCACAGAGCATTCCATTGTTCAGGTGCATCATAATTTGTTTAATTAAATCACCTCCTACTGGCCACTTGGTCTTTTTTTTCTAGTCTTCTGCTAATCACAATCCATGCTGCAGCAAATAGCCTTCTTCTGAAGTCTTTATGCGCTTTTGCAAGATTATCTGTGTGATAAATCCCTAGAGACAGAATGCTGCGTCAAAGGGAAGTGTTCCCATATCCAGCTATGCTCTATCCTGCCAGAGCAGGCTCAGACCCCATATCTCTTGTGCTCTGGCCAGGATCTTTTACCTTTACTCATACTGTCACCTGTGGGATCCTGCCTGCTTCCAGAACAGCAGGTAGCAGCTGCTTCCCAGCTACTCACTAAGGTCATACAGAGGTCTGCATGTGTAAGGGGAATAAGGGGACCCCACAAGGCTTTTGCAAAAGAACGTCATATGGAGCTGGGATCTCACCTTACTTAAGTGCCTCCTGATTTTCAACAACTGCTGCATCTGCTTCTCTCAGACCCCAAAGCAGTTGCTGGGGTGATTTAGGCTGCTCCTATTCCCTTTAAAGAGAAGGGCCGGCTGGGCGCATTGGCTCACGCCTGTAATCTCAGCAGTTTGGGAGGCTGAGGAGGGCAGATCATGAGTTTGAGACCAGCCTTGCCAATATGGTGAAACCCCGTCACTACTGAAAATACAAAAATTAGCCGGGTGTAGTGGTGGGTGCCTGTAGTCCCAGTTACTCAGGAGGCTGAGGCAGGAGAATCACTTGAACGTAGGAGGCGGAGGTTGCAGTGAGCTGAGATCGTGCCACTGCACTCCAGCCTAGGCAACAGACAAGACTTCGTCTCAAAAAAATAAAAATAAAAAAAAAGAGAGAGAAGGGCCAGGCGAGGTGGCTCATGCCTGTAACCCCAGCACTTTGGGAGGCCGAGGCGGGTGGATCACTTGAGGTCAGGAGTTCAAGACCAGCCTGGCCAACATAGTGAAACCCTGTCTCTACTTTTAAAAATACAAAAATTAGCCAGTGTGGTGGCATGCACCTGTAGTCCCAGCTACTCAGGAAGCTGGGGCAGGAGAACTGCTTGAACCTGGGAGGCGGAGGTTGCAGTGAGCCAAGACCATGCCATCGCACTCTAGCCTGGGCGACAAAGCAAGACTCCATCTCAAAAGAGGAGAGAGCTTGCTTTTTATGGCGGGTCTGCACCCAGCAATGTAGAGCTGTCTGTAGAGGCTTCTAGATATGAAAATGTAAAGGGAAGGAGGCACCATCAGGGCCCCCAGTTGTTGCCCCTTCCCTTGCTTTTCAGATATCACATGATGTACCACAACTGCTGGGTTCTACTTCAGGGCACACTAACCTCAATTCCTTCATTTTTTTTTTTTTTTTTTTTTTTTTTTTGAGGCAGAGTTTCGCTCTTGTTGCCCAGGCTGGAGTGCAATGGCGTGATCTCGGCTCACCGCAACCTCTGCCTCCTAGGTTCAAGCGATTCTCCTGCCTCAGCCTCCCTAGTAGTTGGAATTACAGGCATCAACCACCACGCCTGGCTAATTTTTTTATTTTTGGTAGAGAGGGGGTTTCACCATGTGGGCCAGGCTGGTCTTGAACTCCTGACCTCAGGTGATCCACCCGCCTGAGCCTCCCAAAGTGCTGGGATTACAGATGTAAGCCACCACGCCCGGCCACAATTCCTTTATCTTTTAAGTGGGAAGAATAGTAATACCTGCCACCCAGGCTTGTTGTGAAGGTTAATTAGACTAATAGCTTGCAAAGTGCTTAGACCAATGCCCGGAACATATTAATACCACAATATTAATACCAGGTTTCTCTTTTTTTCCTCATTTAATCCTCATGACTTCCCTTGGAGAAACAGGGGCCATTATTGTTTTGGTTTTATAGAAAAAAAAAAACAGAAGCCTGGAAAGATAAAGTGACCTTTTATAGGTCACACAGCTCTAGCGATGGAATTTAAACTAGGTCAGTCTGACTCCAGCTTATTCCTGCTCTACCGTGCAGTTGATTCCAATCACATTCAGTGGACACGCTGGGGACGTTGGTGGTGTGGCCACAGCTCCCATGCTGTCTGTCTGGTGGGCACTGGGTAGTTTGGCTTGCCTGTCACTGTATCCCTGACCCCTACCCCATTCCTGCCAATGGGAAGCCCACACAGCCAGCAGACCAGAAGGAAAAGAAGTGAAACTGTGTTCTGGGAGTAAAAACGGTGGTGATGAAGGGGGAATAAGATCATTTCCACCCTCCTCACTGTAGTGACAATTCTTTGAGCCCTTCGTATGTGGCAGATACTGTGCTCAGGGCTTTGCATGCCAAATGATTTAAGATTCTTATGACTACAAGTAAAGGAACCCCAACTAAATAAGGAAAACCCAACTAACGAACTGGCTCATAGAATTAGGAAGTCAGGAAGTGAATCTGGCTTCAAGCAATGCAAGATGATGTCTACATCATCTTCGTCATCTTGGCTGTATTTCCTTCTAAGAAGTGACTTCATCCACAGATAGACAGGCTCTCTCGGGATTTATATTCTCCCAGCTCAGTAACCCCAGGAAGAAGCAGTCCTTTCCCAAGGCAGGCTCTGGTTGGCTTTCTTGAGGCTTCAGCCCACCCCAGGGACCAATCACTGTTGCCAAAAAGGGGATCTCATGATTGGCTGGGCATGGTCTGTGCCCCTACCCTGTGCCCAGGAAGAGGCCAAGGCTCTGACTGAAAGTCTCAACAGAGTACATGGAATGAATAGCATGGATTCCCAAAGAAAGGAATGCTCCACAGACAAAAGAGTCAATGAGTGAATTTATGACTGTTTCACTATATATGCATTACTTCATGTAATCTGTACTATAATCTTCATTCTGCAGAGGAGGAGAGAGATACAGAGAAACTGTGTCAGAAGGTCACACTTGGCTGGGCGCAGTGGCTCACGCCTGTAATCCCAGCACTTTGGGAGGCTGAGGCAGGCGGATCACTTGAGGTCAGGAGTTCAAGATCAGCTTGACCAAAATGGCAAAACCCTGTCTCTACTAAAAATACAAAAATTAGCCAGGCATGGTGGCAGGCACCTACTTTCCCAGCTACTTGGGAGGCTGAGGCAGGAGAATCACTTGAACCCAGGAGGCGGAGGTTGCAGTGAGCCGAGATTGCGCCACTGCACTCCAGGCTGGGTAAGAGAGTGAGACCCCGTTTCAGAAAATAAATACATAAAATTTTAAAAAATTTTAAATTAAAAAAAAAAAGGGTCACACTCATGCCAGGCACAGTGGCTCATGCCTGTAATCCCAGTACTTTGGGAGGCCAGATTGCCTGAGGCCAGAAGTTCAAGACCAGCCTAGGCAACACAGCAAGACCTTGTCTCTACAAAATAAAGAAATCAGCTGGGCATGGCGGTGCATACCTGTAGTAACAGCTACATGGGACGCTGAGGCAGGAGGATTGCTTGAGCCCAGAAGTTCAAGGCTGCAGTGAGCTATGCTCACACCACTGCACTCCAGCCTCGGCAACAGAGTGAGACTGTGTCCTTCACCCCAACCCCCAGAAAAAAGCCAAAAGGGGAAAAAAAAAAAGGTCACACTCTCAATAATGGCCCAGCAAGGAGTGGAACCTGGGGTTGCCTGGCTCCACAAAGCACCTACTTTTACACATGGTCATTTACTGTCCTCATAGGCTCTGCAGAGCTGAAGGACATGCATGGGAAAAAGGGGTATCTAGGAGGAATTGGGGAGCGGGAGAAGAGAATGAAGATTTTTGCAAAGTATCGCTGGGCCCTGCCTTTAGTGGCCTACAGTAATTTCCAATAGGGAAAGGTCCAAGTGCCCACTGTGGGCATGGAGCTCACCAATACGTATGCTCAGAGGCTCTGCTGTACCCCTTGGCTTGGAACCCTGACTGGGGATCCACCAGCTTGTTTTCTACTCTTTGGACATGAGTCAGGCTTTGCCCGGGGCTCAGGTTTGGGACTGAGCTGTGTTGCTTGCTGTCTGTATGTTCTTACATGTAGGAAGCAGCCCTCATCAAAACCAGCTTGTCAAACAGCATGCCAGCCACCCTGTTCCCTAATAGGGAATCTCTACCCACACCAACTCTACCCCAGCTAATTCCTCTTACAAGCCACAGCCTCTCCCATCCCTTGGATTTGGCACCTCATATTGCTCCTTTGCTTGCCCGGAAAGCTCTTCTTCTACCCTCTCTCCTGCCTGACTCCTCATCCTGTGGAATTCAGCTCAAAGGTCACTTCTTTCATGAAGCACCTATGTCATGCCTACTGCCTCCCCCTGGTCTACAGGCTGCTTCTCGGTACTTACCTCTAATATAGCACTAATCACTTTCTGATGAAATTTTTTTTACTGGTCTGTTTTCCTCACCAAAATCTAAGATCTCTGAGGATAAGAACTTCATCTTTGAAAACAGTTGGTGTTCCATACATTTGCATTGAATTGACAGATGAATGAAGGACACTACTAGGACCCATGGCATTCTCTTTGCGGGTTTGTGCTCTAGAAATCAAGTTTCCCTAGGGTATATGCTGTTGTCAGAGGCATTCAAACCAGAGCGACTCCATCTTGAACAGGAGCTGAGTAAAATAATGCTGAGACCTACTGGGCTGCATTCCCAAAAAGTTAAGGCATCCTTAGTCACGCGTTGATGAGATAGGAGGTCGGCACAAGATACAGGTCATAAAAGACCTTGCTGATAAAACAGGTTGCAGTAAAGACACCGGCCAAAACTCAACAAAACCAAGATGGTCATGAAAGTGACCTCTGGTCATCCTCACCACTCATTATACACTAATTACAATGCAGTAGCATGCTAAAAGACACTCCCACCAGTGCCACGACAGTTTACAAATGCCACGGCAACATCAGGAAGTTACCCTATATGGTCTAAAAGAGGGGGAACCCTCAGCTCCGGAAATTGCCCACCCCTTTCCTGAAAAATCATGAATAATTCACCCCCTGTTTAGCATATAATCAAGCAATAAGTATCCTTAGTCCAGCAGCCCAAGCTGCTGCTCTGCCTATGGAGTAGCCGTTCTTTTATTCCTTTATTTCCTTAATAAACTTGCTTTCACTTTATGGACTCTCCCCAAACTCTTTGTTGTGTGAGGTCCAAGAACCCTCTCTTGAGTTCTGTATCAGGACCCCCTTTTCCGATAACACCGGGGGTGCTGACAGGGCAGAAATGCAGCCAGGATCCTTGAGATTTCATTGGCAAATCCCTCCAATTCCAAGCAATCAGGGTGGGTTTTAAAGGGCCCCAGGTTCTTTGCTGGCTTCTTTCTGCCTTGAAGAAAATGAAGTAGAATTTAGTTCTTAGGTAAATCATAGACTTGTGTAGAATGTTGGAGTCATGGAAGCTTAGATGAGCAGGTGGAGACGGGGCAGGGAAAAGTTTTCCTCTACCTTGTTAGGATAATGACTGGGGGCCTGCAAATTAAACTGACAAAAGACAGATTAGCATGAGAAGAGACGGATTTAATCATTTAATCTTATCCTTAAAGGAATTCACACAAAAATGTGACTCAGGAAGGCATTAGAATTGGGAGTTTATATACCATCTTAATAGAGGAAGGAAAAGGGAGAAGGGCACTTACAGGAACACGTGACTTTTAGGAAAGAGAGATGGGCCCTTAGGAGAATAGATGGGAGATATGATAATTTTGTGACAGTCTGTTTAGGTGTGGTGACTTCTAGCCTTCAGAGATAACAGTCAATCTTCCCTGATTGCTCTGGGAGGGGATTTATAATTGAGTTCTTTTGGGAGGCTCTACTTTTAGGCAGATCAAAGATTTCAGGAACTCAAATCCCTTCTGCTCATAATAATTTTTATGCCATGGCAGCATATTCTAGACCCCTTCACTGAAAAGTCCAGGGATTAGATACCAACTACATCATTTAAAGCTGGATCTAGGAGCTCAAACCATTTCATCAAGTCTCAGTTATTTTTCTGTCTCTTACACATGTCAATTAATCAATCTGTTGTCCTCTCCCTCCCTCTCTATGCTGTCTTTCTCTGTGATGGCTTCATTCTCTGGCAAGCTCCTCCCATGTCAGGACCAGATGGCCCCCAGCACCTCCAGATATGCATCAAGCCAATTGCTGTCAATTTTACTTTTCCCAAGAGTTCCAGCAAAATCCCTTGGATTGGGTTTCACTGGATCCAGCAGAAGAAGAAGTCTGCTGATTGGCCAGGCCGGGCACACATGCCCACCCTCAAGCTGGGAGGGTGGAAAAGCAAAGTCAGCCTCACCCAAACCGCATGGACTGAGTGGAGGCGGGGTGGTTTCCCGGAGGATAACTAGGGTGCTGCTAACAGAAGGAGCAGAGTGGATGCTCGGCAAGGGAAAACCACAGATGTCCTCTGTACAGAGTGACTCTACAGTGTAAGAAAAGCTGAATCACAGAGTCATGGGATCACAGAGTCTCAGGAGACCCCTTCAAAGTGGGCTCCTCCAGTTCTTTCTGTGGCAGCTGCTTGCCCGGTGCCTCAGGGAGCCCCATGCTGTCCCTGACTGATGCCTGAGTGCTGGGCAGCCTGGGGAATCGGGGCGAGGGTCCCCCTGGCATTCCCCCCTCCTTCCTCACTGCTCTTCTGCTGGAAGATTCTGGGTCACAGCTGCCCACCAGGCGCCTTGTTTATGCTCCTTCCCAGCGAGCTCTGGGTTCTGGCCATCTGCCAGGCTGGCTGCCAGCCACACTGACCACAGACTACATTCTCTCTCCCTGACACACAGGCCCAGTCGGAAGGACATCCGGGGCTCCTCCAGGGATAGCAGCAGGCCAGGGCACAGAGAGCGGTCCTCTTGGAGGCCGAGGCCTCAGGCCTCTTCTAGACTAGGATAGTGGTCTCCCCTCTCACCTTCCACCAGAGCCACAGCCACGCCTCTCCAGCAACACACTGGAGCATGCAGTTCAGATCTGCTCAGACACTCTTAAGGCTTGGGCCATTACGTTTCTCCCAAGTGAGAGCCAGCAGCAAGAGGAAAAGAAGGGTTAACCTAAACAGAGCCTTACTGAGTAGAAAGGCCAGACCTTCTTCCTCTCCCCGCAACTGGGTCTCAAAGAGATTCCCCAGTGACTCCTGCTATCCCTTCTTCTTTTCCTCCTTCCCTGTTCACTGCTCTCTCCATAGAACATTCCAGCAGAAAGACAGCTTTAAAAACACCTAATCTGGGATAGCTCAGTGGCTCACGTCTGTAATGCCAGCCTTTTGGGAGGCTGAGGTGGGCGGATCGCTTGAGCCCACAAGCTCAAGGTATGCCTGGGCAACATAGGGAGACCCTGCCTCTACAGATAATTTTTTAAAAAATTAGCCAGGCCAGGTGGCACAGACTTGTGGTCCCAGCTACTCAAGAAGCTGAGGCAGGAGGATCACCTGAGCCTGGGAGGTTGAGGCTACAGTAAGTCATTATCGCACTAGTGCACTCCAGCCTGAGTGACAGAGGAGACCCTGTCTCAAAAGAAAAGAAAAAAAAAAAAGCCCGGACACGGTGGCTTACACCTGTAATCCCAGCGCTTTGGGAGGCTGAGGTGGGTAGACCACGACGTCAGGAGATTAAGACCAGCCTGGCCAAGATGGTGAAACCCCATCTCTACTAAAAATGCAAAAAATTAGCCAGGCATGGTGGTAGGTGCCTGTAATACCAGGTACTCGGGAGACTGAGGCAGAGAATTGCTTGAACCCGGGAGGCAGAGGTTGCAGTGAGCCTAGATCTCGCCACTGCACTCCAGCCTGGGCTACAGATGGAGACTCTGTCTCAAAAACAAAACAAAACAACACAAACAAACAAAAAACCCACCTAATCTGGAGATGGCAGGCTGGCAGCTCACAGTCCAGAATACGTTGTACTTGGCCCTCCTACTTTTTAAGAAAAATTTGAGCCAAAGTTTTAATAATCGGGAAATTTCAAATAAAAATTGATGTGTTCAATTTCTCTAGAAAGTGTGTGAGATCTGCTAACATTGGGCATCCATGTCCACATGGCACCAATCAGCATATGCTGAGTGCCAGTTGCCCTAAAGACAGAGTGGGCATCCTACATGTTCCCCATAGACAGTCAGCAGGCCCCTCTTATTCCCCTCCACTGAGACCAAGTGCCAGTTGTCATTTTCCTTCACTCCTTTTTTTTTTTTTTTTTTGAGACTCAGTCTTGCTCTGTCACCCAGGCTGGAGTACAGTGGGGCAATCTCAGCCTGCTGCAACCTCGGCTTCCCAGGTTCAAGTGATTCTCTTGCCTCAGCCTCCTGAGTATCTGGGATTACAGGTACATGCCATCATGCCTGGCTAATTTTTGTATTTTTAATAGAGATGGGGTTTCACCATGTTGGCCAGGCTGGTCTCAAACTCCTGACCTTAAGTGATCCACCTGCCTTGGCCTCCCAAAGTGCTGGGATTACAGGTGTGAGCCACCACGCCCCGCCATCATTTTCCTTCACTCTTGCATTTTTTTTTTAATTACTTTAGATAGTCTGCCTCTACGGATTCATCAGAAATAGGAAACGAGACTGAGAGTGTGGCATGTTTCAAGGAAATCAGAAGAGAACCTACGTGTTTATAGAGGAAATGAATATTCCTAGACGTTTCTATTATTGGCATGACCCCAGTGTAAGCATTTGCATTTGTAACCCCAATCTCATCAACCGCCTGCTAGTTTGCAGTAGGACTCATCTAGGCCCAGAAAGGTATATCCAGTCCCTTGGCCAAGGCTGGGCTGAGTCAGAAAAAAGGGGATGTAAAGGGGGTTTGGGGTTCCCTCCATCCACACCTGCTCTCAGCATAAATGAAGACATCTTTTCAGAAGCAACATCACCGTCATCTCCATGCCTCTCACTTTAAGGGGGAAGTTAGCCAGGCTTGGTGGCACATGCCTGTAGTCCCAGCTACTCAGAAGGCTAAGATGAGAGGGTTGCCGGAGCCCAGAAGTTCGAGTCCTGCCTGGGCAACATAGTGAGATCCCATCTCTAAAAAAATTTTAAAAAGAGGGAGCCAGCCGGGCATGGCAGCTCACGCCTGTAATCCCAGCACGTTGGGAGACTGAGGTGGGTGAACCACCTGAGGTCAGGAGTTCAAGACCAGCCTGACCAATATGGTGAAACCCCGTCTCTACTAAAAATACAAAAATTAGCTGGGCATAGTGGTGTGTACCTGTAGTCTCAGCTACTTGGGAGGGTGAGACAGTAGAACTGCTTGAACGCAGGAGGCGGAGGTTGCAGTGAGCTGAGATGGTGCCACTGCACTCCAGCCTGGGCAACAGAGCAAGATTCTGTCTCAAAAAAAAAAAAAAAAAAAAAAAAAAAAAAAAAAAAGGGCTGGCACAGTGACTCACGCCTGTAATCCTAGCACTTTGGGAGGCTGAGGCGGGCAGATCATGAGGTCAGGAGTTCAACAGCAGCCTGGCCAACATGGTGAAACCCCATCTCTACAAAAATATGAAAATTAGCTGGGCGTCATGGCGGGTGTCTGTAATTCCAGCTACTTGGGAGGCTGAGGCAGGAAAATCGCTTCAACCCAGGAGACGGAGGTCGCAGTGAGCCAAGATCGTGCGACTGCACTCCAGCCTGGGCCACAGAGCGAGACCCTGTCTCAAAAAAAAAAAAAAAAAAAAGCCTTTGAGGAAAGAAGGGTGGGAAGGACCAAAGGCCATCATCTGAGGAACCGTCTAGGAGCTGGGAGCTGACCTGTTCTCAGGGCTCCAGGCTCACTGCAGCGATGCCGGGAAGCTGACTTCTCACCAGAGGGAAGAAGTTTCTGTTGAATCTTGTTGTTTGAATGGGCTGCCTGGAGAGACAGGAAGTTCCTGCTCTTGAAGACCATCAGGAAAGACACAAGACCACTGGGGAAGTTGTAGGAAGAGTTAAGATAGAGGGTCTGGGTTGAGCCGACGTTATTTTTTGGAGGATCTCTGATAAATATCAGAGGCTTTGGGAGCCCCCTAAAATTACAAAAAGTTACATGTCTTAGGAGAGCATTTATGACTTTTTTCAGATTCAAAGGGACACCTGAGCCTACAAAAAGGTTATCATCCTCAAAAAACAAAACATAGAACTACCATATGATCCAGCAACCCCACTGCTAGGTATGTGTTCAAAAGAAAGGAAATCAGTTTGTCCAGAGCTATCTGTACCCTTGTGTTTATCACAGCACTACACAATAGCCAAGATATGTAATCAACCTCAGTGTCTGATATGGTTTGGCTGTGTCCCACGTGAATCTCACCTTGAATTGTAACAATCCTCACGTGTCAAGGGGAGGGCCAGATAATTGAATCATGGGGCGGTTTCACCCATACTGTTCTCCTGGTAGTGAATAAGTCTTACGAGACCTAATTTTTTTTTGTTTGTTTGTTTTTGAGACGGAGTCTCACTCTGTCTCCCAGGCTGGAGTACAATGGCGCATTCAGCTCACTGCAACCTCCACCTCCTGGGTTCAAGCAATTCTCCTGTCTCAGCCTCCCGAGTAGCTGGGACTACAGGCGCCCACCACCACGCCTGGCTTATTTTTGTATTTTTAGTAGAGACAGGGTTTCACCATGTTGACCAGGCTAGTCTTGAACTCCTGACCTCTGGTGATCCACCTGCCTCGGCCTCCCAAAGTGCTGGGATTACAGGCGTGAGCCACAGCGACAGGCAGGAGTTGCCATTCTTTACTCCTTTACTTTCTTAATAAACTTGCTTTCAGACCGGGCACAATGGCTCACGCCTGTAATCCCAGCACTTTGGAAGGCTAAGGCGGGCAGATCACCTGAGGTCAGGATTTTGAGACCAGCCTGGCCAACATAGTGAAACCCTGTTTCTACTAAAACTACAAAAAAAAAAAAAAAAAAAAAAAATTAGCCAGGCCTGGTGGCAGGTGCCTGTAATCCCAGCTACTCGGGAGGGTGAGGCAGGAGAATAGCTCGAACCTAGGAGGCAGAGGCTGCAGTGAGCCAAGCGTGCCACTGCACTCCAGCCTGAGTGACAAGAGCCAGACTCTGTCTCAAAAAAAACCAAAAAACAACCAAAAAAAACTTGCTTTCACTTTACTCTATAGACTCTCCCCAAATTCTTTCTTGCATGAGGTTCAAGAAACTTCTCTGGTGGTCTGGATCAGGAGGACCCCTTTCTGGTAACAAAACCAAAAAGTACACACATAACCAACTTCAGTTAAAGACAAATGTCAAGAATACAATAACACCAGGTCGAACGAGAGAGAGTGAAGAGATGGGGCTGTCATGGGCAGGATTCTCTGAGGGGGTGCTGGCTGAGTTTCCCTCCTGCCAGCTGCCAGCGAACTTAAAACCCCACCATGGCCTTCATTCCTCAGAAGATCCCCAAGAGGAAGCTGTTTCATCCTTGTTTTACTGTGAGGGAATGAGGCTTCCGGAGGTTAAATAACTTACCCAGGCGCAGAGCTTGGAAGTGGCCTGCAGGGATTCGAACCACCACACCCCTTGCACTGCAGTCTGTTTACTTCTCTGACATTGTGTTGGCTCCATTGTGAAATGAGTGGGTTGGCCTAAGACTCCTAAAGGGTCCTTCCTCTAAAATCATATGTATAGAGAGTATACAAAGGAGATCTGTCGGCAACTGACACCTCGGAGAGCAGGTGTTCGGGCTATTTTCTCTCCCCACAAGGAATAAAATACTAATTATGACATGAAAACTGAGAGGGCCAGGCTTACTGATTTTCTACTGCTCATCAGGGGATTCAGAGAAAGCGTATCAGTGGTTTAGCAGCTGCAGAAACAGGTCGGTAGTTAAGATACCAAATGCAAATACCTCAGGCTCGGAAATTCCTGCCCTGTTGAAACAAAGGACAGGATCTCAGGCGGTTTGCTCGCAGGGCTCCCGCAGGTGGACCGTCCCAGCCAGGAGCTTAGTGTGTGTGGGAGCCTGCTTCTAGATGTTTATGGTCAGTGGGTTCACACTCACTCACAGGAGCATCCTCCTCTGACTCTGCAGCCAAATCTGAGTCCCACGTGGCCTTGGCTGTGAAGCTGCACCCCCGACTGAGACCACAGACCGCGTTTGCCAACTTGCTTGTTCTGGCCTCCGAGCTCTTGGATTCTCACTTTTTTGAACTACATCTAAGAAAAAGTGGTCATAATAAATATTTGGCTCCTAACTGACCTTATAAGATGATGCCATTTGCTAACTGACCTTATAAGATGACGCCATTTAATTTTTTTTAACTGTGGTAAAATATATGTAACATAAAATTTACTTTTTTTTTTTTTTGAGACAGAGCCTAGCTCTGTCACCACACTGGAGTACAGTGGCGCGATCTCAGCTTCAATGCAACCTCCATCTCTTGAGTTCAAGCAATTCTCCTGCCTCAGTCTCCCAAGTACCTGGGATCACAGGCACATGCCGCCATGCCCAGCTGATTTTTGTATTTTTAGTAGAGACGGGGTTTCACTATGTTGGCCAGGATGGTCTCTATCTCCTGGCCTCGTGATCCGCCCACCTCAGTCTCCCAAATTGCTGGGATTACAGGTGTGAGCCACCGTGCCCGGCCTTTTTTGTTTGTTTGTTTTTTGAGACAGAGTCTTGCTCTGTCGCCCAGGCTGGAGTGCAGTGGCACAATCTCGGCTCACCGCAAGCTCTGCCTCCCAGGTTCACGCCATTCTCCTGCCTCAGCCTACCGAGTACCTGGGACTACAGGCACCCACCACCACACCCAGCTAACTTTTTGTATTTTTAGTAGAGACGGGGTTTCACCATGTTAGCCAGGATGGTCTCGATCTCTTGACCTTGTGATCCGCCCGTCTCGGCCTCCCAAAGTGCTGGGATTACAGGCGTGAGCCACTGCGCCTGGCCTCAGAGGGGTCTTTTTAAAGTGCAAATCCAGAGGCTGGGAGTGGCGGCTCACGCCTGTAATCTCAGCACTTTGGGAGGCCAAGGTGGGTGGATCACATGAAGCCAGGAGTTTGAGACCAGCCTGAGCAACATGGCGAAACCCCGTCTCTACTAAAAATACAAAAATTAACTGGGCGTGGTGGCAGGCGCCTGTAATCCCAGCTACACAAGAGGCAGAGGCAGGAGAATGGCTTGAACCCGGGTGGCGGAAGTTGCAGTGAGCAGAGATCATGCCACTGCATTCCAGTCTAGGCAGCAGAGTGAGTGAGACTCCATCTCGAAAAATAAATAAATAAATGAAAAATAAAGTACAAATTCAGTCCTGCCGCTGGACTGATAAAAACTCTTCAGTGTCTTCCTGAGAGCCTCAAGAAAAAGTCTAGGCTGGCTTATAAATTCCTATGTGTTCCTGCTCATGTCTCCCTCTTCATGACAGTCAGACAGAAGACTCCCAATGCAGCCTTCATCCAGGGTTTCTCCACTTTGACACTATTGACATTTTGGGAGAAATCATTCTTTTTTTTTTTTCTTGAGCTGGAGTCTTGCTCTGTCTCCCAGGCTGCAGTGCAGTGGCGCAATCTCAGCTCACTGCAACCGCCGCCTCCCAGGTTGAAGCGATTCTCCTGCCTCAGCCTCCTGAATAGCTGGGATTACAGGCGTGTGCCACGACGCCTGGCTAATTTTTGTATTTTTAGTAGAGATGGGGTTTCGCCATGTTGGCCAGGTTGGTCTCGAACTCCTGACTTCAGGTGATCCGCCCGCCTCAGCCGGATTGTTGGGATTACAGGTGTGAGCCACCGCGCCAGGCCAAAATCATTCTTTGTTGTTGGTGCTGTCCTGTGCATCTCAGGATGTTCTTTGGCTTCTACCCACTAGATGCCAGTATCACCTCTCCCCAACCTCACCTCCAGTCATGATAACCAAAAGTTTCCAGCCACTACCAAGTGTCGCCTGGGGTACAAAATCAGCCTACACCCGCTCTCTGTCCTTGGTGGCTACAGGAGCATTTACTTACCTGGCAAAATCTCACAGTCTTCAGGTTTCTCTCCTAAATGGCCCCAACATGCTGTACCTGTGTTTTCCCCACTAGACTGTGAACATCCTGAGGACAAGGACCATGTCTAATTCATCTCGGTGTCCTCAGCAGCACGAGTCAGAAGCCACTTGTCAGAGTTTCTCTGCTTTGTGGGAGGAGAGGGTGGTATGAACAGGTGGAAGACAAGTCTCTTGGTGTACACATTTGCCGGCTGTGTCTGTTTACATTCCATTTATGCAGTTCCTGCTATATGTAAGCAAAAGGTACAAGTAGCATCTCAATTTAATTTTTGAAACCTTATGTGTTAGGGATTCTGATCCCATTTTACAGAGAAGAAGAAACCAAGGCATAAAGAGAAATGACTCGGCCAGGCACAGGGGCTCACACCTGTAATCCTAGCACTTTGGGAGGCCAAGGTGGGCAGATTGTCTGAGCTCAGGTGTTCGAGACCAGCATGGGCAACATGGTGAAACCCCATCTCTATTAAAATACAAAAAAAAAAAAAAATTAGCTGTGTATGGCGGTGTGCGCCTGTAGCCCCAGCTACTCGGGAGGCTGAGGCACGAGAATTGCTTGAACCCAGGAGGCAGAGGCTGCAGTAAGCTGAGATCATGCCACTACACTCCAGCCTGGTGACAGAGCGAGACTCCATCTCAAAAAAAAAAAAAAAAAAAAAAGAAAAGAAATGACTCACCCAAGATTCCATATAACCTGGAAGTAGCATGGCTGGTATTCAAACCCGGGATTCTCTGGTTCTAATGCCCCTGTTCCTATCAGTTTCATATTCTCCTCCTGTTGTGATTGTAAACCTAGAGGCTCAAATTCATCAGAATATCAGGGTTAGGTGGACCTTTAGAATTGCACCATTTCAGGCACATGCTGGTAGGTCCTAACCTCTGTGCTAACTCCAATCCATTGGTGGTAGCTGATGAGAACACTGTGTTGACAATAATTCTGAGGCTGATTAACACATGTACCATCATCAATTGGCAAACCCTGCCATGGCAGGGGTGTGTGTGGCGGAATGTAGGCTGTCAGCCATCCCAGAACTGGTCCAAACCCCTTACTTCATAAGTGGAGAAACCAAGGCCCAGAAAGCTGATGACCAAAACCTGTTACTGTCTTTTTTTTTTTTCTTTTTTTGAGACAGAGTGTCACACTGTTGCCCAGGCTGGAGTGCAGTAGCATGATCTTGGCTCACTGCAACCTCTGCCTCCCAGGTTCACGTGATTCTCCTGCCTCAGCCTCCCGAGTAGCTGGGACTACAGGTGCCCATCACCACACCTGGCTAATTTTTTGTATTTTTAGTAGAGATGGGGTTTCACTATGTTGGCCAGTGTGGTCTCGAACTCCTGACCTCGTGATCTGCCCACCTCAGCCTCCCAAAGTGCTGGGATTACAGGCGTGAGCCACCGTGCCCGGCTACTATCTGTCTTTTTAAATATTATAGCCATCTAGTGACTGTGAAGTGTTATCTCATTGTAGTTTTGATTTGCGTTTACCTGATTGCTAGTGATATTCAGCATCTTTTTGTAAGCTTCTTGGCGATTTGTCTATCTTCTTTGGACAAATGCCTACTCAATGTCTTTGTCCTTTTTTTAAAAAAAATTTTTTTCAGATGGGGTCTCACTATGTTGCCCAGGCTGGTCTCAAACTCCTGGGCCCAAGTGATACCTGCCTTGGCCTCCCAAAGTGCTGGGATTACAGGCATGTGGCCACTGCACTTGGCCTTCTTTGTCCATTTTTAAATTGGGTTGTCTTATTATTATTATTATTTTTTGAGACAGGGTCTCACTCTGTCATCCATGCTGGAGTGCAACGGCATGATCTTGGCTCTCTGCAACCTCCGCCTCCCAGGCTCAAGTGATCCTCGCACCTCAGCCTCCCGAGTTGCTGGGACTACAGGTGTGTGCCACCACACCCGGCTAATTCTTGGTAGTTTTGTAGAGATTGGGTTTCGCCATGTTGCCCAGGATGGTCTTGAACTCCTGAGCTCAAATGATCCACCTGCCTTGGCCTCCCAAAATACTGAGATTATAGATGTGAGCCATTGTGCCCTGCTGGGTTGTTTCATTATTATTGAGTTGCAGGTGTGTGTGTTTTTTTTTTTTTTTTTGAGACTGAGTTTCGGTCTTGTTGCCCAGGCTGGAGTGCAATGGCATGATCTCAGCTCTCTGCAACCTCTGCCTCCCAGGTTCAAGAAATTCTCCTGCCTCAGCCTCCTGAGTAGCTGGGATTACAGGCATGCGCCACCACATCAGGCTAATTTTGTATTTTTAGTAGAGACAGGGTTTCTCCATGTTGGTCAGGCTGGTCTCGAACTCCCGACCTCAGGTGATCCGCCCATCTCTGCCTCCCAAAGTGCTGGGATTATAGGCATGAGCCATCGTGCCTATCTGTAAGTGTTTTTATACATTCTAGATACAACTCCCTTATCAGATGTATAATTTGCAAAAGTTTTTCCCCATTCTGTGCGTTGTCTTCACTTTCAACACAGGCTTTAAAACCAGGATTGGGTTCAAATTCCAGTTCTTCTACTTCTCTGTGACCTTAGGCAAGTTATTTAACTTCTCTCACCTTCAATTCCTTATCTGGAAAACAGGCATAAAAATACCTATGTTACAGGCATGCTGTGAAGATAAAAACAGATAAACAGTGCAAACAAAGTGGTATGGCTAGATGCCATACAGGTGACAACCAGCATGGGTAAGTATAACATGGAACAATGAGTAAGTCAGAAAAGCAACAATGCATCAAACTCCCAAAGCCTTCTGGTGCAATAATTCCCAAACTTGTTTTGGGAATATCTAAGAGGGTCTCTAGCCACCTTAGAGGATTCTGTAAAAATCTCAGAGTTAATAGCAATTTATTTTAGGATCAAAACAAAACCTAATGCTGCATGTCATAAAACAGTTGGTTGCGCAAGATACTTCTGTGTGATAGGAATGAGTAATGAAGAGGGGGACAATGGTTAAAAATCAAGCAAATCAAATCAGACATCCAGCGGGCGCAGTGGCTCATGCCTGTAATTCCAGCACTTTGGGAGGCCGAGGCGGGCAGATCACTTGAGGTTAGGAGTTTGAGACCAGCCTGGCCAACATGGTGAAACCCCATCTCTACTGAAAATACAAAAATTGGCTGGGCGCAGTGGCTCACATCTGTAATCCCAGCACTTTGGGAGGCCGAGGCAGGTGGATTGTTTGAGATCAGGAGTTCGAGACCAGCCTGACCAACACAGTGAAACCCCGTCTCTAATAAAAATATAAAATTAGCCAGGTGTGGTGGCACACACACCTGTAATCCAACTACTCAGGAGGCTGAGGCAATAGAATCGCTTGAACCCAGGAGGCAGAGGTTGCATTGAGCTGAGAACGCACCACTGCACTTCTGCCTGGGTAACAGAGCAAGACTCTGTCTAAAAAAAAAAAAAATAGCCGGGAATGGTGGTGGGCACCTGTAATCCCAGCTACTCTAAAGGCTGAGGCAGGAGAATCTCTTGAACCTGGGAGGCAGAGGTTGCAGTGAGCCAAAATCATGCCATTCATTGCACTCCAGCCTGGGCAACAAGAGCAAAACTCCATCTCAAAAAAAAAAAAAAAAAAAAATGCACGGTGGCTCATGCCTGTAATCCCAGCACTTTGGGAGGCCGAGGTAGATGGATCAAGAGGTCAGGAGTTTGAGACCAGCCTGGCCAAGATGGTGAAACCCTGTCTCTACTAAAAATACAAAAATTAGCCAGGCACGGTGGTGAGCACCTGTAATCCCAACTACTCAGGAGGCAGAGGTTGCAGTGAGCCAAGATCGCACCACTGCACTCTAGCCTGGGAGACAGAGCAAGACTCCGTCTCAATAAAAAAAAAAAAAAAAAAAAAAAAATCAGACATCCACAAGCAAAAAATGAACCTCAACCTAAACCTTATACCTTATACACAAGTTAAATTGAAATGGATCATAGACTTACATGTAAAATGTAAAACTATAGAACTTTAAAAAAATAGGTGAAAATTCAGTATCTAGGGCTAGGCAAGGAGTTCTTACACTTGACACTAAAAAGCATGATTTCGCCGGGCTCAGTGGCTCATGCCTGTAATCCCAGCGCTTTGGGAGGCCGAGGTGGGCAGATCACCTGAGGTCAGACCAGCCTGGCCAACATGGTGATACCCTGTCTCTATTAAAAATACAAAAATTAGCTGGGCATGGTGGTGCATGCCTATAATCCCAGCTACTTGAGAGGCTGAGGCAGAAGAATCACTTGAACCCAGGAGGTGGAGGTTGCAGTGAGCCGAGTTGTTGCCACTGCACTCCAGCCTGGGTGACAAGAGCAAGACTCCATCTCAAAAAATCAATCAATAAATAAATACAAATAAAAAGCATGATTTATATAATAAAAACTTCATCAACTGAACTTTATTGAAACTTCAAACTTTTGTTCTGTGAAAGCCCCTGTGAAGACAATGACAAGACAAAGTACATGTTGGAGAAAATATTTGCAAGCCATATATCTGACAGAGGATTAATATCTAGAATATAGCAAAAACTCTCAAACTTGACCGGTTGTGGTGTGCTGTAATCCCAGCACTGTAGGAGGCCAAGGTAGGAGGACTGCTTGAACCCAGGAGTTCAAGACCAGCCTGGACAACACAGTGACAACCCATTTCTACAAAATATTTAAAATACAGCTGGGCATGGTGGTGCACATCTGTAGTTCCAGCTACTCCGGAGGCTGAGGTGGGAGGATTGCCTGAGCCCAGGAGTTGGAGGCTGCAGCAAGCCATAACTGTGCCACTGTACTTCAGCCTGGATGATAGAGTGAGACCCCACTCAACTCAACTCCAACAAACAAAGAACAAAAACAGAAAAACAAAAAACGCCTCAAACTCAATAGTTAAAAAAAAAAAAAAACAAACAATCTGGTTGGAACATGAAGCAAAAGTTCATCAAAGCGAATATATAAATGAGAAATAAGTATATTTTCACATTCAGTATTATTCACCGTTAGGGCAATGCAAATTAAAAACCACAATGGGTTATCACTTACATAAGTATCCGAATGACTAAAATAAAAAATAGTGACAACAACAAATGCTGGTGAGGATGCAGAGAAACTGGATCACTCATACATTGCTGATGGAAATATAAATGGTACAGACACTGTGAAGAACAATTGGGCAGATTCTTAAAAAACTAAACATGCAACTACCATACAATGCTGCAATTGCGCTCGTAGGCATTTATCCCAAGAAAATAAAACTTACAGTTACACAAAGCCTGTATAGAAGTGCATATAGCAGCCAGGCGCGGTGGCTCATGCCTGTAATCACAGTACTTTGGGAGGCTGAGGCAGGTAGATCACGAGGTCAAGAGATCGAGACCGTCCTGGCCAACATTGTGAAATCCCGTCTCTACTAAAAATACAGAATTAGCTGGGGGTGGTGGTGCGCGCCTGTAGTCCCAGCTGCTCAGAAGGCTGAGGCAGGAGAATCACTTGAACCCAGGAGGTGGAGGTTTCAGTGAGCCGAGATCATGCCACTGCACTCCAGCCAGGCAACAGAATGAGACTCTGTCTCAAAAAAAAAGAAAAAAAAGAAATGTGTATAGCAGCATGATTTGTAATAGCCAAAACTGGAATCAACCTACAGGTCTTTCAACAGGTGAACAGTCAAACAAATAGTGAAAGCTACATACCATGAAATAGTACTCAACAACAAAAAGGAAGGAAATACTGATATATGCAACCACTGAGAAGAATCTCCAGGGAATTAAGCTAAGTGAAAAAAGCCAATTCCCAAATAGTATTTACTGTATTGTTCCACTTACATAACATTTTGAAATGATAAAATTTTAGAAATGGAGGCAGATGAACAGTTGCCAGAGATTAGGGATGAAGAGGAGAGGCAGGAGTTAGGTTTGGTGTGGTTATGAAAGAGCAACATGGCTGGGTGTGGTGGCTCACGCCTATATTCCCAGCACTTTGGAAGGCTCAGGTGGGTGGATCACCTGAGGTCAGGAGTTCGAGACCAGTCTGGCCAACATGGTGAAACCCAGTCTCTACTAAAAATAAAAACATTGCCTGGGTGTGGTGGTATGTGCCTGAATCCCAGCTACTCGGGAGGCTGAGGCAGGAGAATCACTGGAACCTGGGAGGCAGAGGCTGCAGTGAGCCGAGATTGTGCCACTGCACTCCAGCCTGGGCAACAGAGTAAGACTCCACCTCAAAAAAAAAAAAGAAAGAGCAACACAAGGGATCCTTGTGTGGTCATGGAACTGTTCTGTTTCTTGACTGTGATGGTGGACACAGGAATCTATACAGGTGATAAAATTGTGTAGAATGAGTACACTCACACCACACATTCACACACAAAAATGAGTCCAGGTAAAACTGGCAAAAATTTCTTACAACTTAATGTGAAGTACAATCATCTGAACAAGAACTTCTGTTAAAAAAATTAAGTAAATCTGTTATAATGATCATGCTAGCCCCTACTCTTCAACCTTACAATACCTTTGCACTTAGACTGTGTATGAGGAGGCTGAAACTGGGAGAAGTAATTCACTTGCCTAAGGATACACATTAGTAAGCATCTGACTCCAAAATCACATTCCCCACCGGGCACGGTGGCTCACGCCTGTAATCCCAACACTTTGGGAGGCCAAGGCAGGCAGATTACATGATGTCAGGAGTTCAAGACCAGCCTGGCCAACATGGTGAAACTCCATCTCTACAAAAATACAAAAATTAGCCAGGCATGATGGTGTGTGCCTGCAATCCCAGCTACTCAGGAGGCTGAGGCAGGATAATCACTTGAACCTGGGAGGAGGAGTTTGCAGGTGAGCCAAGATGTGCCACTGCACTCCAGCACGGGCAAGAGAGCGAGTCTCCATCTCAAAAAAAACAAAACAAAACAAAACCAAAAAACCACATTCCCTCTGCTTCCTGCCAGGTGAGATCTTTTGTGGTGTCTCCTAACCCCTCTAAGGCCTATTCTGCCCAGCTGGCTCAAATTCCGTACTGCTAACTCTCTGTTTGTTCATATTAAATTAAATTAAATTAATTAATTAATTTATTTATTTTTTGAGATGGATTCTCACTCTGTCACCCAGGCTGGAGTACAATGGTGCAGTGGTGGCTCACTGCAACCACCACCTCCCAAGTTCAAGAGATTCTCCTGCCTCAGCCACCCAAGTAGCTGGGACTACAGGCGCATGCCACCACACCCAGCTAATTTTGCATATTTAGTAGAGACAGAGTTTCACCATGTTTGTCAGGCTGGTCGCGAGCTCCTGATCTTGTGATCTGCCTGCCTTGGCCTCCTAAAGTGTTGGTATTACAGGCGTATTACAGGTATTACAGGTATTACTGCGACCGACCTACTTTTTTTTTAATAGTAACTTCTGGAAAGTATTTGATTCCTGCAAACACTTGGCACGTGGCCTTGTCAAGGTAACAACTCTTGACATCTTTAGACTGGTTGCTGGTGGTGGTGATCTGAGGCAGGCGGATCACTTGAGCAAGTTTCCAGATTATTGTGTGAGCCCAGACCTGCCTGCCTTTGAACCTCAACTCCTCCCTCCCTCTCACTCTGTGCAGTTGCACCTGTCTTCTCTCAATCCTTCCTGCCAAACTCCTTCCCTCTGCAGGGCCTTTGCACGTGCTGTTCCTGCTGGCAGGAAAATATTTTCCCTCTGGTTTTGTTAACTCCTACCCATCCTTGAGGCCTCAGCTTAAATGTCATTTCCTTGGCAAGGGATCTTATATGGCTTCACAGTCCCCTGTAATTTTTCTTTATGTAGTGTTCACAATTATAGTTAAATAATTATGCATATGCAATTACTTGTTTATTGACTCCCTTCCTTGCTAGAGGGAAGGCTCCCTGAGGCCAGCGGCTGTGTCTCTATGCTTACCAAGTCATCCCCAGTGTTAGGCCCAGTGCCTACCACATAGAAGGAGCTCAATAAATATTTCCTGATTAAAATAATTCAGGGAAATGTTTGAACTAGGGGAGCTGAGGTTATGTAATGCATTGAAGAAAGAAGACTGTAGTTGTACTCAAGAACCTGAGAACTAGTATGAAAAGAGGGCTTACTTTTAACTCTATTCCCTAAACAGTGTGAATTGTTCATTATGTACATTTATTCATTGGGAAAAAGTTTTGAGTTTTTTTTGTTGTTGTTGTTTTTGTTTTTCTTTTTGTTTTTGGAGACAAGAGTTTCACTCTTGTTGCCCAGGCTGAATTGCAATGGTGTGATCTTGGCTCACTGCAACCTCCACCTCCTGGGTTCAAGTGATTCTCCTGCCTCAGCCTCCAGAGTAGCTGGGATTACAGGCGTGTGCCATCATGCCCAGTTAATTTTTGTATTATTAATAGAGACAGGGTATCACCATGTTGGCCAAGCTGGTCTCAAACTCCTCACCTCAGGTGACTCGCCTGCCTCAGCCTCCCAAAGTGCTGGGATTACAAGTGTGAGCCACCGCGCCTGGCCTTTTTTTTGAGATGGAGTTTTGCTCTTGTTTCCCAGCCTGGAGTGCAGTGGCGCGATCTTGGCTCACGCAACCTCTGACTCCCGGGTTCAAGCGATTCTCCTATCTCAGCCTCCTGAGTAGCTGGGATTACAGGTGCACGCCACCAGCTTGGTTAATTTTTGTATTATTTATTTATTTTTTGAGACGAAGTCTTACTCTGTTGCCCAGGCTGGAGTGCAGTGGTGCAATCTCTGCTCACTGCAACCTTCACCTCCCTGGTTAAAGCGATTCTCTTGCTTCAGCCTCCCAAGTAGCTGGGACTATAGGCGCCTGCCACCACACCCAGTTAAGTTTTGTATTTTTAGTAGAGACAGGGTTTCACCACCCTTGGCCAGGTTGGTCTCGAACTCCTGACCTTGTGATCCGCCCACCTTGGCCTCCCAAAGTGCTGGGATTATAGGCGTGAGCCACCGCACCTGGCCATTTTTTGTATGTTTAGTAGAGACAGGGTTTCACCATGTTGACCAGGCTGGTCTCGAACTCCTGACCTCAGGTGATCCACCCGCCTCGGCCTCCCAAAGTGTTGGGATTACAGGCGTGAGCCCGTGTGCCTGGCTGGAAAAAAGTTTTAATCAGAAGAACAAAGAATAAAAAAATCAGATGCCCTGCCTATAAATAAGGACATTTGAACCTAGATCTTTGGACGCTCTCCATGTACCCACTCTCCCTTCTCACTGATGTTTGGGAAAGTGACTTCAGAAGTCAAGTGGTCCATTACCCTAGCAGGTAAGGCTCTGCCAGTTGCTTGCATTGCTAAACAGGAAGCTTACTCTCTCCCAAGGACCCATAGGAAACTACATTGTATTCTGATTTTTCCTTGTGCTTAAAAATGCTACAACAGGCATGGCACAGAGGCTCATGCCTGTAATCCCAGCACTTTGGGAGGCCGAGGCGGGCATATCATGAGGTCAGGAGATCAAGACCATCCTGGCTGACATGATGAAACCCCGTCTCTACTAAAATACAAAAAATTAGCTGGGCATGGTGGTGCGCACCTGTAGTCCCAGCTAGTTGGGAGGCTGAGACAGGAGAATCGCTTAAACCTGGGAGGCAGAGATTGCAGTGAGCTGAAACCACGCCACTGCATTCCAGCCTGGCGACAGAGCAAGACTCCATCTCAAAAAAAAAAAAAAGCTACAACAGCCTGCCCCTACCAAGACAATGTCCTTCCTAGCCTGTCATGGATCCCAGTTAATACCAGGTCACCTGAGGTCCCAAATCATTCAGTCCTTTAAAAAATACTTGCCTGGGCATAGTGGTTTCCACCTGTAATCTCAGCACTTTGGGAGGCCGAGGCAGGCGGATCACTTGAGGTCAAGTGTTCGAGAACAGCATGGCCAATATGGTAAAACCTCATCTCTACTAAAAATACAGATTGGGCACGGTGGCTCATGCCTGTAATCCCAGCACTTTGGGAGGCCGAGGAGGGCAGATCACTTGAGGTCAGAAGTTTGAGACCAGCCTAGCCAACATGGTGAAACCCTTCTCTACTAAAAATACAAAAAGTACCCAGGTGTGGTGGCACATGCCTGTAATCCCAGCTACTTGGGAGGCTGAGGCAGGAGAATTGCTTGAACCCGGGAGGCAGAGGTTGCACTGAGTGGAGATCACGCCACTGCACTCCAGCCTGGGCGACAGATCGAGACTCCGTCTCAAAAAAACAGAAACAAAAACAAAAATTAGCTGGTTGTGGTGATGTGCACCTGTAGTCCCATTTACTCGGGAGGCTGAGGCAGGAGAATCATTTGAACCTGGGAGGCGGAGGTTGCAGTGAGCCGAGATCGCACCACTGCACTCCAGCCTGGTCGACAGAGTGAGACTCCATCTCAAAGAAACAAACAAATGAACAAACAAAAATCCCTGACCTTTATCTAGAAAGAAAGGAAGGAAGGGAAAGAGAGAGATTGAGAAAGGGAGAGAGAGAGAGAAAAAAAGCAAACAAGAAAGAGGCCGGGTGCCGTGGCTCATGCATTTAATCCCAGCACTTTAGGAGGCTGAGGTGAGAGGATTGCTTGAGTCCAGAAGTACGAGACCAGCCTGGGCAATATAGTAAGAACTTGTCTCTAAATAAACTAGGAAAGAAAGAGAGAAAGCGAGAAAAAGAAGAAAGAAGGAAGGAAGGAAGAAAAGAAGAGAGAGAGAGAAAGAAAGAGAAAGAAAAAGAAAGAAAGAAAGAGAAAGAAAGAAAGAAAGAAAGAAAGAAAGAAAGAAAGAAAGAAAGAAAGAAAGAAAGAAAGAAAGATGTAACCTAATTTGCTCACAGAATAAAGGTTGCTGCTAATTCCCTGCTCCCCTTTACCCTGGCCCTCCCCACTGGGACTTGGTTCAGGTTTCTCCAACCTGGCTGGTTCATCTTTCTGCTTCTGAGCTACTGTCATGGGACAGGGCTTTGTGAGCCTTACCTCCACTCTCAAGATACATTTTTTTTCCATTGCTTATGTTCTTTCCGGCTTCCCCTGTGTCCACTTGTCTAAGGCCTTGCCTTGGCCACATCAGGGAATTTGGGAGCCAGGCCTAACAAGCCTGTATCCTAGCTACCTTGGAAAAGGGGAAAGGACCTTGGTGAACAATGAGCTAGAAATAGAAAGGAAGAAGTGTCTGGTGTGGGAGGAGGCAGATGTGAGTAAAGGTCATAGCTGCTTTTGCACCTCAGCTGGAGAACGTTCGCTACAGCTGGGCCTTATTAGAGAGCCTTCAGGTTGAGATGAGAGAGAGAGAGATTCATTAAAGAAAGGAAATAAATCTGTTTTATGCCTGCTGCCAGCCAGGTATGATGGTATGATGCATTGTGGTTTTTGTTTCGGATCATCTAATCTTCATACAACAGTTCTTTTTTGTCTTTTTTTTATTATTTTTTTTTGAGACAGGGTCTCAGCTGGAGTGCAGTGGTGCAATCATGGCTCATTGCAGCTTCGATAGCCTGGGCTCAAGCGATCCTCCCACCTCAGCCTCCTGAGTAGCTGGGACTACAGGCACCTGCCACTACGCCTGGCTAACTTTTTTTTTTTTTTTTTTTTGAGACGGAGTTTCGCTTTGTCACTCAGGCTGGAGGGCAGTGGAGCGATCTTGGCTCACTGAAACCTCTGCCTCCCGGGTTCAAGCAACTCTCCTGCCTCAGCCTCCGGAGTAGCTGGGATTATAGGTGCCTGCCACCACATCCAGCTAATTTTTGTATTTTTAGTAGAGATGGGGGTTTCACCATGTTGTCCAGGCTGGTCTCGAACTGCTGACTTCAGGTGATCCACCCGCCTCAGCCTCCCAAAGTGCTGAGATTACAGGTGTGAGCCAACATGCCCGGCAATGCCTAATTTTTAAATTTTCTTGTGGAGACAGAGTCTCGCTATGTTGCCCAGGCTGGTCTCAAACTCCTGGGCTTAAGTGATCCTCCTGTCTTGCCTCCCAAAGTGTTAGGATTATAGGCGTGAGTCACCATGCCCAGCCTCATAATACTCTTGAGGGCAGTAATTATTAACCCACATAGCAGATTGAAAAATTGAGGCCCAGAGAGAGCCCCAAAAAGGATAAATGATGAAGCTAGGATGTATTTTCAAGGTTACCCCAAAAACCCATTATTTTCCAGGATTCTTGCATCTCTCTAAGGGCTAGTGCTCAAGCCATGTTGCCTGGACACTCTTATTAGCCCTGCCTGGTCAGGCATTAGCTCTGTTCTCCTGCAGGTAAATCAGACTTGGCTGCTAAGTGGGTATGGCTGCTTCACAGACCACTCATTAAACCATTAATTTATCAGCCACCCTAATATGAACTAATAGAATGTTTAAATTTTAGAGTTGGACTGCCTGGGATTTACTGGGTTTTTTTTTTTTTTTGGTTGTTGTTGTTGTTTTTCCGAGACTGAGTCTTGCTCTGTCACCCAGGCTGGAGTGCAGTGGCACGATCTCGGCTCATTGCAACCTCCATCTCGTGGGCCCAGGCAATTCTCCTGCCTCAGCCTCCTGAGTAGCTGGGATTACAGGTGCATGCCACCACGCCCAGCTAATTTTTGTATTTTTAGTAGAGATGGGGTTTCCCCATGTTGGCCAGGCTGATCTCAAATTCCTGACTTCAGGTGATCTGCTCGCCTCAGCCTCCCAAAGTGCTAGGATTACAGGCATGAGCCACTGTGCCCAGCCTGGATTTACTAGTTGTGCGATATTGAGCCTTTTAAGCACAAAAAATCAGTATCATTAAAATGGCATACTACTTAAAGCAATCTACAGATTCAAGGCAATTCCTATCAAATTACCAACGTCATTTTTCACAGAATTAGAAAAAACAATTCTAAAATTCATATGGAACCAAAAAAGAGCCTGAATAGCCAAAGCAATCCTAAGCAAAAAGAACAAAGTCAGAGACATTGCATTATCTGACTTCGAGCTATACTACGAAGCTATAGTAACCACAACAGCATGGCAGTGGTACAAAAATAGGCACACAGATCAATGGAACAGAATAGAGAATCCAGAAATAAAGTCACACACCTACAACCAACTGATCTTCGACAAAGCTGACACTAATAAACAATGGGGAAATAACCCCCTATTCAATAAATGGTGCTGGGAAAACTGACTGGCCATGCAAAAGAATGAAACTGGGCAAACTGGGCCCCTACTTATTACCATACACAAAAATTAACACAAGATGGATTAGAGAGTTAAATATAAGACCTCAAACTATAAAAACCTTCTAGACACTAGGCGTGGTGGTAGGCGCCTGTAATCCCACCTACTGGGGAGACTGAGGCAGGAGAATCGCTTGAACCTGGAAGGTGGAGGTTGCAGTGAGCAGAGATCATGCCACTGCACTCCAGCCTGGGCAACAAGAGTGAAATTCCATCTCAAAAAAAAAAAAACAAAAAACAAAAGTAAAAAAATAGCAGACGGTGAGGATGCAGAGAAAAGGGAGCAGTTTTACAATGTTGATGGGAATGTAGATTAGTACAACCTCTATGAGACACAGTATGGAGATTTCTTAAAGAACTAAAACAGGCCGGGCGCAGTGGCTCATGCCAGTAATCCCAACACTTTGAGAAGCCGAGGCGGGTGGATCACCTGCGGTCAGGAGTTTGAGACCAGCCTGACCAACATGGTGAAACCCTGTCTCTACTAAATACAAAAAATTAGCCAGGCATGGTGGCACATGCTTGTAATCCCAGCTACTTGGAAGCCTGAGGCAGGAGAATCATTTGAACCCGGGAGGCAGAAGTTGCAGCAAGCTGAGATTGTGCCATTGCATTCCAGCCTGGGAAACTAGAGCAAAATTTCATCTCAAAAAAAACCAACTACCATTCACCCACCAATCCCACTACTGGTTATCTACCCAAAGGAAAAGAAATCATCTTATCCAAAGGGCACCTGTACTCGTACATTTATTGCAGCACTCTTTTCAGTAGCAAACTCATGGAATCAACCTGACTGTCAATGATAGATTAAATTTTAAAAATATGGTACATACACACCATGGACTACTACACATCCATAAAAGAAAAAAATGAAATCATATCCTTTGCAGCAGCATGGATGCAACTGAAGCCCATTACCCTAAGCAAATTAACTCAGGAACAGAAAACCAATTAGGTAACAAAAAGTTAAACAAAAGGTACACGGGGACATAAAGGTAGAAACAACAGACACTGGGGACTCCAAAAGAGCGGAGGGAGGGAGAAAAGCAAGGGATGAAAAGCTTCCTGCGAGGGACGATGTTCACTCTTGGTAATGGGTTCATTAGAAGCTCAAACCTCAGATTTATAACATATACCCATGTAAGAAACCTGCCCATATACCCTCTGAATCTATAATTTTTTTAAAAGTTGTCATTTGAAGAATAATTTTTTTTTTTTTGAGATGGAGTTTTGCTCTTGTCATCCAGGCTGGAGTGCAATGGTGAGATCTCAGCTCACTACAACCTCTGCCTCCCGGGTTCAAGTGATTCTCCGGCTTTAGCCTCCCGAGTAGCTGGGATTACAGGCAGGCACCACCACGCCTGGCTAATTTTGTATTTTCAGTAGAGATGGGGTTGCTCCATGCTGGTCAGGCTGGTCTCGAACCCCCGACCTCAGGTGATCCGCCCGCCTTGACCTCCCAAAGTGCTGGGATTATAGGCGTGAGCCACGGCGCCCGGCCTGAAGAATAAATTTTTTAAAAGAAGAAAAAAAAAAAAATTAAGTGACCACTTCGTCTTTCTATGCCTTGGGTTCTTCATCTGTGAAATGAAGATTGGACTGTTGTAACAATTAAGTGAGATAATACATATGAACTGCTCAGCACAGTCACTGGTGCATAGAAGAAGGTACACAAAGATTAGGTATTACTGATTGAGTGCCTTCTATATCGTACGCATGGGGCTTGCATTTAGAGATGAGCAAAACAAGATGTGCTCCTTGTTCTCTTGTCTAGTTAAGAAGGAAACAAGAAGTAAATAATCACACACAAATAGAGAAAGCTGGCTGGGTGCGGTGGCTCACACCTGTAATCCCAGCACTTTGGGACGCCAAGGCGGGCGGATCACGAGGTCAGGAGATCAAGACCATTCTGGCTAACACACTGAAACCCCGTCTCTACTAAAAATACAAAACATTAGCCGGGCGTGGTGGCGGGCGCCTGTAGTCGCAGCTACTCAGGAGGCTGAGGCAGAATGGCGTGAACCCAGGAGGTGGAGCTTGCAGTGAGCTGAGATCGAGCCACTGCACTCCAGCCTGGGTGACAGAGCTAGACTCTGTCTCAAAAAAACAAAACAAAAAAAACAAAAGACAAAAAAACAACTAGAGAAAGCTATGTGGGAGTACCTGCTTCCTATGGCTAGGTAAGGGAATTGTGATCTGAAAGTCGCTAATGAGGTGAGGAGAGGGCACAATGTTCCAGGCAGAGTGAAAGGCATCTTCCTTGTCTCTGAAGATATTAGATGATCTGGGTTTTTGAGACCCTTCCTCTCAGAATCTCTGAGCCTAGCCCGGGCGTGGTGGTTCATGCCTGTAATCCCAGCACTTTGGGAGGTGGAGGCGGGTGGATCACCTGAGGTCAGGAGTTAGAGACCAGCCTGGCTAACATGGTGAGACCCCCTCCCCTGCAACCCACCATCTCTACTAAAAATAAAAAAATTAGCCAGGTGTGGTAGTGGGCGCCTGTAATCCCAGCTACTTGGGAAGCTGAGGCCAGGGAACCCAAGAGGCAGAAGTTGCAGTGAGCTGCGATCTCACCATTGCACTCCAGCCTGGGTGACAAGAGTGAAACTCCATCTCAAAAAAAAAAAAAAAGAATTTCTAAGCCTACGTGCTGTTTTCCACTATTCCAAGGACAAAGTTTGCATCTTGAAAGCTAATCACTAAACCAAAGCCTTCACAAAGGCCATCAGTGGTTTTACCAAACAGACATTCTTCTCTAACAGCGACTAATATGATTAGTACTGGGTCCAGGCAGGTGAGCAGTTATAAGGGTGAGTTTTGGGTTAAGGCCTAACGGGGGCTAGGTCTTCAATTTTTGGTGGGCTTCAGGTCACCTGTGGAGACTTTTCAATACATCCCAGGGCCACATCCCTGGGAAATCTCAAGTTGGTGGCTTTAAGTAGGGCCTGGTAATCTTCATTTTTCTCATGCTTAGCCAGGGATGAAAACAATAGCATTGTCATTTTGAACTCTGGCTCTACCACCCTCCATCTGGGTGACCTTGAGCAAGTTATTTAACCTCTTTGAGACTCAATTTCTTTCTTTTTTTTGAAACAGAGTCTCACTCTGTCACCGGGGCTGGAGTGCAGTGGTGCGATCTTGGCTCACTGCAACCTCCACCTCCCAGGTTCAAATGACTCTCCTGCCTCAGCCTCCCCAGTATCTGGGATGACAGGTGCCTGCCACTATACCCAGCTAATTTTCTGTATTTTTAGCAGAGACAGAGTTTCACCATGTTGTCCAGGCTGGTCTCGATCTCTTGACCTCGTGATCCACCCGCCTCGGCCTCCCAAAGTGCTGGGATTACAGGCGTGAGCCACTGTGCTCGGCCTGAGACTCAATTTCTTAACGTATAGAATGAAAATAATAATATCTACCCATAGGGCTATCATGAAGATGGAATGATATTAATATACAAGAAATGCTTATTAATGTAGTCCTTGCCATGTAGTAAACATCCCGAACATGGTAGTTATTTTTGTTAGCTTTTTTGTATAACAATAGAATATTCTTTTGGTAAGATTGGCAATGGGAATGATTTATTATAGAAATCATAGAATACTATGTATCCATAAAAAATGATGAGTTCATGTCCTTTGTAGGGACATGGATGAAGCTGGAAACCATCATTCTCAGCAAACTATCACAAGGACAAAAAACCAAACACCGCATGTTCTCACTCATAGGTGGGAATTGAACAATGAGAACACATGGACACAGGAAGGGGAATATCACACACCGGGGCCTGTTGTGGGGTGGGGGGAGCGGGGAGGGATAGCATTAGGAGATATACCTAATGTTAAATGACGAGTTAATGGGTGCAGCACACCAACATGGCACATGTATACATATGTAACAAACCTGCACATTGTGCACATGTACCCTAAAACTTAAAGTATAATTTAAAAAAATAATTAAAAAAAAAAAGAAATCCTGACCCACGGCAGACTGCCAAATGTTTCTTATATCACATGCCAGGTAGAACGGAGATATTTTCAAATTAAATTCTCTTCTCAGGAAGTTTCCTTTGAACTACTGAGATGGAATTTCACTGTTGTTGCCCAGGCTGGAATACAATGGCATGATCTTGGCTCACTGTAACCTCTGCCTCCCAGGTTCAAGCAATGCTCCTGCCTCAGCCTCCCCGAGTAGCTGGTATTACAGGTGCCCACCACCACATCTGTTCGTGTTCTTAGTAGAGACGAGGTTTCACCATGTTGGCCAGGCTGGTCTCGAACTCCTGATCTCAGGTGATCCACCCACCTCAGCCTCCCAAAGTGCTGGGATTACAGGTGTGAGTCACTGCGCCCGGCCTATTTTTGTCATTTATAATCTCTAGCATTTCCTGGGGGAGAGCATGGTCTCTCCTTTTTGTTTCAGTTGGAATTTGGCTCCATCACTTACTAGTTATGACATGACCCTGAAGAAACTAGATCACAGTTCTAAGCTATGGAGTCTGACAAATCAGGTTTGCAGCCTTGGCTCAGCCATTACTGGCTGTATTACCTTGGGCAAGTCACTTCTCTTTTCTTTCTTTTTTTATTTTTTTGTTACAGAGTCACTCTGTTGCCCAGGCTAGAGTGCAATGGCGCAATCTTGGCTCACTGCAACCTCCGCCTCCCAGGTTCAAGCGATTCTCCTGCCTCAGCCTTCTGAGTAGCTGGGATTACAGGCATCTGCCACCACGCCCTGCTAATTATTGTATTTTTAGTAGAGATGGGGTTTCCATGTTGGCCAGGCTGGTCTCGAACTCCTGACCTCAAGTGATCCACCCGCCTTGGCCTCCCAAAGTGCTGGGATTACAGGTGTGAGCCACTGCGCCCAGCCCATGCCTGACTTCTAATGCCTAAGAGGAAACATGCTCAGTACTAATCTTCTCCACCTCCAAATTCAAATCCTGAAGTTGCAGATTTGGAAGATGGGGAATTAGGGAAGCTATGATCATGCTGCTGCATTCCAGCCTGGGCAATAGAGTGAGACACTGTTTCAAAAAAAAGAAATCTGGCATGATTTCTCTGAGGGCTGAGCTTCTGAAAGTGAGCCAGGAGGTGGACAAGTCAGAAATCAACTGAGGTCGTGTGTAATGGCTCATGCCTGTAATCCCAACACTTTGGGAGACTGAGGCAGAAGGATTGCTTGAACCCAAGAATTTGAGAGCAGCCTGAGCAACATACTGAGACCCCATCTCTTCGTTTGTTTGTTTTTGAGACAGTCTCACTCTGTTGCCCAGGCTGGAGTGCAGTGGCGCAATCTCGGCTCACTGCAACCTCTGCCTCCCAGGTTCAAGGGATTCTCCTGCCTCAGCCTCCTGAGTAGCTGGGACTACAGGCATGCGCCACCACGACTGGCTAAATTTTTCTATTTTTAGTAGAGATAGGGTTTCACCATGTTGGTCAGGCTGGTCTCCAAGTCCTGACCTCAAATGATCCACCCACCTCGGCCTCCCAAAGTGCTGGGATCATAGGCGTGAGCCACCGTGCCCGGCTGTAAGACCCCATCTCTACAGAAAAAAATTAAAAAATTAGCCTAGGCAACAAAGCAAAACCTTGTTTCAGAATAAATAAATACATACATTTTAACTCAGACATGGTAAGCTCAGTCCTAAATCCTCTGTCCTGTGGGAAAGAGGAGGAAGTGGAGTGGTAACTCCACCGCAGACCCTGGTCTCCCGGGGCCTTGAGCACTGCCTGGAAGATGCAGATGAAGCCTTGGAGTGGCCCTAGTATATATAGCCGTGGCCTCCACTGGATATGGGGCACTGGAGTTTTTCTCTATGGGCTGGATTCAAGCACCAGAGCTTCCTGACATTTCCCATCAGAAGGGAAAATGAGAAAGGTGGGTAGATGGAAATCTCTCTTCCATATTCATGCAGAATGAAGGCAGATGTGTTGATTTCCTTTTAAGTACTTGTGTCACTTCAACTGTAATTACCTTTTCCCAAATTCAAGAACAGAGTGGGGTGAGGAGGGTGAGGAAAGGATATGAATCTATAATAAGATTCTAAAAGAATTAAAATCTCATCAAATTTTTACCCAAATGCAAACTGCAATCGCTCTTTGGGGCAATTATGGGGAGGAAGAATTTATAGAGAATAGGCCTTACGGCCGGGCGTGGTGGCTCATGCCTGTAATCCCAGCACTTTGGGAGGCCGAGGTGGGCGGATCACGAGGTCAGGAGATCAAGACCATCCTGGCTAACGTGGTGAAACCCCATCTCTACTAAAAATAAAAAAATTAGCCGGGCATGGTGGCGGGCACCTGTAGTCCCAGCTACTCGGGAGGCTGAGGCAGGAGAATGGTGTGAACCTGGGAGGAGGGGCTTGCAGTGAGCCAAGATTATGCCACTGCACTCCAGCCTGGGCGACAAAGCAAGAATCCATCTCAAAAAAAAAAAAAATAGGCCTTAGAGTTTATCAGATGTGGGTACAAATCCCACAGCCCCCACTTATTAGCCAAGTGGCTCTGAGAGCCTCAGCTTCCTCATCTGTTAAATGGAGATAATAATAGCACTGGCCTCATGGGCTATACAGAACCGAACAGAACAAAGAATAAATTAGCCCAGTATCTGCAGGGTAGTATGTTCTTAAGAAATGTCACCGGGGGTGGCGGCTCAGGACTGTAATCCCAGCACTTTGGGAGGCCGAGGGGGGCGGATCACGAGGTCAGGAGATCAAGACCATCCTAGCTAACACAGTGAAACCCTGTCTCTACTAAAAATACAAAAAAATTAGCCAGGCGTGAGGCACACACCTGTAGTCCCAGCTACACAGGAGGCCGAGGCAGGAGAATTGCTTGAATCCGGGAGGCGGAGGTTGCAGTGAGCCGAGATCGCGCCATTGCACTCCAGCCTGGGCAAAAAAGTGAGACTCTATCTCAAAAAGAAATGTCAACTGCTCTTATCTGGGCAAAGCACTGTTTTCCATAGTTGACCTTTTATTTTTATTTTTATTTTATTTTATTTTGAGACAGAGTTTCGCTCTGTCGCCCAGGCTCGAGTGCAGTGGCACAATCTCGGCTCACTGCAAGCTCTGCCCCCCGGGTTCACGCCATTCTCCTGCCTCAGCCTCCGGAGTAGTTGGGACTACAGGCGCTCGCCACCATGCCCGGCTAATTTTTTTGTATTTTTAGTAGAGATGGGGTTTCACCGTGTTAGCCAGGATGGTCTCGATCTCCTGACCTCGTGATCTGCCCACCTCGGCCTCCCAAAGTGCTGGGATTACAGGCATGAGCCACCGTGCCCGGCCTAGTTGACCTTTTAAATTTTATTGGTATTAAAAGTGAGATCAGGAGTTCAAGACCAGCCTGGCCAACATGGTGAAATCTTGTCTCTACTAAAATACAAAAATTAGCCAGACCTGGTGGCAGGCGCCTGTAATCTCAGCTACTCGGGAGGCTGAAGCAGGAGAATTGCTTGAACCTGGGAGGTGGAGGTTGCAGTGAGCCGAGATCATGCCACTGCACTCCAGCCTGGGCAACAGAGCGAGACTCCCTCTCAGAAAAAAAAAAAAAAAGAAAGAGAAAAACTCATATTTTTAATAAAATAATAATAGTACATAATAACAGGGGGTTTTTGGTGACCTTACCTGGCAAAATGAAGAGTTGGCATCTCCAAGCTTGTCCTTCAGGAACAAAATGTAGATAAACAATACCTTCCAGACAAAAGTGTTGTAAGAATTAAAGGAGAGAGTGTGGGCATGGTAGTTCATGCCTGTAATCCCAGCACTTTGGGAGGCCGAGGTGGGTGGATCATTTGAGGTCAGGAGTTCGAAACCAGCCTGGCCAACATGGTGAAACCCCATCTCTACTAAAAATAGAAAAATGAGTCTGGTGTGGTGGCGGGTGCCTGTAATACCAGCTACTCGGGAGGCTGAGGAAGGAGAATCGCTTGAACCTGGAAGTTGGAGGTTGCAGTGAGCTAAGATCACACCACTGCATTCCAGACTGGGTGACAGAGTGAGACTCTATCTCAAAAAAAAAGAAGAACTAAAGGAGAGAAATGTGCAGAGGTGCCCAACACAGGCTGGCTAAGATGCAATCAGATTTTTCTTTTTCTTTTTTTTTTTTTTTTGAGACAGAATCTGGCTCTGTCGCCCAGGCTGGAGTGCAGTGGTGCGAGCTTAGCTCACTGGAATCTCTGTCTCCTGGGTTCAAGTGATTCTCCTGCCTCAGCCTCCCAAGTAGCTGGGATTACAGGTGCCCACCACCACACCTGGCTAATTTTTGTATTTTTAGTAGAGACAGGGTTTCTCCATGTTGGCCAGGCTGGTCTTCAACTCCTAACCTCAGGTGATCCACCTGCCTTGGCCTCCCTAAGTGCTGGGATTACAGGCATGAACCGCTGCACCCGGCCTAGAATCAGACTTTTCTACACCAGCTCTGTCCTGTAGCAAAATAACGTAAGTCATACATGTAACTGAAAATGTTCTGGTAGCCATATTAAAAGCATAAAAAGAAATAGGTGGAAGTAATTTTAATAATGTTTTTAATTTAATTTAAATTAATTTATTTAGTTATTTATTAGTTATTTATTTAGTTAGTTATTTAGTTTAGTTTTTTGAAAGGAGGTTTCACTCTTGTTGCCCAGGCTGGAGTGCAATGGTGTGATCTTGGCTCACCGCAACCTCCACCTCCGGGGTTCAAGTGATTATCCTGCTTCAGCCTCCCAAGTAGCTGGGATTACAGGCATGTGCCACCAAGCCTGGCTAATTTTATACTTTTAGTAGAGACAGGGTTTCTCCATGTTGGTCAGGCTGGCCTCGAACTCCTGACCTCAGGTGATCCACCCACCTTTGCCTCCCAAAGTGCTGGGATTACAGGGGTGAGCCACCGTGCCCAGCCTATTTATTTATTTATTTTTGAGACGGAGTCTAGCTCTGTCGCTAGGCTGGAGTGCTGTGGCATGATCTAGGCTCACTGCAACCTCCGACTCCCTGGTTCAAGCGATTCTCCTGCCTCAGCCTCCTGAGTAGCTGGGATTACAGGCACGAGCCACCATGTCCAGCTATTTATTTTTTATTTTTATTTTTTGTATTTTTAGTAGAGATGGGGTTTCACCATGTTGGCCAGTATGGTCTCGAACTCCTGACCTCAGGTGATCCACCTGCCTCGGCCTCCCAAAGTGCTGGGGTTACAGGCATGAGCAACCGTGCCCAGCCAATAATGTATTTTATTTAAAATACAATATGTAATGAGTATTTCAATATGTAATGAATATTTTTAAAAAAATCAATGCTTCGTTTTGTTCTGTTTTATTTTTGAGACAGGGTCTTGCTTGTTGTCCAGGCTGGAGTACAGTGTCACAAACACTGCTCACTGCAGCCTCAACCTCCTGGGCTCAAACCATCCTCCCCTCTCAGCCCCACAAGTAGCCGGGACTTACAGGTGGACGCCACCACACCTGGCTAATTTTCTTTGCATTTTTTGTAAAGATGGGGTTTCACCATGTTTCCCAGGCTGGACTTGAACTCCTGAGCTCAAGCGATCCACCCGCCTTGGCCTTCCATAGGTGTTGGGATTACAGGAGTGAGACACCATGCCAGGCCAATGAGATATTTTGAAATATTTTTCTCCCACTAATTTTTAAGATCTGATGTGGGCTTTATACTTACAGAACATCTCATTTTGGATAGGAACATTTCATGTGCTCGATACTCACGCAGAGCTGGTGGACACTGTGTTGGGCAGCATAGCTCTGGAAGGTATTGACAGCTAAGCTATAGAGAGACACTGACTCAACTATTTCCTTTCTTTTCCTGTTTTGAGTCTCTTAAAAACTCAAAAATCGCCAGGCGCGGTTGCTCACGCCTGTAATCCTAGCACTTTGGGAGGCCAAGGAAGGCAGATTACCTGATGTCGGGAGTTCAAGACCAGCCTGGCCAACATGGCGAAACCCCCGCTTTACTAAAAATGCAAAAAATTAGCCAGGTGCAGTGGCGTGCGCCTGTAATCCCAGCTACTCTGGAGACCGAGGCAGGAGAATCACTTGAATCCGGGAGACAGAGGTTGCGGTGAGCAGAGATCACGCCACTGCACTCCAGCCTGGGCTACTGAGTGAGACTTGGTCTCAAGAAAACAAAACAAAACAAAACAAAACAAAACAAAAAACAAAACAAAAATCAAGCTATGAAAATAATCTTTCCAATTCACTTTACTCACCTTGGAATGTCCTTTTTTCCAAGCACTTGGTTCCTAGGCTGACAAAAAGGAAGCCCTTGGGCTCTGGGTGAGTCTGGAGTGGGATGCAGACTTTCTCTTTTTGTCTTTGACTTTTAAATATTGAAATAATAGAATCTACTTATGAAGTGCCAGGCACAGTGCTAAGTGATTTGCACACATTGTTTAATCTTTACAATGATCCTATGAAGTAGGTTCTATTGTTATGTTGTTTTCACATCTGGAGCAAAACAGGCTCAGAGAAGTCAAGTATCCTGTCCAAAGTCACACAGCAAGGAAATGGTAGGACTTGATTTCCCTGAGTCAGAAGGCAGTGCCTTTATTAATGAGTTCTTAGGCAATTCTTTATCATTAGTAAATTGCAGAGTTAGGATTCACATGATTCACATTCACCTCTTTTCATTTTTATTTTTTGAGATGGAGTCTCGCTCTGTCCCCTGGGCTGGAGTGAGGATTCATATTCACTTCTGACTCCAAGTTGATCTATTCAAACACATGTTGAAGTCCCAGGTTTCTCACTTTAAAAAGGAATAATAATAGTCACCTTGCAGGGTGATTTTGAGGATTAAATGAGCTAATTTACTTGCAAATCTGTACCGGAACTAGAAGTCTTTTGACTGGCTAAGGGAGTTCTAGTTTAGGCCTTTCACTAAGGGTTTATGAGCTGATTACCATCAATTCCCATTACCTTTAGTGACAATCATGGAAACTGTGAGCCCCGTGCTTAGCCCAAGAGTTCAAGAAATTAGAAAACCTGGACCAGGACCATGGGCCCTGCACGGCCCTGAGTGATAGAATGCAGTGAACAACAGGCCAGGAGACCGGGGGGGGGGGGGCGGGGGCGGGGGGTGCCTGTTCTAGTCCCTGCTGTCCCTCGGAAGGGCTGAGAAACCTTGGGCAAGTCCCTTCTCTGTAAACTGAGGGAAGAGGACCAGATACAATGTGAATTCCTCCGCGTTCTGACACTTGAGCTGTGCCCAGCGTCGACCCGCCCCACCCTCCCTGACACACAGTGTTTAAAGGCCCCGGCGCCTCCGCCTTGTGACTTCAATGCACGTGGTACTCGGTCCCCCAGTGGGCGGAAAACTCAGGGGTGGCCTTATTATGAATGAATATCGAGCAATAACCGCAGGGTTGAGGCTTCAGACAGAAGTCACTATGGTGACCAAAGCACAACGAAAGAGTGCAGGCTCCAAGAGCCCTCCAAGGTCTCCTGCCTTTCATTCCAGAGCTCTGCCGGGCTCCCTGCACCGCGAGCTCCGCTGAGTTAAGTGCCTCAAGGTCACGGGAACAAAGAAAGGGCAACTAAATTGGCTTCATCTGTTCCCTTCCTAGTCCGCATCCACAGAGCTGGATGGAGTGGGCTGAGTCCGAGCGGAATTCGGATTTGAATACAGGAACCAGCTCATACGGAAGGGGGTTACCTCTCAAGGTTCCCAGGCCAGGAGTGGGTGGGCGGGGGCTGAGGGCGGGGGTAGGAGCAGCACCATCTCCGTTGCAGCGCCACAAAGACAGCCAAGACCCAGGCCTCGCCAACGCTGGAGGAGGAAAGCGCCTTATGAATCATTTAAAGTCCATGAAAGACTCTCCTGGGACTTGCTTTTCTCCTTCACCCAGCAGAGATACCAGGGCAGAAAAGAATGTGTCATGACCCAAAGGAGAACAAAATGTCCAGGCTAGTGGAGCTCTGGCTTCTCATATGGGAACTCTCTTGTCTCTCCAACCCATCAGATCCTGGGGAACCCAGTTACGCCTATTCTTCTGCACACCCTGTCTAGAAAACCCACGTTTGGGATCTTCCTATTACAAGGCGACCAGGCCCTATTTTATTCACTTATTTATGTGTTTATTTGCCAAAAAAACAATTCGAAGATTCCCCCCTAAGAAATACATGTTCACTGTAGAAAATTTAGAAAATTAGGATAATTGAGACATGTAGATGGCCAAAAAGAAAAGAAACTCCCCATTAACCCTACCACCTAGAAATAACCGTTTACTTATTTGGTCATTTGTTTATAAATTCTATGATTTATTTTTATTTTGAGACAGGGTCTCACTCTGTAGCCAAGGCTGGAGTGCACTGGCGCAATCACTGCTCCCTGCAGCCTCGACCTCCCATGCTCAAGCAATTCTCCTACCTCAGTCTACCAAGTTGCTGGGACTACAGGCATGAGCCACTGTGCCGGGCCTACAAACAGATATAAGTATATTTTGAGACGGAGTCTCGCTGTGTTGCCCAGGCTGGAGTGCAATGGCGTGATCTCAGCTCACTGCAACCTTCACCTCCTGGGTTCAAGTGATTCTCCTGCCTCAGCCTCCCAAGTAGCTAGGAGTACAGGAATGCTCCACCACACCCAGCTCATTTTTGTATTTTTAGTAGAGATGGGTTTTCACTATGTTGGCCAGGTTGGGCTGGAATTCCTGACCTCAGGTGATCCACCCACCTCGGCCTCCCAAAGTGCTGGGATTACAGGCTTGAGCCACTGCACCCGGCTTTTTTTGTTGTTGTTTTGTTTTGTTTTGTTTTGTTTTGTTTTTGAGACACAGTTTCACTCTGACACCCAGGCTGGAGTGCACTGGTGCAGTCTTGGCTCACTGCAACCTCCACCTCCTGGGTTCAAGCAATTCTCCTGCCTCAGCCTCATGAGTAGCTGGGATTACAGGCATGTGCCACCACACCTGGCTAATTTTTGTATCTTTAGTACAGACGGGGTTTCACCATGTTGGCCAGGCTGGTCTTGAACTCCTGACCTCAGGTGATCTGCCCACCTTGGCCTCAAAGTGCTGGGATTACAGGCGTGAGCCACCGCGCCCAGCCCTCCTACAAATATTTTTTTGAAGGCCTATCATATGCAACGCACTGTACTAGGAATAGAGGTACAGAGATGAACAAGGCAGGTCTTACAAGGAGTTTTTTCTGTATAAAACTGTACACACATACCTTCCTAAAAAATCTCTGCTGTTCTAAAACTAAACAAATAAAAATAAGGTAGAGAATAGGAATTTGGTATAAAATTGAACCAAAGCAACTTAGAACTAAATATTCGGGTCAGTTTGTGTTTGTCTATGTAGTCAAAGAAACAACTGGAGGTAAACATGGAAATAGCTGCTTGGGAGTGAATGGCTATGAAGTAAATGCTAAGACTGGTGCCTGGGCCCCAGTTCCTGGCTCAGAATTTACATTGGCTGAACCAGGTGATGTCCACACTCCTACGCAGGCCTCCAGACCCTTGGAAAAGATAATGAGAAAAGTTACTGGCTCACATGTGTGATCTAATTTAACATAAACTTCACAGCAAGTATTTGAAGTAGATTGGCCAGGTGTGGTGGCTCATGCCTGTAATCCCAGCACTTTGGGAGGCTGAGGCAGGTAGATCACCTGAGTACTGGAGTTCGAGACCAGCCTGGCCAACATGGTGAAACCTCGTCTCTACTAAAAATACAAAAATTAGCTGGGTGTGGTGGCGGGCACCTGTAATCTCAGCTAGGAGGGAGGCTGAGGCAGGAGAATCACCCAGCCTGGGTGACAGAGTGAGACTCCATCTCAAAAAAAAAAAAAAAAAAGAAAGAAATGACTTATCATTCCCATATTACAGATAGGGAAACTGAGACAGAGAATAACTGTGATGGCAGAGAAGCAATTCTATCAAAATGATCTCAGGTTTGTGATTCTTTTATTTTGTCACCCAGGCTGAAGTGCAGTGGCATGATCACAGCTCACTGCAGCCTCAACCTCCCGGGCTCAAGCAATCCTCCCCACTCAGGCTCCCAAGTAGCTAGGACTATAGGCACATGCCACCACACCTGGCTAATTTTTTAATTTTTTGTAGAGAAGAGGGAGATGAGGAGTCACTATGTTGCCCAGGCTGGTCTTGAACTCCTGGGCTCAAACGATCCTCCCAAAATGCTAGGATTATAGGCGTGAGCGACTGGACCCAGCAATTTTGTGATTATTTATTTATTTATGTATTTATGTATTTATTTATTTATTTTTGAGATGGAGTCTTGCTCTGTCACCCAGGCTGAAGTGCAATGGTGCAATCTCAGCTCACTGTAACCTCTGCCTCCCCAGGTTCAATCGATTCTCCTGCCTCAGCCTCCTGAGTAGCTGGGATTACAGGCACATGCCACCATGCCCAGCTAATTTTTGTATTTTTGTAGAGATGGGGTTTTGCCATGTTGGCCAGGCGATTCTCCTGTCTTGGCCTCCCAAAATACTTAGGGAGGCAGAGGCAGGTGGATTGCTTAAGCTCAGGAGTTCGAGACCAGCCTGGGCAACATGGTGAAATCCTGTCTCTACAGAAAAAAACAAAAATTAGCCAGGCATGGTCATATGTGCCTGTAGTCCCAGCTACTCAGGATGCTGAGGTGGGATAATCACCTGGGCCCTGGGAGGCAGGGGTTGCAGTGAGCCAAGATCGCACCACCACACTCCAGCCTGGGTGACAGAGGGAGACGTTGTCTCAAAAATAAATAAATAAATAAAATAAAAAAAGAACAATCTAATAGCTGAGAAGAAAGTCAAGTAAATAAATGTTCCTAGAATTTTTTTTAAGGGGATGGGTACAATCAGGGATGTTTAGAATCTAAGGTCAGATTTGACTTGTGGGCTTGGAACTAGAAGGTTTGATCAAAAAATGCACACCAATAAGCCATTTGCCCAAGGATCCTGTCCCAGGGGATGACTAAGGAAACAAAAAAATAGCCAAAAGATCAAAGTTGCCAAGAGTACATTCTTTGGAGACTGACAGGCCTAGTCCCATCCTAATCTCCATCTCCAGCTTTCAAAGTTTTCTTTGACCTCTCTGAGGCGTCGGTTCCTTGCTGGGTTGTTGCAAGGATTAGTGTTCATTTCTGCAAGACACATTGCATGAAGCCTGGCCAACCATTACGATTTACCCAGCATCGTCCCACTTTTTTTTTTTTTTTTTTTGAGTCAGAGTCTCGCTCTGTCGCCCAGGCTGGAGTGCAGTGGCGCGGTCTTGGCTCACTGCAAGCTCTGCCTCCCGGGTTCACGCCATTCTCCTGCCCTAGCCTCCCGAGTAGCTGGGACTACAAGCTTCCGCCACCACGCCTGGCTAATTTTTTTAAAAAATATTTTTAGTAGAGACGGAGTTTCACTGTGTTAGCCAGGATGGTCTCGATCTCCTGACCTTGTGATCTGCCCGCCTTGGCCTCCCAAAGTGCTGGGATTACGTAAAGGCGTGAGCCACCAAGCCTGGCCCACTTTTTTTTTTTTGAGACGGAATCTCACTCTATTGTGAGGCTGGAGTGCAGTGGCATGATCTCGGCTCACTGCAACCTCTGCCTCCCGGGTTCAAGGGATTCTCCTGCCTCAGCCTCCCACGTAGCTGGGGCTACAGGCATGTGCCACCACACCGGCTAATTTTTTTGTATTTTTGGTAGAGACGGTGTTTCACCATGTTGGCCAGGATGGTCTCGAACTCCTGACCTCGTGATCTGCCTGCCTTGGCCTCCCAAAGTGCTGGGATTATAGGCGTGAACCACCGCACCCAGCAGCATCCCACTTTTAACACTGAAAGTCCTGCATGCCAGGAAACCCCTCAGTCCCAGGCAAACCAAATGGTTCACCTAGAACCACCCCCTCCACAGTGGTGCCTGTGGGGTCAATTTTTGAGGAATTATGTTGACATGGGAATTGTTAGGAATATACAAAGAAAAAGGGGGAGCTGTGTGAAAGGACACCCGAAGACTATGGGCAAAATGTTTCAGGATAGGACCCACATTTTATTACTTGATTCCCCCAAGCTCATCTGGTGGCTGTCTCTGCCTGACACATAGTGCTCATAAATGGCTGGATTAATGTTGGCTCTTATTATGGAGATTGTCCTTAATATTGAAATTTACCTTTGTAATATGATGGCTCTTTCACCTGTGGTGTGAAGTGAGAATCTGTTATCAGAAGCAGGTGGTAAGGGATGTGTGGTATCCATATAGAGCAGGAAGTTTTATTTATTTATTTATTTATTTATTTATTTATTTATTTGAGATGGAGTTTCGCTCTTGTTGCCCAGGCGGGAGTGCAATGGCGTGATCTTGGCTCGCCACAACCTCTGCTTCCTGGGTTCAAGCGGTTCTCCTGCCTCAGCCTCTCAGTAGCTGGGATTACATGCGCCCACCACCACGCCTGGTTAATTTTTGCATTTTTAGTAGAGATGGGGTTTCACCATGTTGGCCAGGCTGGTCTCGAACTCCTGATCTGAGGTCATCTGCCTGCCTCAGCCTCCCAAAGTGCTGGGATTACAAGCATGAGTCACCGTGCCCAGCCCATTTGAAATCTTTTGTTTTCATTTCTTCAAACTTTTAAGTTGTGTGGTATCAGTTTCTGAAATTGCTCTCAGTGATCCCTGCCTCTTGGCATACATGCCCTTGTGGAATCCTCTCTCCTTGTAAATAGCTGGACCTGGTGACTTGCTTCTGAACAGAGTGCAGCAAAAGTGCTGGGATGCCTCTTCTGAGATCACACGACAAAATACTGCGACTTCTTTCTTGCTTACACCAATTTTTCCTCTGGCTCTTCTTGTATGCTTACTCTGACAAAGCAAGTTGCATGTTTTGAGCTGTCCTATGGAGCAGACCCACGTGGCAATTAGTTGAGGGCAGCCTCTGGTCAACAGCCACCAAGGAACTGAATCCTATAAATCAGGGGTGTCCAATCTTTTGGCTTCCCTGGGCCACACTGGAAGAAGAAGAATTGGGCCACACATAAAATACACTACACTAACAAAAGCTGAAGAACAACGACAACAACAACAACAACAACAACAACAACAAAAAACACCACAAAAAAAATCTCATAACGTTTTAGGAAAGTTTACAAATTTGCGTTAGGCTGCGTGTGGCCCATGGGCCGCTGGTTGAACAAGCTTGCTGTAGATGAAAATGTGAGTTACCTTGGAAATGGACTTTCAAAATACATATGCCCAAATATAAATATTTTGGAAGAAATTTATCATAAGGAATTGGATCACTTGATTGTGGAGGCTGAGAAGTTGCGTAAACTGCCATGTGCAAGCTGGGGACCCAAGAAAGCCTGGTGTTATTCCAGTCCAGGTCCAAATGCCTGAGAATCTGGGGAGTTGATGATGTACATCCCAGTACAAGGACAGGAGCAGACTAATGTTCCAGCTCCAACAGGCAGGCAGGCAGGCAGCAAAAGAAGTGAATTCCTTCTTCCTCTGCCTTTTGCTCTATTCAGCCTCTCAACAGATTGGATGATGCCCACCCACACTGCTGAGGGCCATCCACTTTACTGAGTCCACTGATTCAAATGCTAATCTCATCTAGAAACATTCTCTCAACACCCCAGAAATATGGTTTAATCTGGGTACCCCTTGGCTCAGTCAAACTGGTACGTAAAATTAATCATCATATGGATCCTTCCCTAGTTAAGCTTTCAGATGAAACCACACCCCCAGCTGACACCTTGATATGTAGCCTTGTGAGAGACTGAAAGAGAGGATTTTGCTGGGCACAGTGGCTCATGCCTGTAATCCTAGCACTTTGGGAGGCTGAGGCAGGTGGATCACAAGGTCAGGAGATCGAGACCATCCTGGCTAAGATGGTGAAACCCTGTCTCTACTAAAAATACAAAAAAATTAGCCAGGCATTGTGGCGGGCACCTTTAGTCCCAGCTACTTGGAAGGCTGAGGCAGGAGAATGGCATGAGCCCAGGAGGCAGAGCTTGCAGTGAGCCGAGATCGTGCCACTGCACTCCAGCCTGGGTGACAGAGCGAGAATCCGTCTCAGGAAAAAAAAAAAAGAAGAGAGAGGACTTAGTTAAGCCTTGCCTAGGTTTCTCACTCTGAGCATGGTGATGAAATAAATGTATGTTGTTAAGACACTAATACCACTAGCAGATATAGATAACTGATATAAATTTACTTACAGAAAAGTACACGTAAGTGCAGAGCTTGATGAATCATTACAAGCTGAACATACTTGTGTATCCAGTACCCAGATCAAGAATCAGAAATTATCAGAACCCCAGAAAGCACCATTCATATTCTCTTTCCGTCACTAGCTGTGCTGCTCCCCATCATCTCCTATCAAGAGTAACCCCCATCCCGACTTCAAACAGCATAAATTTGTTTTGTTTGGTTTTGTACCATATATAAATAGTATCGGTCAGGTACAGTGGCTCATGTCTGTAATCCCAGCACTTTGGGAGGCCAAGGTGGGCAGATCACTTGAGGTCAGGAATTCAAGACCAGCCTGGCCAACATGGTGGAACCCTGTTTCTACTAAAAATACAAAATACAAAAATTATCCAGGCGCGGTAGCAAGCACCTATAATCCCAGCTACTCGGGAGGCTGAGGCGTGAGAATCACTTGAACCCAGGGGCTGGAGGTTGCAGTGAGCTGAGATCACACCACTGCACTCTAAACTGGGTGACAGAGCAAGACTCTGTCTCAAAAAAAAAAATCATATAATATGCACAAAATAACTTTTTAGCAGATTCTCAGAGAGTTCCCCCTATACATGATACATTCAGAACTACTGACTGACACACACACACACACACAGAGGCAGAGGCAGAGATGACAAATGACATATTTGTCATTAGTTACCCATCACAGCCTTGGTCTGGGAGCAGGTGATCTAATTCCAGAAGATAATTTTTTATTTTTTTTATTTTTTTTTTTTATTTTGAGACAGAGTCTTGCTCTGTTGCCCAGGCTGGAGTGCAATGGCGTGATCTTGGCTCACCACAACCTCTGCCTCCCCGGTTCAAGTGATTCTCCCATCTCAGCCTCCTGAGCAGCTGGGATTATAGACACCCACCACCACGCCCGGCTAATTTTTGTATTTGTAGTAGAGACGGGGTTTCACCATGCTGGCCAGGCTGGTCTCAAACTCCTGACCTCAGGTGATCCACCTGCCTCAGCCTCCCAAAGTGTTGGGATTACAGGCGTGAGCCACCACGCCTGGCCTAGAAGAGAAATATTGATTACCTCATCAGAAATAGGCCCAGAACACGAGGAGCAATTCACTCAGCCCCTATGGTTTGATGGCCATGTTCCCCATGTTATCTTCTGTCTATAATTCTATTTCCTGAGAAACCAGGCCCAGAGATAACCACTAAGCCATATTTAGCCATAGTTATTCCTCTCCAGGGACCAATACCCTTGTGTTTGGGTTTTTACTTAGACTTACTCAAGTTTGGTTATTGAGGATCAGCACCCCTTGAGTATGATCAACCACAGATACAAGAATGAGTTTTTGGACTTAGTTGCTAACAACTATTGAACTATTTTTGCTATAATTGAAGGTCTACGCTAATTATTTATATATGTTACATAAATAAAAAAGCAGACCAGGCTGGGTGCAGTAGCTCATGCCTATAACCCCTGCACTTTGGGAGGCTGAGGTGGGCAGATCACCTGAGGTCAGGAATTTGAGACCAGCCTGGCCAACATGGAGAAACCCCATCTCTACTAAGAATACAAAAAGTAGCTGTGCATGGTGGTGGGCACCTGTAACCCCAGCTACTTGGGAGGCTGAGGCGGCAGAATCACTTGACCCTGGGAGGTGGAGGTTGCAGTGAGCTGAGATCGTGCCACTGCACTCCAGCCTGGGTGACAGAGTGAGACTGTCTCAAAAAAAAAAAAAAAAAAAAAAAAAAAAGAGAGAGAGAGAAAGAAAAGAAAAAAAACAGACCGGGTGCAGTGGCTCATGCCTGTAATCCCAGCATTTTGGGAGGCTGAGGTGAGCAGATCACTTGAGGTCAGGAGTCTGAGACCAGCCTGGCCAACATGGTAAAACCCCATCTCTACTAAAAATACAAAAAATTAGTTGAGCATGATGGTGGGTGCCTGTAATTCCAGCTACTCTGGTAGCTGAGGTATGAGAATTGCTTGAACCTGGGAGGTGGAGGTTGCAGTGAGCTGAGGTTGTACCACTGCACTCCAGCCTGGGCGACAGAGCAAGACTCAGCCTTGAAAAACAAAACAAAAACCCCCCTAGTAATCTCTATTGGTAAGTAGTTATTATTAAGATGTTTTACAAATGAGGAAATAGGTTAAGTGATTTGCCTAAGATCATGCTCAGATCATATAGGTAGTCAGAGGATGACTGGGGAGTCAGATACAGTTTTATTTATTTTTTTATTATTTATATTATTTTATTTATTTATTTATTTATTTATTTATTTATTTATTTATTTATTTATTGAGACGGAGTCTCGCTCTGTTGCCCAGGCTGGAGTGCAGTGGCACGATCTCGGCTCACTGCAAGCTCCGCCTCCCGGGCTCATGCCATTCTCCTGCCTCAGCCTCCAGAGCAGCTGGGACTACAGGAGCCTGCCACTACGCCTGGCTAATTTTTTGTATTTTTAGTAGAGATGGGGTTTCACCATGTTAGCCAGGATGGTCTCGATCTCCTGACCTTGTGATCTGCCCGCCTCGGCCTCCCAAAGTGCTGGTATTACAGGCGTGAGCCACCGCGCCCGGCGCTATTTTTTATTTTTATTTTTTGAGACGGAGTCTTGCTCAGTCACCCAGGCTGGAGTGCAGTGGCACGATCTCGGTTCACCATAACCTCCACCTCCAGGGTTCAAGCAATTCTCCAGTAGCTGGGACTACAGGTGCATGCCACCATGCCTGGCTAATTTTTGTATTTTTAGTAGAGACAGGTTTTCACCATGTTGGCCAGGCTGGTCTCGAACTCCTGACCTCAGGTGATCCATCCACCTCGGCCTCCCAAAGTGCTGGGATTACAGGCGTGAGCCACCATGCCTGGCTTATTTTTTTTTTTTTGAGACGGAGTTTCGCTCTTGTTGCCCAGGCTGGAGTGCAATGGCGCGATCTTGGCTCACTGCAACATCTGCCTCCTGAGTAGTTCAAGCAATTCTCTTGCCTCAGCCTCCTGAGTAGTTGGGATTACAGGCATGCACCACCACTTCCAGCTAATTTTTTTTAGTAGAGATGGGGTTTCACTGTGTTGGCCAGGCTGGTCTTGAACTCCTGACCTCAGGTGATCCACCAGCCTCGGCCTCCCAAAGTGCTGGGATTATGGGCATGAGCTACCGCGCCTGGCTTTATTTTTTATTTTTGAGAAAGCATCTCACTCTGTTGCCCAGGCTGAAGTGTAGTGGTAAAATCATGGCTCACTGCAACCTCAATCTCCCGGGCTCAGCCTCCTGAGTAGCTGGGACTACAGGCACACACCATCATGCTTGTCTAATTTTTGTATTTTTTGTAGAGACAGGGTTTTGCCACGTTGCCCAGGCTTGTGTCAAATTCTTGAGCTCAGGTGATCTGCCTGCCTCCGCCTCCCAAAATGCTGGGATTACAGATGTGAGTCACTGAGCCTGGCCAGTTACAGGTTTATTTACTTCAACTGAATTTTAGCCACCATATTATAGTATCTTGCAGAGCTTGAGATGAAAGTATGCTCATGAAAGTGAGGATCTGTTTCAGCAATCAGCTGGTTTCCTTATCCCTGCCATTCATCTATTCATTCAACCATCCATTCATCTATTCAACCGTCTGTTCAGTTCTCCAACTATCCATCCAATCCATCAACCATCCATCCAATCACCTAGTCAGCCACAAATATCATGTGGCCATCCATTAAACAAATATCAAAGGCATCCTCCATACCAATTCCATGCCAGGAGGAGGCTGAATGCAGAGGTGAATAGATTACAAAAGCAAATGTAAAAGCCAGGTTTCTTTTTTTTCTTTGAGTTCGGGTCTCACCGTCTTGCAAGGCTGGAGTGCAGTGGCATGGTCATAGCTTACTACAGCCTCAAACTCCTAGGCTCAAGCAATCCTCCTGCCTTAGTCTCCCAAAATGTTGGGATTACAGGCATGAGCCACTATGGCTGGCCCAGGCTTTCCACTAGATTTGGAGCTCCCTGAGGGCAGAATCCCTTGCTTTTGTATCTGCAGTACAAAACATGATTTGGGTCCTGTTTTCCTTTTCAACCTCATCTACTCAACTTCTTGCTCATTCCTCAACCAGATTGGTCTTCCTTCTGTTTCTGGAACAAGCCAAGCCCTCTTTTGCCTCAGAACTTCAAACAATTGCTGTTCCTTTTCATCCAAATGTTCATCCAGCAATATCAATAGCTGGTTGCCTTTTCCTTTGCATCTTAGTTAAGATGTCCAATCCTCAGAGAGGGCTTTTGTGACAACCTTATCTAGAGGAGACACCCTTCAGCCCCTCTGCCAGCTACTTCTATTCTCTCACCCTGTTTATTTCTCTCATGGTATTGCTTACATCTGTGATCATCTTTTTATTCATTGTATGCTCATTTTACAGTTCCCCAACTAGAAAAATAATCCTCAGGAGGGCAGTTACTAAATCTTTCGTATATATATATATTCACCAGCCTGGGCAACACAGTGAAACCCCTGTGTTGCCCAGGCTGGTCTTGAACTCCTGAACTCAAGTGATATCTTTTGTATTCTTTATTTCATGCCTTCTGCCTGACTAGTCCAGTCACTGAAACACAGTAGTCCTTTAATATTTATTTATTATTTATTAATTTTTTTTGAGACAAAGTCTTGCTCTGTCACCCAGGCTGGAGTGCAGTGACACAATCTTGGCTAACCATAACCTCCGCCTCCTGGGTTCAAGCGATTCTTCTGCCTCAGTCTCCTGAGTAGCTGGGATTACAGGTGCGTGCCACTGCACTCGGCTAATTTTTTGTATTTTTAGTAGAGACAAGGTTTCACCATGTTGGCCAGGCTAGTCTTGAACTCCTGACCTCAGGTAATCCACCCGCCTCAGCCTCCCAAAGTGCTAGGATTACAGGCATGAGCCACCGCGCCCGGCCCCTTTAATATTTATTTGTTGAATGAATGAATAAGTGAATGAATAATATAAGACCAAATCTTTCTAGTATTAGGAGGCTTGAAGAGTAGTGGAAAAGAGACCTTGAAAGGTAAGGTGACAACACAGAGAGGGCTTTGAAAGCCAAGCAGAAGAAGGTACACTCCATGTGAGCATTGGGAGCCAGTAGAAGCTCTTGAGTTACAGAATGAAATGGTGGCTTAGGACAATGACTTGGTATGCCACAATCTATTATGAAGCTGAAATGTAAATTACTCATTGCAGCATCTTGTAATGAATTACTACAAGAGGTAATCAGGTCCCAGGACCCGAACTATATTTTTCTCCCTGTGGGAGATTATACAATGTGAGACCTTAGGGTCTAGGCATTTCATAGACTCTATGTTGTGTTTAATTAGTTGATTATGGTGAACTGTAGACAAAATATTATGGTGAAAACCCTATAAGGCAGAATCTGTATCTGCTTACTGCAAGTATCTAGCCTGAAGGAGATAACTCTTTGATGAATGAATGATTGAGTGAAAGTCATGTACTTGGAAGGACCCAGGTTAGATAGGATCTGCTGCTAGCTAGCTGTATGACCCTTAAGATCTTATTATCTTTTTATTTTTATTTTTTTGATACGGAGTTTCACTCTTGTTGCCCAGAGTGGAGTGCAGTGGGCACATCTCGGCTCACTGCAACCTCCGCCTCCTGAGTTCAAGCAATTCTCTTGCCTCAGGTTTCCAAGTAGCTGGGATTACAGGCATGCGCCACCATGCTCAGCTAATTTTGTATTTTTAGTAGAGATGGGGTTTCACCATGTTGGTCAGGTTGTTCTCAAACTCCTGACCTCAGGTGGTCCGCCTGCCTCGGCCTCCCAAAGTGCTGGGATTACAGGCTTGAGCCACCGCGCTTGGCCCGCTTAGGATGTTTAACATGGCTAAGGCTTGGCTTCCTCATCTGTAAAAAAGGGAGAAGATTTAAGTCACAGGATTTTAAGTGAGAGTTTTGGGAAAATCTCTGGTACAAAATGAACACTAAGTACATTTGTTTCTTTCTGTATTTTTAAATGATATTCTGAAACTTCCCTGATTGGGATCTTCTACTGGCCTTTCCCCACGAGCCACTTGGTTTGAAATAGGCAGAGCATATGGTGATATTTGTTTATTGCTATTTTCAGTCTTTTCCATGTAAAACTGAAATTCTGACTATGCAATTTACCAGCCGAGTAACCTTGGGCACCCTCTTTGTGCCTCAAAATTTTAAGGATTGAGATGATATGCTATAGTGTTTGTATTAGTGCCTGGTACATGGTACTCAAAAGACACTAGCTGTAATTATTCTTCAGGACTTTATTTTTTTTACTTTCATTGCTAGCAGTTTTTCTACCCTCTCTCCTGCAGGCATTCTCCCAGAAAAAAGGCTGACTCTGTGGTGCCATTTGAGAGAAATAGGTTCAGTAGATTCTTCCAGAGATGACAAACGAAAAGACTTGATGTGGAAGTAAGAGAAGTAGGGGCGTCAGGACACTGAAGTGAGAGATCTTTTGTTCTCGTGGCATTGGAGAAGCCAGGAAAGAAAAAGGCTTTAGCAGGGACCAGGTGCGTCCACTTTGCAAGTGGATTTGGAGAGAACAAGCAGTGTTCACATATCAGTCCAGCAATGTCTCAAGACTCCTTCCTGGAACAGTCATCAGTTTAATCCAGTGAGGATGGTGTCTCTCTTCTTTCATGAGCATTTTCCTATTTCTGAAATATTAATAAATAGGTGCTTTGTTCCTAGGAAGTGGAGAGAAGTCAAGGAAAATACTCATCATACTCCTAGAAGTCAAGGAAAATACTCCTCGTACTCCTCATGGCCGCTGGAGCCCGCTGCTATGAGGTTATGGAGAACGTCTTGAACATTCCATTCCCCAGCACCTAGTGCAGTGACTAGCATAGTAGGCACTCAAAAAGTGTCTGTAGGATTGTATTTCAAACTTTAGTTGTCTTTCCCAAAGAAGCCTGTCGTGCCCACACGCGGCCGCAAGAAGTCCGCGCCTAGAAATAACATTTATTCTAAGGATCTCTGCGCAGAGATTCTTGGGAAGCGGTTCCCCTCCCGCATTCCCTTGTTACTCCTCCCCTCGGCCGCCTTTGAAAGAAGTGGCACGCCACATGATTCCATCCTTTCTCCCACCTCCAAAGACCTGGCTGATAATGGGCAGGAGCGTAGGCCAACCATAAAACTTTATTTCCTCTTCCAGCCAATAGCAAGAGGCGATGAGTATATGGCTCCTCTTTTGTGACTTCCCCCGCCCCCTTTGATTCCGCCCCCTATTCCTCCACTCAGATTCCACACTTGACAACACATCTGGCCAATGAGAAGTTCCTACTCTGCGTGGGAAGGATGGACTGACTAGATGATAGACGTCCATCCCTGGCCAATGGAATATCAAAAGTGCGGGAGGGGTGTAGAATGCAACCAATGGCGAGGTGCCAGAAACGAGCATCAGGGAAAGGGCGGGACGAAAGTGTTCGCGGGAGGGAGGGGAAGGCCCAGGGAACCAAGCAGCGCTGTCGCCGCCGCCGCTGCAGCCGGAGTTGGAGGAGGGAGAAGCTAGGAAGAAAATGGCGGCCGTGGCTGCAGAGGCGGCAGCGACTGCAGCGTCCCCCGGGGAGGGGGGCGCCGGCGAGGCCGAGCCGGAGATGGAGCCCATCCCCGGCAGTGAGGCCGGCACTGACCCCCTCCCGGTCACGGCCACTGAAGCGTCTGTGCCGGATGGCGAGACTGACGGGCAGCAATCCGCTCCTCAGGCCGACGAGCCGCCGCTCCCGCCGCCACCGCCGCCGCCGGGGGAGCTCGCCCGCAGCCCAGAGGCGGTGGGGCCGGAGCTGGAGGCTGAGGAGAAACTGTCCGTTCGGGTGGCGGAGTCGGCGGCAGCCGCGCCTCAGGGAGGGCCGGAACTTCCACCTTCTCCTGCATCGCCGCCGGAGCAGCCCCCGGCTCCCGAGGAGCGCGAGGAGCCGCCGCTGCCTCAGCCCGTAGCCCCGGCGCTCGTGCCGCCGGCGGGCGGGGACTCCACGGTGTCGCAACTGATCCCGGGCTCGGAGGTGCGGGTCACGCTGGACCACATCATTGAGGACGCGCTTGTCGTGTCGTTCCGCTTCGGGGAGAAGCTCTTCTCCGGGGTCCTCATGGATCTGTCCAAAAGGTACCGCGCCCGCCCCCAGCACCCTCCGGTCCGCTGGGTCCCCAGGGAGGGAGTGAGCCCGGGCGGCCCCCTCTCCCCGAGCCCTCGCTTCCCCGCTGCCCGGGGCCCCGCCCTCTGGTCCTGCGCGGCGCGTGGCGCGCGCTCCGAGTGGGGCAGGCGCGCGAGACCGGGAGAGGGCGGTCCCGGCCCCAGGTGGGCGCCTGCGGGGCAGGTGTGCCACCAGGTGGGAGGGTGCAGGTGCAGATGGGCTCACAGGTCTCACCCCTCACGCCTGGTCTTCTTCTGCGACTTGGCCTGGAGTCACCGTCACTGGGCGGGTGGGTTAATGCAAGATGCAGATGGATTTTTGCAGAGAACGGAGTGTTGGACGGGGGGACGGGGGGGCGGGGGGCATTGCTTGCGAGGAGGCACTTGTCTGTCCTCTAACGTTTAACTTTAGCGGGATTGGAGAAAGGGGTGTGTACATTGGGGTTCCCAAAAGGTTACCTGTCACTCCTTACAGGGGGAAGAGCATTTGTTAAAATGAACCTTTTAACTGTAATTCTTACGGTTAGAAGTCATTCCCGTTAGGTTAACCATTCAACAGAGAAGCATATTTTGCTAATTTTAATGATAGTTTAAGAAAAGTTTAAAGAAGAGATTGGAGATTTTTAAAAAATCCTTTAATGTCAAGGTGGTGTAGCATAAAAATGTTCAAGTAACTTCTAACACCTGGGATTCAGTTTATGTATTAAGGACAAGAAGGTTGAGTTCATCTACAAATTTGGCTTAACCACATTTTCATTTTTTGATTTAAAATGTTTTTGGGCTCTGCTTTCAACAGGGGAAGAGAACCTGTTCTAAGTCTGGAGTTAACCTTTTTATTCTCTTCTTTTGCAGATATGAAGTGCAGAGACTCCCATTCACGGCTTTCCATTCTGTTTCCTGCAACAGCACACGCTCTGATCGTATCTCACCTGTTTGCAATGGCTTATTAGTATGTTTTACTCTTAAACTTGCTTGCTCTCCCATCAAGACCCAGGAATCCTTCTTTCCCATTTGGGGAAAAAAGCCATTTAAAATTTCATATTGAAGTATGGTGTTTGAGGGGAAAGATGAGAGCAGTTATTCTGTATTATTTAATCTCAAATATCTTTTTTTTTTTTTTTGAGACGGAGTCTCACTCTGTCACCCAGGCTGGAGTGCAGTGGCGCCATATCGTCTCACTGCAACCTCCGCCTCCTGGGTTCAAGCGATTCTCCCGCCTCAGCCTCCCAAGTAGCTGGGACTACAGGCGTGCGCCACCATGCTGGTCTAATTTTTGTATTTTTTAACTAGAGCCGGGATTTCACCATGTTGGCCAGGCTGGTCTTGAAATCCTGACCTCAGGTTATCCACCCGCCTCAGCCTCCCAAAGGGCTGGGATTACAGGCATGAGCCGCCGTGCCCGGCCTCAAGTATCTTTTTTAAAAATAATTTTGGATTAGGGCATTTGCACTTCTGTTTATGTTTGTTTGTTTACTTATTTAATAGAGACAGGGTCTTGCTGTGCTGCCTAGGCTGGTCTCAGACTCCTGGGCTCAAGCGATCCTACTGCCTTGGCCTTCCAAAGTGCTGAAATTACAGGCGTGAGCCACTGTGCCCGGCCTGCACTCCTGTTTTCATAATTAGAAAGCAGAATAAGGTGAGTGTGCTTTCTATTGATGTATTTTATTTATTTATTTATTTATTTATTTTTGAGACAGAGTTTCGCTCTTGTTGTCCAGGCTGCAGTGGTACAATCTCTGCTCACTGCACCCTCCACCTCCCTGGTTCAAGTGATTCTCCTACCTCAGCCTCCCAAGTAGCTGGGATTACAGGCATGTGCCACCACGCCTGGCTAATTTTGTATTTTTAGTAGAGATGGGGTTTCACCATGTTGGTCAGGTTGGTCTCAAACTCCTGACCTCAGGTGATCCACCCACCTTGGCCTCCCAAAGTGCTGAGATTACAGGCATGAGCCACCTCGCCCGGCCTCTACTGATGTATATAATAGTAAGAGACACTCTGGTGTGTATGCTGTTGAATGAAACAGAAGAGATGGCCAGTGATTGTGTGAGAATCTGGATTTCAAATCTGCAAAAGGAAGGTGCAGAAGGTAAGTTGTTTTTGGAAATGGAATGGATAAGTGCTCATTGTGTTAGTGCTTTATTTTTAAAAAATTTTCTTTAGTGGAGAATTGCTATTGAGTTTTGGTCTCATGCTATCAGTGCTTAGAAACAGCAATTTCTTTTGTTGGAGGAGCTATTCCTAATATGAACCTTTTCCATTTGAATATTCTGAAGTGAAAGGATCCTATTACTATTATTTATTTATTTATTTATTTTTTCCAAGACGGAGTCTTGCTCTGCCGCACAGGCTGGAGTGCAGTGATGCGATCTCGGCTCACTGCAACCTCCGCCTCCCGGGCTGAAGCAATTCTCTTGCCTCAGCCTCCGGAGTAGCTGGGATTACAGGGGCCCAGCACTTTGGGAGGCCAAGGCAGGCAGATCACTTGAGCGCAGGAGTTCCAGAGGATCCTGGGCAACATGGTGAAACCCTGTCTCTACGAAAAAAATATAAAACTTAGCTGGGCGTGGTGGCTTGTGCCTGTGGTCCCAGCTACTTGGGAGGCTGAGGTGGGAGAATCTCTTGAGCCCTGGAGGTGGAGGTTACAGTAGCTAAGATCACACAGTCCAGCCTGGGTGACAGAATGAGACCCTGTCTTAAAAAAAATTGTGGAAATGTTGAGGAAATAAAACACTAAAATTTAGCAATTCAAGGAATTATTATTGGACTAATGATTGACTAGTTGGATTTCCTTTTTTTTTTTACAGTTTAATCTGGAAAAATGGACCTGCCAGTATATTTTGTAATTCGCACTTATGTTGATTGCACACTTTCCTGTGCAGTTTTGGGGTTTACTGATGGATCCAGGAGACAGTGTTTTTTTTTGTTTTTGTTTTTAGGAGGCAGGGTCTCGCTATGTTGCTCAGGCTGCAGTGCAGTGCTGGGATCGTAGCTCACTGCGTTCTTCCACCTCAGCTTCCCAAATAGCTGGGACTACAAGCGCATACCACCACGCCTGGCTAATTTTTTTTTTTTTCCTTTTTTTGAGATGGAGTCTCACTCTGTCACCCAGGCTGGAGTGCAGTGGCATGATCTCAGCTCAGTGCAACCTCCACCTCCTGGGTTCAAGTGAATCTCCTGCCTCAGCCTCCCGAGTAGCTGGGATTACAGGTGCCCGCCACCACGCCCGGCTAATTTTTGTATTTTTAGTAGAGACGGGGGTTTCACCATGTTGGTCAGGCTGGTCTCTAACTCCTGACCTCAGGTAATCTGCCTACCTCGGCGTCTCAAAGTGCTGGGATTATGGGCATGAGCCACCGTGCCCAGCCTGTTTTTGTATCTTTTGTAGAGATGAGGGTCTCACTGTGTTGCTCAGGCTGATCTCGTGCTCCTGGGCTCAAGCGATCCTCTGATTTTGGCCTCCCAAAATGCTGGGATTACAGGCATAAGCCATTGCAGCCAGCCAGCTATATTTTCATCCAAATGAAACCTTGAGATTGAGCACAGACATGATGACTGCCAGTCCGTTTCAGAGACTAGGCTGGAACTCAGGGCTACTGAGTTTGTGCTCTTTTTTTTTTTTTTTTTTTTTTTTTTTTTTGACAGAGTCTCCCTCTGTTACCCAGGCTGGAGTACAGTGACATGATCTCAGCTCTCTGCATCCTCTGCGCCCCACCGGGTTCAAGTGATTCTTCTGCCTCAGCCTCCTGAGTAGCTGGGACTACAGACACATGCCAGCACGCCTGGCTAATTTTTTGTATTTTTTAGTAGAGATGGGGTTTCACCATATTGGCCAGGCTGGTCTCGAACTCCTGACTTCGTGATCCGCCTCGGCCTCCCAGAGTGCTGGGATTATAGGCGTGAGCCACTGCACTCGGCCACACCTGGCTAATTTTAAAATTTTTTGTAGAGATGGGGGTCTTACCATGTTGCTCAGGCTGGTTGAACTCTTTTTTTTTTTTTTTTTTTTACCCTTGAGACAGAGTCTCGCTCTGTTGCCTAGGCTGGAGTGCAATGGCACAATCTCGGCTCACTGCAACCTCGGCCTCCTGGGTTTAAGTGATTGTTCCGCCTCAGCCTCCCAAGTAGCTGGGATTACAGGCATGCTCCACCACGCTGGGCAAATTTTTGTATTTTTGTGGAGACGGGGTTTTACTGTGTTGGCCAGGCTGGTCTTTGAATTCCTGACCTCAGGTGATCCGCCCGCCTTGGCCTCTGAAAAGTGCTGGGATTACAGGCATGAGCCACTGTGCCTGGCCTGAACTCTTTTTCTTTTTTTTGAGACAGTCTCGCTCTGTCACCCAGGCTGGAGTGCAGTAGTGCAATCTTGGCTCACTGCAACCTGAGCCTCCAGGGTTCAAGGGATTATAGTAGAGACGGAGTTTCGCCATGTTGGCCAGGCGCATCTTGAACTCCTGACCTCAAGTGATCCTCCTGCTTCGGCCTCCCAAAGTGCTGGGGATTACAGGCATGAGCCACCGCGCCAGGTCTGAACTCTTGGCCTCAAGCCATCCTCCCATTTCTACACTCCCAAAGTGTTGGGATTACAGGTGTGAGCCACTGCACTCAGCCAAGATACTTTAGACTCTACTAAGGCCATATTCATCAGTTGCTTTAAAGTAATTTGTATCTTATTTGGCCATTGAATTCAACCTCTAGGTAAAAATTAGGAGCTTTCTATGAGGGTCCATTATATGCTAGACATTGTACCTCATGCTTTAGTTTTTTTATAACCTTGGTAATGTTTTTAATTTACACAGGAGGAAATGGAGGCTCATTTAATTTGGCCAGTTAACTTGTAAGTGGCAAAGCAAGATTCAGATGTAGGTTGATCCCATTCTAAAACCTTTGCTTTTTCTACTTGCATATTAGAAAGCTAGTTGGGCTAAGTTTTAGTTTAAGCAGAAAGTAAAGAATGGCATGTTTCTGAAAGTTGCGTATTTCTGAAAGTTAGTGCTTCTCTTGATTTCATTGCCTCTGTGGAGATAATATAAAGGATATAGTTGTTGGAGCCAAGCAGATTCTTTAGTTGGGTAAAAGCTGTGAAACCTGGCTCCGGAGACTCCACTAGTTCCTTAGCTGAATACCGGGGAATACATAGTAAGCTCTGAAGTTTTAGTTCTTGCCTCCAATGAGATTAACATTTGGGAGACTAAATGTGTAATGTATTTGTGCTTTTCTTCAGTCTTCAAAAGGACTAGTTATTGCTTTTATAAATTTCTTCCATATTTTATGCTTGACGTTATGCATGGTACAGAAATGTCTTTGTAAAATTGGAAGAGCTGTCTACTGTGTGGAAAAGGTGTTTGAGTCTAGAACACAGGATTTAATATATGTGTGGATGACTAAGAGTCTGCTTTTGTAATCATTTGAAATGCTTCCCCTCCCTGTTGTATTATTATTTTTTGCATTATTTTCAGATTTATTTGGTTGGAGAACACATTTTTGAGGAGAATCATTCTGTGAAAAAAAAGGAGCTGGACATACATAACTCAAGAAAGAAAAGAAAGTGGTACTAAATAGTAAATTATTGACTGGACAGAGTGTTAGGTGCTTGGGCTTTTTTTCTTTTTTTTTTTTGACACAGAGTCTTGCTTCTGTCACCCAGGCTGGAGTGCAGTGGCGGGACTTCGGCTCACTGCAACCTCCATCTCCGTGGTTCAAGCAGTTCCCTGCCTCAGCCTCCTGAGTAGCTGGGATTACAGGCGCACGCCACCAAGCCTGGCTAATTTTTTTGTATTTTTAGTAGAGACAGTGTTTCATCATGTTGGCCAGACTGGTCTCGAACTCCTGACCTCAGGTAATCCTCCTCCTCGGCCTCCCAAAGTGTTGGGATTACAGGTGTGAGCCACCACTCCTGGCCTGGGCTTTAATTTCTAATATTGGTACTAGCCTCTCCTATTAGCACTGTGCCTTTGGGCAAATCATTGTGCCTTACTAAGCTCCATTTCCTAGTTCTTAGGCTAATTGATTTAGCTTTGGGCAGTTCACTTAGACACAAGCAAACAAACTTTACGCCTCAGTTTATATGTAAAATGAACAGAATGACCAGGTGGCCTGGTTTTCCCTGTACTACCCTGGTTTGTTATGTCCTCCTTTCTATCTTCTAGGTAGCTTTCTTTGGCCCATAAATGACACAGTAATTTTGAGGATATTTTTAGTATCTGGTTAAAATCAGATTTTGTTGAGCATTGTATTTACTTAACACTGGATGCCTGGCCGGGTGTGGTGGCTCATGCCTGTAATCTCAGCAAGTTGGGAGGCTGAGGTGGGTGGGTCACGTAAGGTCAGGAGTTCAAGACCATCCTGGCCAACATGTCAAAACCCTGTCTCTACTAAAAATACAAAAAATTATCTGGGTGTGGTGGCATGCACTTATAATCCCAGCTACTCAGGAGGCTGAGGCAGGAGAATTGCTTGAACCTGGGAGGTGGAGGCTGCAGTGAGCCGAGATCGCACCACTGCACTCTAGCCCGGATGACAGAGAGAGGCTCTTTCTAAAAAGAACTGGACGCCTTTAAGTGAAGCATGCATTCTCTAGCTTACTTTGTGCTCTTTTTTTCTTTCTTTTTTTTTCTTTTTTCTTTTTTTCCTTTTTTTTTTTTTTTTTTTGAGAAAGGGTCTTGCTCTGTCACCCAGGCCAGAATGCGGTGGCACACTCACAGTTCACTGCAGCCTCAACCTCCTGGGCTCAAGCAATCCTCCCACATCAGCCTCCCAAATAGCTGCAGCTACAGGTGCATGCCACCATGCCTGGCTAATTTGCGTCATTTTGGTGGAGACAGGGTTTCGCTTTGTTGCCCAGGCTCATCCGCCTGGGCCTCTCAAAGTGTTGGGATTACAGGTGTAAGCCACAGCACCTGGCCACTGTTGTTTTATACCCAGCTCTCTTAGTTTAAATTACCTGTCTGCTTCTGAGCTCATTAGCAACGTCTAATGACAATAGTCTAAATGCTAGCAGATGAGAATAATCAATTAACCCTACAAATTCAGTTTGGGTTTTCCTGTTCTCATTTTGTCCTTAATCTTAGCTTTTTAAATTTTGATATATAGTAAGCATTCCTTCAGGATTCTAAACTGTCTTAATGATTATTTTATTTGTTTAGAGATAGGGTCTCACTTTATCACAGAGACTGGAGTGCAGTCGTGTGATCATAGCTTACTGTAGCCTTGAACTCCTGGGTCCAAGTGATCCTCCCACCCCAGCCTCCCATGTACCTGGGACTAGAATCTCATGCCGCTGTGCCTGGCGAGTTAAGAAAAAAAAAAAGTGCCAGGCGCGGTGGCTCACGCCTGTAATACCAGCACTTTGGGAGGCCGAGGTGGGCAGATCACCTGACGTCAGGAGTTCAAGACCAGCCTGACCAATATGATGAAACCCTGTCACTACTAAAAATACAAAAATTAGCCGGGCGTAGTGGCATGTGCCTGTAATCCCAGCTACTTGGGAGGCTGAGACAGGAGAATCGCTTGAACCCGGGAGTTAGAGGTTGCAGTGAGCTGAGATCATGCTATTGCACTCCATCCTGGGCAACAAGAACAAAACTCTGTCTCAAAAAAATATATATATTTTTTGTAGAAACTGGGTCTCGCTATGTTGCCCAGGCTGGTTGCAACCTCCTGGCCTCAAGTGACTAGTAATCCTCCCTCCTTGCCCTCCCACAGTGGTAGGATTACAGGCATGAGCCACTGCACCCAGCCTAAGTGATTATTATAGGCAAAATAATAAGTCATTGGTGTGTCATTTTTTTTTTTTTTTTTTTTTTGAGACAGAGTCTTGCTCAGGTTCAAGTGATTTTCTTGTCTCAGCCTCCTGAGTAGCTGGGAGTACAGGCTTGTACCACCAAGCCCGGGTAATTTTTGTATTTTTAGTAGAGACGGATTTCATCATGTTGGCCAGGCTGGTTTCAAACTCCCGACCTCAGGTGATCTGCTTGCCTTGACCTCCCAAAATGATGGGATTACAGGCGTGAGCCACTGCACCCAGCCTTTTTGTTGAACTTTATTTTTTTATTTTATTTTATTTCATTTTGAGGTGGAGTTTCGCTCTTGTTGCCCAGGCTGGAGTGCAATGGCATGATGTCGGCTCACCGCAACCTCTGCCTCCTGGGTTCAAGTAATTCTCCTGCCTCAGCCTCCCGAGTAGCTGTGATTACAGGCATGCACCACCACACCTGGCTAATTTTGTATTTTTAGAAGAGACGGGGTTTCTCCATGTAGGTCAGGCTGGTCTTGAACTCCCGACCTTAGGTGATCCATCTGCCGCGGCCTCCCAAAGTGCTGGGATTACAGGCTTGAGCCACCACGTCCGGCCAGTGCAGATATCTAAAAAGATAAGGACTTTAAAAACAACAATCTTACTACCATTATTACACCTGAAATAATAGCAGTAATCCTTTTATATCATCAAATATTCAGTCACTGTTAAAATGTCAGACTGTTGGCCGGGCACCTTAGGAGGCTGAGGCAGGTGGATCCCTTGAAGGCAGGAGTTTGAGACCAGCCTGGCCAACATGGTGATACCCTATCTCTGCTATAAAAATTAAAAAAATTAGCCGGCTGTGGTGGTGTGTGCCTGTAATCCCAGCTACTCGGGAGGCTGAGGCAAGAAAATCACTGGAATCCGGGAGGCGGAGGCTGCAGTGAGCTGAGATTGTGCCATTGCACTCCAACCTGGGTGACAGAGCAAGACTCTATCTCAAAAAAAGAAAAAAAAAAAGGACTGTCAAAATTAATAGCTCAAGACTGTTCAGTTTTCAAATTAGGATCCAAATAAAGCTCATACATTGCAATTGGTTAATTTTCTTGTCCTTTTCATCTGTAGTTCTGCTGTTACTTTTATTCACTTGCAATTTACTGTTAATCCATGGACTTTGTAGAATTTTTTACATTCTGGATATATATATATATATATATTATTATATTATTTTATATATATATATATATATATATATATATATATATTTTTTTTTTTTTTTTTTCCCAGTTGCATCCTCTTGCATTTCCTTGTTTTAAAATAGTTATTGTCCCTCAGGAACAAACTGAAAGGGCAAGAACCACAGCCTTATCAAGGCCTCTCTTCAAAGCCTCTCCTTGTTTTGGGTCAGTAGAAATGATTATGGATGTCTTACCTGCTGGCAAACTTTTAGGTCTATCCCTTAAACACAGTCCTAAGTTTAGTATTGCAGACATAAGAAAATTGAACCACTCAAGACTATTTGCAAAGAGCAAAAGCCTTCAGCCCAGGCTTCTGAAGAGGTAGTTCTTCACTCCTCATAGTTATAAAGCCACCTGGAAATCCTTAAAAATCTTCTTGCAGAAGCTTTTAAATGGGGGGAAAAAAGTGAAAAATCCTGAAAGGTCTTTCTGAATCATTTTTTTTTTTTTTGGAGCAGGGGATGTGACAGGAAATAAGGAATCATGAAGTAAGGGTTTATGCTCGAAAATGCTTGTGTAGCTGGGTGCAGTGGATCATGACTGTAATCCTAGCATTTTGGGAGGCTGAGGTGGGTGGATCACTTGAGGCCAGGAGTTTGGGACCAGCCTGGCCAACATGGCGAAACCCCATCTCTACTAAAAATACAAAAATTAGCTGGGTGTGGTGGTGTGCACCTGTAATCCCAACTGTTCAGGAGGCTGAGGCACGAGAATTGCTTGAACCTGGGAGGCAGAGGTCGCAGTGAGCTGAGATTGTGCCACTGCACTCCAGCCTGGGTGACAGAGTGAGACTCTATCTGAAGACAAAAAATAAAAACTTGTGTGGCTGGGCATGGTGTCTCTTGCCTGTAATCCCAGCACTTTGGGAGACTGAGGCAGGAAGATCACATGAACCCTGAGGTTTGAACCAGCCTTGGCAACATACTGAGACCCCATCTCTTAAAAAAATGCTTGGGCATTTTAATTTTGTGGTATGTGCATATTAAAGGGGGTAGCTAGCTGTATTTCAGAATTGATGTTTTTACAAATACTGTGTGTGTGTACATGGGGGTACTGTTGGATTAAAAATAATTGATGATTTCCTTAGGAAACTTCAGTTTTCACTAAGTTCTTGAAAGCAATTTGTAGAAAATTTACGTGTTTTTTGAGGAAATATAAACCAAGACAATGATTTCTTTTCTTTACAGAGACCATGAAACGTATGGTGCAATAGCCCTACTTTTGGTGGGAAAAATATACAGCCATTCTGGTGAAGCAGTGAGTAGTGGTATCAGTAGCTTATACTACAGTGTCCAGGTTGAGAACTTAGGCCCTCAAGTAGTATGCTTGAATGATTGTGTTGTGGTACATTATAAGTAATATTTTTTTGGTGATTATTCTGCTTATATGCCAAGATGTCAATAAAGGCTTTACACAGTGAAACAGAGAAGAGGCAAGTGCCAGTCACTCCCTGACCCACACAGCTTTAGGACGCCCACTACTGTGCAGTATGTGTTGAGAGTGAGCTCTTCCATTGCATGTTGCATTAATATGATCTTTTTCAGAAGTGATTATTAGTTGGGCATTAAACCTGGTTTCATTCTGAGTCTAAAGAATCCTCCGGGCCACTCTGCCTATGGGGTAGCCCTGCTCTGTCTATGGAGAAGCTACTCTAGAAAAAAAAGAAAAAAAAAATAATCCTGTAACAAATTATGGAATTAAAAATAAAACTTAAAAATATATTTTATACACTAGATGTGTTATACACAAACTATGCTAGGCATGTTTTATTGGACTTGGGGTTTCCTTTTTTTTTATTTTTGAGATGGGTCTCGCTTTTGTCGCCCAGGCCAGAGTGCAATGGTGCAATCTTGGCTCACTGGAACCTCCGCCTTTCGGGTTCAAACAATTCTTGTGCCTCAGCCTTCCTAGTAGCTGGGATTTCAGGTGCCTGCCACCATATCCGGCTAATTTTTGTATTTTTAGTAGAGACAGAGTTTCACCATATTGGCCACGCTGCTCTTGGACTCCTGGCCTCGGCCTCCCAAAATGCTGGGATTACAGGCATGAGCCACCGCGCCTGGCCTGGACTTGGGGTTTCTGATGAGGTTTTCAACCTCTTACTGTAAATAAGACTGTACTTTACTGTGTACTATTTTAAAGTAAAGCTCTTGTTGAAACAAGGTCTAATCTTCCTAAGATCAGGTTTTCTGTGGGACTACTAAAGAGTTTATATATTATGTGCTTATCTTCACTGTAATGGCTGAGTTAATTTCATATTGATAAAAAATGAAAGATGTGTTAGTAGTTATTTTTGTCTATAAAGTGCATCATTATTTCCTGGTATTTATTTACCCTGTTTTCCCTAAATTCTTGAGTAAATTCAGACACACAGTACCAGAACAGAAGCTTGTTGTAGTGGCAGGTATTGCAAGAAAGTAATTGGAGATTAAGTTATATTCTAGGTAGATTTAATATAGAATGCCTTTACTAAACACTTTTGGGCAGTGGTTGTCAAAAGAAATGTGCATAGATTTCTGAGCTTCATTCCATCATTTTGCATTTTAAACAAAGTGATTCTGATACAGAAGATTCTTGGACCATATTTGGAGATAACTGATTTTTAGGGGGTAGTTTGCCAAAGTATTTAATAGAACAATCAATTTGTTAAGCCTGTTTTAAAGGTTCCCGGTTAAGGCCGGTCACGGTGGCTCATGCCTATAAATCCCAGCACTTTGGGAGGCCAAGGTGGGTGGCTCATTTGAGGCCAGGAGTTTGAGACCAGCCTGGCCAACATGGTGAAGCCCTGTATCTACTAAAAATACAAAAAAATTAGTTGAGCGTGGTGGTGTGTGCCTGTAATCCCAGCTACTTGGGAGGCTGAGACATGAGAATCACTTGAGCCTGGGAGGTGAAGGTTGCGTGAGCTGAGATCTCCCCACTGCACTCCAGCCTGGGTGAAAGAGTGAGACTCTGTCTCAAAAAAAAAAAAAAAAAAAAAAGGTTAATGGTTAGTTAACAATGAGACATAATTACAAACTAAGCAATGTATCATGTGGGGATGGGCAACTCGGGTGGCTGATCTAAATCCTTATTGTAGAGCTGGTGATTAGTCTTGCAAATGATTTCCTGAATCTATAAGTTTAAGCAGTCCATAATTTTCATTTCTTTACCCTTGAACCAATTTTATGTAGTTGACTTACTATAGAATAGTGGATTTTAGCCTTTTAAAACTCATAATCCCTATAATACTTAATTTCACTTTTTTGCATATTTCTTGTTTTTTTAATGTGTGAGGTTTTAAATTTTTGTTTATTTTTTCCTGCATATTTAATCTAAGAAGGTTGCCAAGTTTTACTTTCTGTGTTTTATAGTAGCTACTATGTATTTTCAATTTCTGTGCTAAGTCCTGTGCCAAATACTTTGTTTACATTGTTTCATTTAACTCTGGCAAATCTGCTGAAGTAAATTCTATTAATCCCCATTTCATAGATAGACACCAAGGCTCAGAGGTTACTTAAGCAAAATTGCCTAAAATTGTAAATGGTAGATAATAGTAGATATATTCAAGATGCCTTTTTGAATGATACAAAATTTTCCGGGGTTTGAAAACCTTGTTCTAATTAAAATGTACTTAACTATATTTCGCCATACCACTTAGTTTATAGTTTTGCTGGGGAGTTAACCTGGCAGTTAGAAATAAGAGTTCTCTGTTCCTCACTCAACCAGGCAACAGCTATTTGCTGTAAACATAAATTGCTCTTCAGTTCAATATAGTGAACTTTGGACATTTTTGGAAATCATATTTCTTCTACATGGTCCTGGGTCTTAAATTAGATAGCATGCTGTTTTGCCTTGATTGGCTTGGATTTGGCAGTAGTGAAACCTACTTGTTCATAAGAGGAAGTACAAATTGTCAGCTTTGAAGCCTGTTAAGCACAGGTCAGTGTTTAGTAAGTGCTGGATGACTGAATTTGAAAAGGATTTCAGACTAAAATAAGTTGTTAGGTAACCTTTCTTTGAGGAATTTTTTTTTTTTTTTTTTTTTGAGATGGCGTCTCATTCTGTCACCCAGTCTGGAGTGCAGTGGTGCGATCTTGGCTCACTGTAACCTCTTTCTTAATCTTTTTCTCTTTCTCTCATTAGCACCTGGGGCTGATGGCTTATGAGGAAATTGTTATAGTCTTTTAGTAGGTAAGTTTTGTCCCTATAGTCCCCTTCTGGCATGCTTGCTTTCTTTTTTCCATTTTTGTTCTTTTTTTTTTTTTTGAGATGGAGTCTCGCTCTGTCACCAGGCTGGAGTGCAGTGGCGCGATCTCGGCTCGCTGCAACCTCTGCCTCCCTGCAACCTCTGCCTCCCAGGTTCAGGCGATTCTCCTGCCTCAGCCTCCCGAGTAGCTGGGACTACAGGCGTGTGCCTCCGTGCCCGGCTAATTTTTTATATTTTTATTAGAGACAGGGTTTCACAGGATGGTCTCCATCTCCTGACCTTGTGATCCACTCTCCTCAGCCTCCCAAAATGCTGGGATTACAGCTGTGAGCCACCGCGCCCAGCCTGTTTTTTTTTTTTTTTTTTTTTTTTTGCCTTAGAGACAGAGTCTCTGTTGCTCAGGCTGGAGTGTAATGGCATGATCATAGCTTACTGCAGCCTTGAACTCCTGGTCTCAAGTGATCCTCCTGCCTCAGCCTTCTGAATAGCAGGGACTACAGGCCTGTGCCTCCACACCTGGCTAATTGTTTTATTTTTAGTAAATTGTTTTATTTTTAGTAACAACAATGTCTTGAACACCTAGGCTCAAACGATACTCCTGCTTTGGCCTCCAGAAATGCTTGGATTACAGGCGTGAGCCACAAGGCCTGGCCACCAGTATGCTTTCTAAACATTATTGAAAAGGGCTCATATTTGAGAATGTAAGGGAAAGGGAATTATTTTTGTGTTCTTCTTTGTAATTTTAAAATGATGGGATCAGACTAGAATAGCTGTGCTTTAAGTTTGTTTGTTTGTTTTTGTTTTTTTTGAGAGGGAGTCTCACTCTGTCGCCCAGGCTGGAATGCAGTGGCACGATCTTGGCTCACTGCAAACTCTGCCTCCTGGGTTCAGGCAATTCTCCTGCGCCAGCCTCATGAGTAGCTGGGATTACAGGCATCCACCATCACGCCTGGCTAATTTTTTTGTATTTTTAGTAGAAATGGGGTTTTGCCATGTTGGCCAGGCTGGTCTAGAACTCCTGACCTCAGGTGATCCACCCGCCTGAGCCTCCCAAAGTGCTAGGATTACAGGTGTGAGCCACTGTGCCTGGCCACGTTTTTAACAAAGTAATTTAGATACATTTAATTACATCACTAGACAGAAGACTTCACTAGCCTCTCTCTCTGTCCTTTTTTTTTTTTAGAGGCAAGGTCTTGCTCTGTCATCCCGCCTGGAGTGCAGTGGTGCCATCATGGCTCACTTCAGGCTTAACCTTCTGGGCTCAAGCGATCCTTTCACCTCAGCCTCCCAAGTAGCTGGGACCACAGGCGTGTGTCACTACACTCAGCTAATTTTTTGTAGAGGCAGGGTCTCCCTGTGTGGCCCAGGCTGATCTCAAAATTCCTGGCCTCAACCTCCTAAAGTGCTAGGATTACAGGCATGAGCCATTGCTATCACTCTCAGCCAGTCTCCTCTTTTTCTTTTTTCATTTCTTTTTTTTTTTTTTTTTTGAGACAGAGTCTCACTCTGTTGCCCAGGCTGGAGTGCAGTGGTGCATCCCGGGTCACTGCAACCTCCGCCTCCCAGGTTCACGCCATTACCCTGGCTCAGCCTCCTGAGTAGATGGGATTATGGATGCACACCGCCAGGCCCTTCTAATTTTTTTGTATTTGTAGTAGAGGTGGGGTTTCACCACGTTGGCCAGGCTGGTCTTGAACTCCTGGTCTCAAGTGATCCACCCACCTCGGCCTCCCAGAGTGTTGAGATTACAGGCATGAGCTACTGCTCCCAGCCAGCCTTCTTATTAAGAGACTGGTTATTCTCCGTCTATCATACTCTTAAACTGGCAGCCCTCTCCACTCAGGCACACTCACCAACATGCCCTCCTCTTTTTCTGCCAGATGGATCACCTTTATTTTATTGCTTATGTAAGCCTCTGAATCCTTAATAATATTCAGAATGGATAACTAGTCTTCACCATTTACCACTCCCTGTTTTGCTCTTCACTTAATCTGCTTGAGCCTTTCTAGGTCCCATTCCCTGCAAAGCCCATTTCCTGATCACTAATCCACGGTGATTTATTTCCTTCCGAAGACTGTAACCTCATTTGGCATTGACTGGTACATTCTGGTCTCACCTACTGAAGCTGTGTCCTAGGGCTGAGACTGTTTTATACTATCAGACCAGTTAGCATACTTGTTTTTTAAACATTTTATTTATTTTTAAGAGATGGGGGTCTCACTGTGTTTCATATAGACTTATGCTTAGTGATAATTGAGGTGAATTTGCTGGCATTTACCACTTAAGTTGGATAGATTTTCTTTTTTGTGTGCTTTCTTTGCATAGAAGTATTGGTGGAACTAAGTAAACTGAATTCATGCTTTTAAAAAACACTTTTTTAGCTTCTTATTTTTAGATAGTTTGAAACATAGCAGAGAATTCTTGGAAACTCTTTCTAGAGTCACTCATTTGTAACATTTTGCCACATTTAATTTGTCATTCTCTATGTAAATAAATTTGTTTCCTGAACTGTTTGAGACTGAGTTGAAGACATCATTCTCCTTTACTTATGCTGGAGCATTTCTTTTCTAAGATCAAAGGAAAACTATAGCCACAGTATAGTTTTCAAATTAAAGAAACATTGATAGAGTACTTTACTTTGTATCTCATGTTTCATTATTTCTTCAATTTTTCCGATAAAAATTTCCTTCAATGTGTTTTTTATTCTCTAGTAAATGATTATGTATTACATTTACTTGCAATATAATTATGTAGCAATTATGTAATAAGGACTGTTCCTCAATTTGGATTTGCCTGATATTTACTCCTGAGAGATTTAGGTTATGCAGGCAATGTTGTGTTCTCGGAACACCACATCTGCAGGCCCATGATAGCCATGTGCCCTCATTGGCAATGTGTACTTTGATTCTCCCTCAAGTTAGGGTGTTGTCCTGTTTCTCCGCTATGTAATTACTGTTTCCCTTGCACTAATAATTCTTTACCAATGTACTGCTTCTCATAAAACTTTCCCCTCTATATTTAGCTAGATATACATTTATTTTTTTCATTGTTTCATATTTTAATTTTTTACTTAATTATGAGATCAGGTCTCACTGTGTTGCCCAGGCTGGACTTAATTAAACTCCTGGCCTCAAGTGATCAGCCTCTTGATTAGCTAGTATTATAGGCTTGAGCCACCATGCCTGGCTGCATTTTTTTTTTTTTTTTTTTTTTTTGAGATGGAGTCTCGCCTGGTTGCCCAGGCTGGAGTGCAGTGGCATGATCTGTAAACTCGCCTCCTTGGTTCAAGTGATTCTCCTGCCTCAGCCTCCCAAGTAGCTGGGATTACAGGTGTCTGTCACCACCCCTGGGTAATTTTTTGTATTTTTAGTAGAGATGGGATTTCAGCATGTTGGCCAGGCTGGTCTTGAACTCCTGACCTCAGGTGATCCACCTGCCTGGCCTCCCAAAGTGTTACAAGCGTGAGCCATTACACCTGGCTGCATTTTTTTTTTTTTTTTTTGACACCAAGTTTCACTCTTATTGCCCAGGCTGGAGGGCAATGGTGTGATCTTGGCCCACTGCAACCTCTGCCTCCTGGATTCAAGTGATTCTCCTGCCTCAGTCTCCCAAGTAGCTGGGATTACAGGCGCATGCCACCACGCCCGGCTACTTTTTGTATGTTTAGTAGAGACTGGATTTTGCCATGTTGGCCAGGCTGGTCTCGAACTCCTGACTTCAGGTGATCACCTGCCTTGGCCTCCCAAAGTGCTGGGATTACAGGCATGAGCCCCAGTGGCCGGCCACGCATTTTTTTTTTTTTTTTTAATAGTTGGTTCTTTCTATGTTGCCCAGGATGGCCTCGAACTCGGGCTCAAGTGATGCTTCTGTTTTAGCCTCCTAAATACTTTGGACTATGGGCATGCCTGTCTTAGATGCACATTTTTAAAAGTTTTTTGAAATTGTAAAAAAAAAAATAACAAAATGTATTTTAACCATTAAGGATACAGTTCAATAGTGTTAAGTACATTCACATTGTTGTGAAACAGATCTCCGGAAGTTTTTCATCTTGCAAAACTAAAATTCAATAGTTTTTAAACAACAGCTTCCCATTTCTGCTTCTCCACCTGCTGTCAACCATTCTACTTTCTGCTTCTGTGAATTTGACTACTTTAGATACTTTTCATGTAAGTGGATTCATACAATATCTTTTTATGATTGGCTTACTTAATGTCTTCAAGACTCATTCATGTTGTAGCATGTGCCATGATTTCCTTTTTTTTTGAGACAGAGTCTCACTCTATCACCCTGGCTGGAGTGCAGTGGCGTGATCTCTTCTCACTGCAACCTCTGCCTCCTGGGTTCACACAATTTTTGTGCCTCAGCTTCCCCAGTAGCTGGGATTACAGGCATGCACCACCATGCCCACTAATTTTTGTATTTTTAGTAGAGACAGGGTTTCACCATGTTGGCCAGGCTGGTCTTGAACTCCTGGCCTCAAGCAGTCTGCCTGCTTCAGGCTCCCAGAGTGCTGGGATTACAGGTGTGAGCCACCACACCCAGCCTATGATTTCATCCTTTTTAAGACTGAAACTATTATTTTGTATAATATATTTGTATATCTATATATCTCTATCTGTCTAGCTCATACTTTGTCCTTTCATATGTCAGTAGACACTTGGGTTGCTTCCACCTTCCACCTTTTTGGCTAATATCTCTTTGAGATCCTGCTTTCAATTCTTTTGGATATGTACCCAGAAGTGGGATTGCTGGATTGTATCGTAATTCCATTTTTAACTTTTTGTAAAATTTTCTTTTGCATTTAGCTATTTCATTTTTTCTCAGGTTAAACTTTGACATCGTAACCAGTCTCACAAAGAGATGAAATATGAACCACAATAAGCTTGCTTCAGTTTTACCTCTTCCGTGATTTAGTTTGCTGCTGTTTGTAAGGCAAGGTAGTTTCTAAAATCATTGGCTCAAAATAAAATGAATCTGGATATTATTGTTTTTTTCTTTTTCCTTTTTCTGTAGAGACACCATCTGGCTATGTTGACCAGGCTGGTCGTGAACTCCTGGCCTGAAGCTATCCTCCTGTCTTGGCCTCCCAAAGTGCAGGGATTATAGGCATGAGCCACCATTCCTGCTCCTGGCCTTTTTTTGTTTTGTTTTTGAGACAGGGTCTCTGTCACCCAGGCTGGAGTGCATTGGTCCAATCATGGCTCAAGCAATCCTCCCACCTCAAGCCTCCTAAGTAGCTGTGACTACAGGCATGTGCCACCACGCCTAGCTAATTTTTATTTATTTATTTTTATTATTATTTTTTGAGAATGAAGTCTCACTCTGTCTCCCAGGCTGGAGTGCGTGCAGTGGTGCGATATTTTGACTCACTGCAGCCACCGTCTCCCAGGCTTAAACCGTTCTCCTGCCTGAGCCTCCCCAGTAGCTGGGACTATAGGTGTGCGCCACCATGCCTTGCTCATTTTTGTATTTTTAGTAGAGATGGGGTTTCACCATGTTAGCCAGGCTGGTCTCGAACTCCTGACCTCAGGTGATCCGCCTGCCTTGGCCTCCCAAAGTGCTGCGATTACAGGCGTGAGCCACTGTGCCCAGCAACACAAAGTAACTGTTAAACCCTAGTGTTCTTCCCCCTTAAAATTTTGGCACTGGCCAGGTGCAGTGGCTCACGCCTGTAATCCTAATACTTTGGGAGGCCAAGGAGGGCAGATCAGTTGAGGCCAAGAGTTTGAGACCAGCCTGGCCAACATGGCGAAACTCCATCTCTACTAAAAATACAAAAATTAGCGGGGCGTGGTGGCACACACCCACTTGGGAGGCCAAGGCATGAGAATTGCTTGAACCTGGGAGGTGGAGGTTGCAGTGAGCTGAAATCAGGCCACTGCGCTCTAGCCTGGGCAGCAGAGTGAGACTCTGTTTCCAAAAAAAAAAAAAAAATTTTTTTTTTGGCACTTACTCCTAAATTATTAAGATATTTATTTTAAAAGAATTTTGGGGCCGACTGTGGTGGCTCACACCTCTAATCCCAGCACTATGGAAGGCAGGCCGATTGCTTGAGCCCAGGAGTTCAAGACTACTCTGGGCGACATAGGGAGACCACGTCTCTATTAAAAAGAAATTTTCTTTTTGAATAGTATTACAGATTCACAGAAAGTTTTATTTTCAAGGAATTGCAGATTTGCAGACAGTTGCAGTATTTTTAATTAAGCCGTAATACCTGAATCGTTTTAGTTTAGAATCTTTGGGTAGTGGTTAAAGACTGAAAGTGGATAAGGGTTAGGAGTCACTAATACGTTAACACATGCCTTTATGCTGCACAAATTGGGTAGGGTATCTTATTACTCAACTCTTGGGAGTATTTGTAGAAAGTTATTTTGGAAAACTTAAAGCAAGGGATACCAGTCAGCCTTTTCAGCCTTTCACCTAAACACTTGTTCAATAAAATCTTGGTGAGCATTCACATGAGACGTAAATGTCTTCCCTTAGAAAAAGCTAAAGCAAAGGTGCTTGCTAAAATATCAGATTCCAGTTCCACTATAGGAAAGTTTTATGATTTATGTTTTGGGCAGGACTTAGGAATTTCCACTGCAAACACTCCGAGGAGTTGTGATGTGTTTTTTCACAGACTGTACTTGAAGAATTAGGGTTTTGTTTTGTTTTGTTTTTCTTTTTGAGGTGGAGTCTCGCCCTGTCACCCAGGCTGGAGTGCTGGAGTGCAGTGGCGTGATCTCAGCTCACTGCAACCTCGGCCTCCTGAGTAACTGGGATTACAGGCGTGCACCACCACACCTGGCTGATTTTTGTATTTTTAGTAGAGACGGGGTTTCACCATGTTGGTCAGGCTAGGAGAAATTAGGGTTTTTAAGGGACCATAGTTTTGTTTCTACTTTATATTCTTATTAAGTTTATAGTTTCATAGGTTAGTGGTTCTCAAACATTTTAGCCTACTTAGAAAATCTGTTTTACATCTGGATCCATATATCCTTATATACATGTGTGAAACAGATTCATTGCAGTTACAGATATTTACTTCTACTCTTAACTCTGATTTTATTTTAATCATAGTGTGACCCCTGAAATTGATTTCAAAATTAATGTCTCCATCCTTAGTTTGGTAACACTGCCCTAGGTGTTATCTGTGTAAGGGTGACAGCATGGTTACTGAAATGAAGCAAAGACAGACATGTGATCCCCATTTCTTCTTAAAGTGATTTATCTTTTTGGTCCTTTGAGGATGTTTTATTATTATTTTGAAATATTTTTCCGCTTTGCCAGGCATTCACTACCCACACACAATTACCATTTTTATTTCCCCTTTTTCCCCCTTATTGTAGTTTTCACTCATCATTACACAATTAGGTGCTTCTTCCCTATGTTACTAAAAGCATTTAACGCTTGAGTATTTTGTATGCTTATGTGGGAACAGCAGAGAATAAAAACAATCCAGTTGCGAAATATTAACATTCTTACTGAACTTCATAAAGATAAACATACCAGATTCCATTACTTGATATAAACAGCTATAAAATAATTGGCTGGGCCATACTTGCATTGAGAGTATAAATTAAAGACATGGGAAGGAGCCTAAATTCTAGCAAAATTGGCTGGTTGCAGTGGCTCACGCCTGTAATCCCAGCACTTTGGGAGGCTGAGGCTGGTGGATCACTTCAGGCCAGAAGTTCAAAACCAGCTTGGCCAACATAATGAAACCCCATCTACTAAAAATACAAAAATTAGCCAGGCGTGATGGCTCGCGTCTGTAATCCTAGCTGCTCAGGTGGCTGAGGCATGAGAATAGCTTGAACCCAGGAGGCGGTGGTTGCAGTGAGCCGAGATTGTGCCACTGCACTCCAGCCTGGGCGACAGTGAGAGTCTGTCTCAAAAAAACAAAACAACCGCCCCCCCCCCCAAAAAAAAAACCTCTAGTAAATTATTAGGTGTTTTTTGTTTTTGTATTTGTTTTATTTATTTTTATGTTATGTTATTTGAGACGGAGTCTCTCTCTGTTGCTAGGCTGGAGTGCAGTGGTGCGATCTCGGCTCACTGCGACTTTCACCTCCCGGGTTCAAGCGATTCTCCTGCCTCAGCCTCCCGAGTAGTTGGGACTACAGGCGCGTGTCACCACACCCAGCTAATTTTTGTATTTTTAGTAGAGACGGGGTTTCACCATGTTGGCCAGGCTGGTCTTGAACTCCTGACCTCAGGCCTCCCAAAGTGTTGGGATTACAGGCGTGAGCCACTGTGCCTGGCCTTTTTTTTTTTTTTTTTTTTTTTTTTTTGAGACAAAGGCTTACTCACTTGCTCAGGCTGGAGTGCGATAGCGCGAACATGGCTCACTGAAGCCTTGACCTCCCAGACTCAAGCAATCCTCCCACCTCAGCCTCCCAAGTAGCTGGGATCACAGGTACATACCCCCACACCAGGCTAATTTTTCCTATTTGTAGAAACACGGAGTCTTCCTATGTTGCCCAGGCTGGTCTCAAACTCCTGGGCTCAAGCAATTTGCCCACCTCACCCTCCCAAAGTGTTAGGATTGCAGACGTGAGCCACTGCATCAGGCTGTAAGTTACTAGTTTGAAAATAAGATTAAATCACTTACATGAAGCAAATTAAATAAAGTAAATATTAACCAAGGAAAATGGCTGCCGCGTATTCACCTATTGATCTTTATCTGAATCCTTTTAAGGTCAGAAATAGTGTTTCATTTTACACATGCAAAAATGAGTTTAGAGGATACAAACAGTTGATAAAAGACAGCTGTGAAACTTCACCTCAAACATTAAGATAAGTATGGTTTAGTTAGTCCTAATAAAAGGAAGGGAGCCAGGCATGGTGGCAGGTGCCTGTAGTCCCAACTACTTGGGAGGCTGAGATGAGAGGATTGCTTGAGTTCAGGAGGTTGATGCTGCAGCAATCCATGATTGCACCACTGCGTTCCAGCTTGAGTGACAGAGTGAGGCACCGTCTCTATAAAAAAATTTTATAAATCAGTAAGAGGAAGGGCACTTCTCTTCATTCAGGTATTGAAACGTGAACATGTGATGGGGGCAAAATTATGCCTTCTTACAAGTTAGAAAATGTTATTGTTAATGCAAGTAGTGATATCACATCAAATAAGTCACATTGTTTATGTTGGTTCTGCATTAAAACACAAGAAGCACCTCTTTTGTCCTGTCATCTTTTGAAAAAGTGGTTAATGAGCACCTATGTACTGTGTAAGAAAGGGTTAAATGCTTAAAGTTACTTTGAGTTAAGTAGTCAGGAAGCAAACACTTGGTTACCAGAAGTTAGAATGGAGAAAGCAACTTTCTGTGCAGTCTGATACAATAGGAGGTACCTTTCCTTTTTGGACTATCCGAGACCTAATCTTGTCTTACCGTAGGTAAAAAAAAAGCCTTTCCTTTTTATGTTTTGTAAGTATTTGCTGTAAGTTGTTGGTTTGTGGTAGCCAGACTAACAAAGAATTTTGGGAAAAAAGTATTCAGGTGCTAGAATAATACCTGGTGTATGCTGGCTCTTTGTAAATCCTGCCCACGTTTAGGTTTGTCCACAGCTGTTAGTACCTAATATCAAGATTTCTTCCTAGCAAAGGTATTCTGAACCTTTTTGGGAGCATAAGAACATTTCTGGCTGGACACGGTGGCTCACGTCTGTAATCCCAGCACTTTGGGAGGCTGAGGTGGGCAGACTGCTTGAGCTCAGGCATTCGCCTGGACAACATGGTGAAACCCTGTCTCTACAAAAAATACTAAAATTAGCCAGGCATGGTGACGTGTGTCTGTGGTCCCAGCTACTTGGGAGGCTGAGACGGGAGGATTGCTTGAGCCTAGGAGGTCGAGGCTGCAGTGAGCTGTGATGGTACCACTTGCACTGCAGCCTGGATGACAGAGTGAGATCTTGTCTTTAAAAAAAAAAAAAAAAAAAAAAAAGAACATTTCGGAGAATCTGAGCACTGAAGATTTGTAGTGTAGAAAATATAGACATATATAAAACACTGGCATCTAGTTTTGAAGGTTCCACGTGACTGACTACCTGAAGCCAATCTTTGGGTTTAGATCTAAGCCCCTTTGCCTTACAGGATTGGCATTACAGTTGTATTGTGTTAGATATTGTTGGAATCAAATAGTGCATATAGTCAACATGCTAACCTATATGCTGAAATTATTTGGTAGTGTGATTTGATTTTATGTGAAGAAAACTTAGTATAGCAAGTTTATTTTAAGGATCAGGTTCTTGATATTCAGCCCAGGCACGTTAAGCCACTGTTATTTCTAACTCTATTTATGAAATAAGGTTATTAGAAACTGAGAATTTTAAAGATTCGTATTAGATACCATGGTTTGCAAACAGAGTCTGGACCCGTAATGGAGTTTTCAAATCAGTTTAATGGGTCTGACTAGCCTTAAAGCAAATGAAGTAGGCCAGAGTAGAAAAGAAATTATGTATCACAAAATACAAGGTTAAGTACTTGGTGAAACTTTTGCTTAAGTGTGTGTATTTATGTATATATGGATGCATGTATACATTCATAAGTAGTCTTTTTTTTTTTTTTTTTTTTTTTTTTTTTTGAGACAGAGTCTTGCTCTGTTGCCCAGGCTGGAGTGCAGTGGTGTGATCTCAGCTCACTGCAAGCTCTGCCTCTTGGGTTCACGCCATTCTCCTGCCTCAGCCTCCCGAGTAGCTGGGACTACTGGCGCCTGCCACCATGCCCGGCGAATCTTTTTGTATTTTTAGTAGAGACGGGGTTTCACCGTGTTCGCCAGGATGGTCTCGATCTCCTGACCTCGTGATCTGCCCACCTCGGCCTCCCAAAGTGCTGGGATTACAGACATGAGCCACTGCACCCGGCCCATTCCTAAGTGTTTTTATTGGATTGCAATGCAAATATATTTCTTAATGTGAGATGATTTAAAAAGAAAGCCACAGCTCTGTAACTGTTTGCTTTGGAAGTAGTTTGAGTATCTGAGTTCTTGATATTTTTGTGTTTTGGGAGACAGAATAGGTAACTAGTTAGGATGCAAGAGTAAAAGAGCAACTTTCTTTGAATCTTCAGTGATTAACCAATAAAGTTGAGATGGGATTTTACTCATTAAGTAGTTTTGGATAGTTAAGGCTGAATTTGCTTTGTGGAGGTTTTGAAAGCTGTTATAACCAGAGGAAGAAATATATGTGTGTTTCACAAAGTTGTAGCTGCATTTACTGAAAATGTTGTATATGGTTCAGTGAATGTAATGTATGTGATGCTTAACATAAAGCTATCTGAGAAAACATTCTGATTCAAGACTGGAAATATCTACTTTAAGTATAGTCAACTATTCTGTCATTGCTTAGGGCAGCTGTTTGTTTTTACCAAAAATGTAGAACCTAAAGAAATGAAGGTCTTTGAACTTTTGGGGGAAGAGATAGTAGATTTTTGTAGTCTTGTTTTTTAATATGAAATAGTTTTCGGGAAAGGTTATATAAATAAGCATCAGATGTTGTTTACGTTTAAGAAATTGAATTATAGATGTTAACTTAATGTCTTCTTTTTTTCTTCCATTTCTTTCAAAGGTTTGGGCCCCATGGTATCCCTGTGACAGTATTTCCCAAAAGGGAATATAAGGATAAACCAGAAGCCATGCCGCTCCAAAGTAATACATTCCAAGAAGGGACAGAAGTCAAGTGTGAAGCAAATGGTGCTGTTCCCGATGACCCTTCTCCTGTCCCGCATCCCGAGCTGAGCTTGGCTGAAAGCCTGTGGACTTCCAAACCACCACCTCTCTTCCATGAAGGAGCACCTTATCCTCCCCCTTTGTTTATCAGGGACACATATAACCAATCAATACCTCAGCCACCTCCTCGGAAAATTAAGCGACCCAAACGAAAAATGTACAGGGAAGAACCCACTTCAATAATGAATGCTATTAAACTACGACCCAGGCAAGTTCTGTGTGATAAATGTAAAAACAGTGTTGTTGCTGAAAAAAAGGAAATTAGAAAAGGTAGTAGTGCAACTGACTCTTCTAAATATGAAGATAAAAAACGGAGAAATGAAAGTGTAACTACTGTGAACAAAAAACTGAAAACTGACCATAAAGTGGATGGGAAAAACCAAAATGAAAGCCAGAAAAGAAATGCTGTGGTTAAGGTTTCAAATATTGCTCACAGCAGAGGCAGAGTAGTAAAAGTTTCTGCTCAGGCAAATACATCAAAAGCTCAGTTAAGTACTAAAAAAGTTCTCCAGAGTAAGAACATGGATCATGCGAAAGCTCGGGAAGTGTTAAAAATTGCCAAAGAAAAGGCACAAAAGAAGCAAAATGAAACCTCTACTTCCAAAAATGCACATTCAAAAGTCCATTTCACACGTCGATATCAGAATCCTAGCTCAGGTTCCCTTCCACCCCGGGTTCGTTTAAAACCACAGAGGTACAGGAATGAAGAAAATGACTCTTCTCTGAAGACAGGACTTGAGAAAATGCGGAGTGGCAAGATGGCACCCAAGCCCCAGTCTCGCTGCACCTCTACCCGCTCAGCAGGTGAGGCCCCTTCAGAAAATCAGAGTCCCTCAAAAGGCCCTGAAGAGGCCAGCAGTGAGGTTCAGGACACAAATGAAGTGCATGTGCCTGGTGATCAGGATGAACCACAGACATTGGGCAAAAAGGGCAGCAAAAACAATATCTCTGTTTATATGACCCTAAATCAAAAGAAATCTGACTCTTCCAGTGCTTCAGTGTGTAGCATTGATAGCACAGATGATTTGAAATCTTCCAACTCTGAGTGTAGTTCTTCTGAAAGCTTTGATTTTCCTCCAGGCAGTATGCATGCACCTTCCACCTCCTCCACTTCCTCCTCTTCAAAGGAAGAGAAAAAGCTCAGTAATTCCTTGAAAATGAAAGTCTTTTCCAAAAACGTCTCTAAATGCGTCACACCAGATGGCAGGACCATATGTGTAGGGGACATTGTTTGGGCCAAGATATATGGCTTCCCTTGGTGGCCAGCCCGTATTCTTACTATAACTGTGAGCCGGAAAGATAACGGCCTTTTAGTCCGACAGGAGGCCCGTATTTCATGGTTTGGGTCTCCAACAACATCTTTCCTTGCTCTTTCACAACTCTCCCCCTTTTTAGAAAACTTCCAGTCACGCTTTAATAAGAAGAGAAAGGGCCTGTATCGCAAGGCTATCACAGAGGCAGCTAAGGCTGCCAAGCAGCTGACCCCCGAAGTGCGGGCTTTGTTGACACAGTTTGAAACGTGAACATGGGCAGTAAGGTAGGCAAGACCATTGGAAGTCACCACAGATTTTCTAGTCTAGTTAGGAATAATTTCTACAAAATAGCGTGGCCAGATTGGAGAGAGAAGTTGCACTCAGTTGGCTGGCTTTTTAATACTTACCTTATAGCCATTTTTAGACTGAGAGCTTAAACTGAACATATAATCAAATTTTGTGTTAAGGAAGTGAGATTTTAGCAGTATTTTTCAGTTTTGAAGTTCGAAACCATCCCAAGGCATAGGAGCCATAGCCTCAACTGAAATTGAATTTTTGTAGGGACTGTTAATTGCCATTTGTACCTAATACTGTATATATACATATATATACGTGTGTGTGTGTGTATATATATATATCCGTGTATGTATATATACACACATATATATGTATATATACACATATATATATATGAAATACAGCCTGTCACTGTGTGACACAGATTGCATATTTGGGATTGCAATAAGGGCTTGGTGAGCTGGGGGAATAGTGGATATTTAATGACTACTTGTTTTTTAAATAATGAACACTTAGCCTTTCTATGCGCATAATGGTGTAAAAGTTAGATGGTTAGGTGTTTGACAAACAGATGGTTGCAATTCAGTTACAGACTGGGGAAATAGCCCAGTGTTTGGGATTAAAACTGTCAAGACTGGATAGGTGTTAGTCATCACTGTCTTTCGTCCAGTGGGGATTTAATAAATACTTTCAAGCTTCTGGTTTGGGAGTTTAGATAGGTTTGATTTTGGATTTGTAAATAGTGATTGCTAAATTTGGTCAGATTTCTCCTGACTGGCTGTTCCTAAATTCTTAGGATATGTCCCAGTAAAATTATACTTTGTGAATTAATTGTCATATGTGTAATTGTTGCATTTTGGATGTACCTAATTTGATAATTAAAACAAAATAATTTCCGTTTAAGGTATCTGTTTGCAGGTCAGAAAATGAGAAAATGTAATTGTGTAATGCTCTGAAATGTAAAAAAAAAAAAAAAAACCAAAAAAAAGCTGTAAATAAAATCAACTAAATCCAAATTATTTGTGTGTGTTTCTCAAAAAGCTTTGAAAAATTTCAAGATGGTAGAAAATTATTCTTTGTAAGAGTGTTTAGAAGAGATGAAAAATCAAACTTTTATTTTGCTATTTGCCCTATCAGGGAATATATTATCTGAGATAAGAAAACTTCAAATAATGAGAGATGAATCAGTATATTCTCAAAATAAGATTTTGTAGTATAGAGGTTTGATAATGCTTTTAGATTTGATATCCCCTTCCTGCCAATTTCTCATAAATGTGTGAATTTTAATTTTTAGTCTTAATATTTCATCACATGCTTCCTTTTTTTACATTCGGGTAATTACAACCGGTCTCTTCTGTTTGGTTTTCTGCCTCATGTATCACTGCTTTTGGGGCTAGTAACTTAGCTTACTATTTTTCTACATGGTCCATCTGTCCCTAAGATTTGATTTCTTATTTTCCATTTTTAGCTTTGTATTAGTAGTGAGAAATATATCTGATTGGCTGTGGAGGCAAGTTTATCTCAAGATTTTTAAAGTTGCTTTCATACTTTGTGTCTTAACTTTTGGATATCTAATTTCAATACTTTTAGAAATTTAAAATTTAGCAGTTTTTTGTGGATTTCTAAATCCAATTTGAAGTAGTTACTATGGAACTCATAATGAAAAGATTAATGGAGATTGAAAATCAATAGTCTTGTCAGCTTTCTTAAGGTTATTGACTGATTGCGAATTTTTGCAGAAGCAAGTAGAATTTCTTATGGGGAACTCACTCAATGCTTTTTGATTATAATAAACACACATTTTGAAAACATGTTTCACTTGAGTAGAACATATTCTTTCCTGCAAACAGAAACAACTATACTTAAAAAAAAAATTCTTTGAAATTCACAGTGTGGTTGAGAAGTTATAAGGAACTATCCTAAAAGATTTTCCAAGTATTTGTTTCAGATTAATGAACTTGTTCAATCAGGTGTTTTTAAAAGTTTGAAATCTAAAGTTCAGAAAGACTTAAAAGTCATCAAAATATGTAATTCCAAGGCTTTGTGTAATGATCTGGGTGAGTTTTAACAGTAGTTTGAAGTAGACATTACTGATATGGTCAAGTGCTTGGTAAATGTGCTGTTGTGGCATAAACCAAATTGGATTTGTTTCAGAAGCCATGGGGAAAGAGAAGAAAAAAAAAACATGATTGTTGAATATAAAAATAACAATCAGTTTTGTAGAACACACCTTTGAGGAAAAGGTTGAGCATATCACAAATGATATGCCAAATGACCCCTTCGTTTTAAACTGGCAGTCTGGCATATTTCATTTGCAGTTTCAGTAGGGAAGCAAGTTTTAAAGAATCTCTCTAATCTTAAATGTGTATTCTAAACTCTAATAGCTGAATATTAAAAACTTTTATTCCAATGGAAATGTCTTAGATAAATTTGTCCAGTATCTACTGCAGATGGAGATAGAGTTGAATTGGGTAGTTGTAGCCACTTTATATTTCTCTTTGAAATGATAAAAGGCACTTATTCTTGATATGGAGATAACAGAAGTGGGTATTTTTTCCCCTTGGAGTGGGAGTAAACTGGCTTAGACCAAATCTGCGGCTTAAGTAAGAGTCGTGGCTAAAACAAAGGATTGGCCAGGGGAGAAACCAAGTGAAGGAAGAGTTGTGAAAGCTAAGAATGTCTTTATTTCTGGAAATTCTCAGAAATGTAAAGCATCAGAGTATTTTTCCCTTTTTACTTTCTAGAATTTATAGACCAGGAAGCTGACTAATCATTTGGAAGGAACATCCATTCAACTCTCATTTACAGATGTGGAACCAAAGACCAAACAATTATCTGTGAGAGGCCAGGTGCGGTGGGTCATTCCCATATTCCTAGAAGTTTGGAAGGCCAAGGTGGGATGATTGCTTGAGGCCCGGAGTTCGAGACCACTCTGGGCAACATAGACCCCCGTCCCCGCTGCCATCTCTGCAGAAAAATAAAAACTTAGCTGGGCATGGTGGCGCACGCCTATAGTCCCAGCTATTCGCCTGTATCCTAGCTACTTGGGAGGCTAAGATGGCTTGAGGTCAGGAGTTGGAGGCTGCAGTGAGCTATGATCACACCACTGCACTCTGGTCTGGGCAAGAGTGAGACCCTGGCTCTGAAAAAAAACCCTATATATCAGTGTGATAGAGAAACTGGGATTCACTAGTCTGGAGCCTTTTTGCATAACGTGGTGGTGTGTCCCTAGATGGTTTTGATGGGGAAAAAAATCTGTAAATAGTAATTGTAGATTAGTACTAAGTTGAATAGGCAGGAATTTTGATGTGAAAACAGACTGGAGGCAAAGAACAGGGAACTGATACTAAAATCAACAAAATGAATATATCTTCACTAGTGAGCCTGAGTATCTAAATTGCAACATATTAAATTGAGTTACACTCCTATTTAAGCAGGTTGTACTTTTCTAAAAATTGCTTATGTTTAAAAGGTCACAAGTCTAGAATAACTGAATTGGGAATTGGAAATACCTTAAGTCTATAATTTGTATCTAAAATTAGGTTTTCCCTTTTAAGTTGTTAATTTTCTATGGTTTGTGCTGCATGCTTTCACTTTTATTAGTACTTACAGCCAAAGAGATGGGCAAATGTCTAGAAAAATTAATGTTTTGATTCAGGAATTTGTGCCTAGTGATGGCCTCCAATAGGGAATTTTCCAGAGAGAATGAAGACTCAGTTTCTAAGTTGGGGCAAATTTAGTTTTTGTTTTGGTATTCTTCTTATATTACAGCTATTAAAACAATCTCTTAAAAAATGCCGGATATGGCTGGGCACGGTAGCTCATGCCTGTAATCCCAGCACTTAGGGAGGCTGAGGCAGGTGGATCACCTGAGGTCAGGAGTTCGAGACCAGCCTGGCCAACATGGCGAAACCCCCGTCTCTATTAAACCCTGTCTCTTCTAAAAACACAAAAATTAGCTGCGCATGGTGGCATACGCCTGTAATCCCAGCTACTCGAGAGGCTGAGTCAGGAGAATTGCTTGAACTCGAGAGGCTGAGTCAGGAGAATTGCTTGAACCCGGGAGGCGGAGGTTGCACTCCAGCCTGGGTGACAGAGTGAGACTCTCCCAAAAAACAAAACAAAACAAAAAACATGCCGGACATAAGGGAATTCAGAAATAGGATGCCATGCCAATTTCGAGGAGAAAATAAAATGGCGAGTGTGCATTAGTTACTTTTACCTGGTTCTGATTTAGTTAATAGGCCCTTCATATTCCAAATTTACAGTTTGTGTAGATTTACTGTATTCCTTCATTCAACAAAAGAACAGGATTAAAAAATGAAAGCATTAGCTAATAGTAATATGCTTTGTTGTGCTATTTTTGAACGAAGGAATAGGAAGTTTAAAGTCACAGTGATATAGCTGATCTGTATATTTTTAGTTTTCCAGGGTATTTTGGTGTCTTTACCATGGATAATTGACACTAATATAAGATAAACAACTCTTTGTCTTATCTTTACTCAAGTAAGAGACCTAACGTTTATAGATCCAAACAGGATTTTTGTTTTCCTTTCCTTGTGGCATGTATGGAAATCACTTTCTCCTTGTTATATTAATGGAGCACTGTGATTTTTTTGTGTGGTATTTAAAAAATTGTAGTTAAATAGATGTAAAATTTATCATCTTAATCATTTTTAATTATACAGTTCTGTGGCATTAAATACATTCACAGTGTTGTTCAACCATCACCACCTTCCATCTGTAATTTAGTTTTGATAGAAATTTTTTAAATTAGGATGGCACTTGCTAGAAGGTGTTGGAAATTAAGTTACAAGAGTGTTTTTCTTGGTCAGTGGTGTGATTGGAATATGCTGCTGGCATTACCCCACTTCCAGGATTCCTTCCTGATCAACCTGTAGTCCTATACAAGGAAATAACTGTAGCTTACAATGCTAATTGGTGCCCCAGCCCCTCCTTTTTTTTTTTTTTTTTTGAGATAGGGTCACACTCTGTCACCCAGGCTGGAATGCAGTGGCGAGATCACAGCCTAGACTTCCTGGGGTCAAGCAGTTCTCCCACCTCAAGCCCCCTGCCCCTACCATAGCTGGGACTACTGGTGTATGTCACCATGCCTGGCTAATTTTTAAAAAATGTTTAGTAGAGACAAAGTCTCCCTTTGTTGCCCAGGCTGCTATCAAACTCCTGGGCTCAAGTGATCCTCTCGTCTTGGCCCCCAACAAAGTGCTAGGATTATAGGCATGAGCCACCGTGCTCGGCCAGTGTCTCCATTTTTAAGAACTGTAACTGCCAAATTTTTAGGTGAATTAGTGTGACTGCACTTACCTAGAAGTTAGTTGGTTTTGGTTAAAACTGTTCCCTTCCAGTAACATAAACTTTTATATCAAGGCATATTTGTTTTCCATTAACTGTACTGACATAAAAAGTGGAAAAAGCAAGTAAATTTCAAAAAATGGTATACATATTATTAAAATATGACAAAAAGTGTGATGGTATGTAAAACTTGGAAAGTAGTTTAATTCCATTACTAATTTAAATGACTTCCATATTCACAATTGACAAATTATTTATGAGGCTGAACATGGTGGTTCATGCCTATAGTCCCAGCTACTCCAGAGGCTGAGGCAGGAAGATGGGGTTCCACCATGTTGGCCATGCTGGTCTCAACTTCTGACCTCAGGTGATCCACCCGCCTCGGCCTCCCAAAGTGCTGGGATTATAGGCGTGAGCCACTGCGCCTGGCCCATAAAGCCTTGATGTTAAAAACACACCAATAGCAAACTTGGTTTAAAGGTGAATTAAAAAAAATGTGTGTATATATATATATATTTATTTATTTAGAGACAAGGTCTCAGTCTCGCCCAAGCTAGACTGTAGGGGTATAATCATGACTCACTGCAGCCTTGACCTCCTGGGCTCAGGCGATTCTCCTGCCTCAGCCTCATAGTTGGGGCCACAGACACATACCATCACACCTGACCAATTTTAAAAAATTATTTATAGAGACAGGGTCACACTATGTTGCCCAGGCTGGTCTTGAACTCCTGGGCTCAAGCAATAACTTCTGCCTCAGCCTCCCAAAGTGGTGGGGTTACAGGTATGAGCCACTGTGCCCAGCTAAATATTTTTTCTTCACATTTCTGATATTTTGTAAAGTATCATTAAAAAGAAGTTGAGAACAGTCATTATTTAAATATGGAAGTTTCTTTGTGTCATAAGAATGTGACAGTTATAAAGGCCGGGCGCGATGGCCCACTTCTGTAATCCCAGCACTTTGGGAGGCTGAGGCAGGCGGATCACCTGAGTTAAGGAGTTCAAGGCCAGCGTGGCCAACATGGTGAAACCCCGTCTCTATTAAAAATACAAAAATGAGCTGGGCGTGGTGGTGGGCACCTGTAGTCCCAGCTGCTCAGGAGGCTGAGGTAGTAGAATGCCGTGAACCCAGTAGGCAGAGGTTGCAGTGAGCCAGGATTGTGCCGCTGCATTCCAGCCTGGATGACAGAGTGAGACTCCATCTCAAAACAAAAAAAAAAAGAATATGACATGTGACAGCCGGGCGTGTTGGCTCACACCTGTAATCCCAGCACTTTGGGAGGCCAAGGCGGGCGGATCATGAGGTGAGGAGTTCAAGACCAGCATGACCAACGTGGTGAAACCCCGTCTCTATTAAAAATACAAAAATTAGATGGGCATGCTGGCACGCACCTGTAATCCCAGCTACTCAGTAGGCTGAGGCAAGAGAATTGCTTGAACCCGGGAGGCAGAGGTTGCAGTGAGCCGAGATCGCGCCATTACACTCCAGCCTGGGTGACAGAGCGAGACTCCATCTCAAAAAAAAAAAAAAAAAAAGAATGTGACAGTTACTTGCTTATACTGACTTGGAAATCTGAGTCTTAACCAGAAACCATCATTAAAACTTCTCATAACTTTTTCTATCCTGGTTGTCAATATCTACAAGGAAAAGCCAAATACTTCATAGCTGAAGTGTTAGACTGTTATGATCACACTTTTTTCCTCTTCTCAAATAAAAACCTTGTAATTATAATGCATATCAGGGACCGAGTGCAGTGGCTCATGCCTGTAATCCTAGCACCTTGGATTACAGTCTCTACTGTACTGTACTGTTTGGATTACCCTGTCTGTACTAAAAATACAAAAATTAGCTGGGCATGGTGGTGGGTGCCTGTAGTCCCAGCTACTCGGGAGGCTGAGGCAGGAGAATCACTTGAACCCAGGAGGCAGAGGTTGCAGTGAGCCAAGATTGTGCCACCACACTCCAGCCTGGGTAACAGAGTGAAACTCCATCTCTAAATAAATAAATAAATAAAATGCATATCAGGTGTTAGCAAGGGCTTCTTGTTTTTCTTTTTCTTTTTTTTTTTACTATTTAAGGTAATTTTGTACCCTTCAGTGTCCCTCATTTAGATTCACTTAAAAGCTGTTGAAAAAGCCTAGGGATGTCAGGTAAAATATGATAGAATTTTTTTATTGCCTGTGGAAAAATTTTTTGTAATGTGAAAGTGTCATCGAGTTGAGTGTAAAAGAAAGAAATGGATACTTAGGAGTATATATATATAACTTGCCAGTGATGCAGGTGAGTTTAAGCATTCATTAACATTTTTAGGACCAGGTGCCTTGGCTCATGCCTATAATCCTAGTACTTTGGGAGACCGAGGCAGGAGCATCATTTGAGTCCAGGAGTTTGAGACCAGCTTCGGCAACATGGTGAAACTCTGTCTCTACAAAAAATACAAAAAAATAAGGTGGGCTCGGTGGTGCACGCCTGTAGTCCCAGCTACTTGGGAGGCTGAGGTGGGAGGACCACTTTAGCCTGGGAGGCTGAGGCTGCTGTTAGCCATCATCCTGCCACTGCACTCCAGCTTGGGCGACAGAGTGAGACCCTGTCTCAAAACACAAAAAAGATTTTTGCAACAGTAGTGCTTAATAGCAGGCTTTTATTGAGCAAAGAACCATTCCCTTTCACTTTTCAGGCACATGGCTCAAAGTACAAGCTCTTGAGCCAGATTTGCTGGATTCAAAGCCTGACTTTGATCAGCCACTTACACACTATGTGATCTTAGGCAGGTTACTCCCAATATCATCACATGTGAAATAAGGAGAATAATAGTATCTCCTCATAAGATAATTGTGAGAATTTAAAAGAATATTTAAAGCAATAAAAAAAATGTCTTGCATGAGGCTGTATAAATACTTGCCATCATTACTACCACTGCAGTCACTTTGTGTTGCACGGTAAATTCTGGTAGCTTTCGATACTATCATTCTGCAACATATACTCAGTATAAATGGAAATATAACAATGTTATTTGTACCTGAAAATTTTGAGAAATCATAGCATGATTATTCACAAGTCTCTGGAAGTAGCATGGACTCACTAGTTTTAATAGGCATTTGCAGAGGTTAACTGAATCGAAGGTCATGAGGATTATGGTTAAAGGAGACCTGTGTTAACATATTTCAACTCTTGCCCCATTCATTTATTTAACACACAAATTCCAGTGATCTGGTACTCACTTTCCTATTCTACTCTCCCTTATGCCAAACACAGGGCCTGGCATGGGGGGAAATGATTGTCTTCTTGTGAATGAATGATGAGCAATTCTGGTTCAGACATGTCCTAATGACCGATGACCATCTCAGATGCCCCACACATCCCGAACCCTTTCCATGACACATAAGTATCTGAGCTGGTAGGGCCCAATGCAGTGGAGGTCCTATTAGGAGAACTTCACAAAGATGTTAGAACTACAAAGCTACATTTGTCAGCTTTTGGGTAAATTAGCTGATTTGCATAGATGCTGTGCTTCCCTAGGACCGTAGCATTTTACTATTTTAATGTTTTGCCGTATGGAGGAAAAGTGGAGATTAATTTGAACATTTTCGTTTTTATTGCTGCTCGTATGATTGAGTAGATTGTCTCCTCTTTCTAGGAGGGAAATGCCACACATTCCAACGCCTTGAACTGTGTGTGGTTTGGCCATATTTTCCAGAGGATAGTCATTTTTACCCATGGGTCATTTTGGGGATGCTGTTAATCACAAATCTGTCATCTCCCCCAACAGTTTAGTTTTAGCAAGGAATCTGGCTGAGTGTGGCACATCTTGGTGTGAGTCCTGGTATACTGGGAAGAATTACATGCAGTTTGTCTAAAAGAGCTGGTTAGAAAAATAGCACTAAGGTTGGAAAGCCAGAAGGGCTATTGTAAGATGAGATACTGTTGATGCTTTTCCTGCTTGTTCATGTTGCATCATGCTTTACTGTATTAAGAAAATTCATTTTGAGTGTTCAGTGAGATAATGTCTAATGCTCTTAAGTTTTTAGTTTTTAATTGTGGGCTTTCTTTAAGAGCATAAACTCTACTTCTTTCGTGCACGCTAAGAGGGAGATTGAGGGTTACCCTGTTCTGGTTTGCCCATTACAGTTCTGCTGCTTCCCAAGAATAGTTGCCATTGTTGCACTTAAGCTTTCTCTCAAAGGACAAAATAAGTAATTTCCGATGAAATTGCCGCCTTTTCATGGGTCTCTCCCTCCACTTACTGCATCACAGCTGGGTCTCCTGGCTCTTCCTAATGGATATCCTGTGCTAGTGGTAAATTCTAAAGAAAAGCCTCGAGATCCTAAAAGCATTGAGGGGAAGATTATCTTAAACATTAGCACAAAAGACTCACAAACCAGGCACTGTGGACCAGGGACTGGTTTGTTAATATTTTGGCATTTCAGGGGGTTGCAGGTGAGGAATTGCACAGGGAAACATGAGATCATTCTTTGATACATCTTGACTCTCCTTGCTTAAAATTGAAAAGCAGATTCTCTAGAATGATTGTTGAAACCTAACAAGTTTTACTTGTAGAGGGAGAGGTTCAAAAGATAATTTCTTTTTTTTTTTTTTTGAGACGGAGTCTCGCTCTGTCGCCCAGGCTGGAGTGCAGTGGCGCGATCTCGGCTCACTGCAAGCTCCGCCTCCCGGGTTCACGCCATTCTCCTGCCTCAGCCTCCCGAGTAGCTGGGACTACAGGCGCCCGCTACCACGCCCGGCTAATTTTTTGTATTTTTAGTAGAGACGGGGTTTCACCGTGTTAGCCAGGATGGTCTCGATCTCCTGACCTCGTGATCCACCCGCCTCGGCCTCCCAAAGTGCTGGGATTACAGGCGTGAGCCACCGCGCCCGGCCAGATAATTTCTTTAGTGCACTCAGATTCCCTTATTCTTGTGTGATTGCTGTTGGGTTATAGTTGATAGTATATTAAGTTTTTCCATGAACAAAAGGATAAATACCTCATTATTAAATCTCACCCTAAAAAATTATTTTCCCAAGTTAAAATTCAGAAGTAATTATTTTTCTAGATCAGGTGTATACAAAATCTTTTCAGTGTCAGAAAAGCCTTTTATAAATAGGTTTTCATTATATACTGCTGCTTCTAATTTAACTTAGCATTAAAAAAACAATTATAAAGACTGAATGTTATCTAACTAATGATCTCAGAGTTGACTACACTGATGTGATAGGTGAATTGTTTTTTATTTATAGTTAGGAAAGTAAGCAAACAAGCCAATATGTTTAAAAATTAGGCTTAAGATAGCAGTCCTTCATTTAAATTACGCTTAGTATTTGAAGTCTGTTTTGAAAGCTTAAGTGTCATAAAAAAGCTTATCTTGTTATAACTGTTATTTCAACGAGGTATTACCTCACACAGTAAATTTAGGTCCTGAATGGTATGCAAGTGTGGTTATTGGGATTAAAGTGGAAAGGGGTTGAGGCAGTTTTTGGTCATTTTGCTAAAAAGGGTCAAAAGAGCCTCAGTATGGTGCCTCACGCCTATAATCCCAGCACTTTGGGAGGCCGAGGTAGGTGGATCACCTGAGGTCAGGAGTTTGAGACCAGGCTGGCCAAAACGGTGAAACCCCATCTCTACTAAAAATATAAAAAATTAGCCAGGTGTGGTGGCGGGCGCCTGTAATCCTAGCTACTCAGAAGGCTGAGGCAGGAGAATCACTTGAACCTGGGAGGAGGAGGTTGCAGTGAGCCGAGATCGTGCCACTGCACTCCAGCCTGCTAACAAGAGTGAGACTGTCTCAAAAAAAAAAAAAAAAAAAGGGGGTCATTGAGCTCATTAATTATGTAGTGTGGACAGAGATGACGGTTCAGCCTTATCTTTGAATACTGACTGAGAAGATCAGGACTTCTCCAACATAGGCTAACGTGAGATTAGTAAAACATTTTTTGTTAGGAACATCCAGTGTGAGTTAGCATTTCCCCTTTCATTTGTTAGTTTGCTTGGAGGGCAGAATCTTGGTGTGCCCCATTGCATCTTGCTGCGGATTTGACTTGAGCCGGAGAGTGCCCTCTCCTGGCAAAGGCTGTTGTGTCTACACAGCTCTCAAGTCTGTTTTCATTTAGTACCAAAGCTTCTCCTTCTGTGAAGCGAGCAAGTTATCCAGAATAAATTTGTTATGAAAATTCACCTGAATTTTGGTCTTATTTTAAAACTATTTTTTTGGTAAAATGGATGGATTAAAAAACTCGAATGCTTTATTTTTGTTAACTTGGTTTTTTCTACCATAGGTCTCAACAAATGGCAGCTATTACATCAGACAGTGACGAGTCCTGCTGCTCCCTTACAGTGTCTGACAGACCACTGTGGATTCAGACTGGGAGCATTGAAGTTAACAGTGAAACGGGCAGGTCTGTCTGTTTTAAGCCCTGCCACAAAGTGAAGAGGGCATCATGTCATCACTTAATCATTCCTGAAGTAGATTAGGCTAGACTTAAAAGAATTCATTAGTTCTTTTTCTTTAGTTTTCATTGACTTTGGTAGCCGGGTGTGCCTCGTGTAGGTGATAGTTTTAATGAATGAAAATAACTTTCCATTGATACTACCTGCCATGCCAAAAAAGAGGAGTCTCCTGTGAGCTTCTGTGAATTGAGAGCAGATTCTCTTAGGGTGGTAGAAGTTGGGTGTGACCTTGCAGAATTATGTCAAATAGCAACTGAGTCTCCATGGAAAGTCAAAAATACTGGATGTCTTTTATCTTTTCACTATCTCCGTCTTTTTTTGTCACTTTTATATTCATTAAACTTCTTAGTCATTACTTCTTACTGTATATATATAAGAATATATATGTGAACACATATGTGTATATATATTCTTAGTGAATTAGTCACAAAACCATTGTCATTTACATAAAGCAAGTCAAAATTCCAGAGGGTGGTAAAAGATAGTGCTGAAATATAGTCTATTTCTTTAAGTACATTTATTAATAACTCCTTGGATAAGGCCTAAAAGGCTTATTTTGGGCCCTTATAGGGTAGGAAAAGTTCAGGGATTTCTGTGTGTTTGCACTGCTTTGAAACTTACTACTTTTATTGCTTCCTTGAAGTAAGGCTGTTTAACCCTCTGGTGTTTGTACAGCTAGTGAAGAACTGTATAGTTGCATGGAAGCTGTAATTTGCAGGCTGGATCAGAATGGCAAATTTTGGATTAGAGATTGCAGCTGGGATTTTGGACACTTATCTGCGTAGGAGTGGTAGCTACCCTTAAGATGCGTATCTCTTGAGGGAATAGTGTTTTTTATTTTTCTGCACCTCTCATAGGAATAGTAAGATCTGTTTGAGTCCTTGCCTTTCCTGCCATAGATTTTAACTGAACTTAAATAGGCCTCACTAAAATTGAAGCCAAATATTGAGTCATAAATAGAAGGAAATGGAATTTTACATGGGATTGGGTGTTTACCTTTTCTTCCTTCAGTTTATAAAATGGGAACATTTGCTTCCAAAGTTCTGTGTGAGCCTTAATCTATTAGTATTGCAATCATATTAGTACAGTATCTTAGTTTTAGAAAGTAAAAACTGAGCTCAATGTCAAATTTTAAAACAGTGTAAATCATTTTTTTTTTTTCCAGAAGCAAGGACTACATTCATCTTTCATCTTGATGTGTGTAGTATTTGTCCCTAGAGGTCACTTTTCATTGCTTGAGGAGAAACATGATAGAATACCCAGTGAAATGTATTTTGTAGGGCTTGATCTAGTAAGCGAAGGAAGCATGGGAACACCGGAAGGCAACACAAAATCAAGTCAGTTCTGTCAAATCATGGGGAAGGTACCTCCTGTGAAATGTTTGGAAGTTAAATAATGGGAAGGACGGAGTGGTTTTTCTGTTTTCCTTGTTGCATTGTGTTTGATGTGTTTGTTATTATTCCACTGAAATACCATTTTTGGTATGCATTTGACCAAAAATTCATCTTTCTTTCCACGGATCATCTCTTTTGGAACTCAAACTCGTGTTGGTACTTGGGTTTCCAGGTTTGAGAGGCATAATCAGGGATTGTAGAGGGTTTCAGTGGGCTTCTTTCTACTTCGTAGTATTAGACGGAGGTTAGTAGTGTTGATCATTCTGGTCATGCTATTTAGCAGTAATTTGTATAAGCCTTGCCCTTTATAAACAGTGCGCTTGGAGTCCTGCTTCTTGTTGGAGGTATGGTGAAGAGGCCTCTGCTGAGAATCACGTTTGCTGGTGTAACAAGGGATACTGGTCCGTCTAACCAGTGTACATGTGTTGTCTTCTAGTATCAAAATGGTGCTCTTCATGCCTTCCGATGTGCTGTGTCTACTTCTGGGGAGGCACCCTCCATTCCCTTCTTATTTTGCTCTTTGCAAGTATGTGGACAGTGTGACCTGCTGCTGATTTGTACATAGCCTGGCTCTGTATATAAATTTGTTCCTTAAAACTGTAGGCTAGTCTGTGCTAGTAGAAGGCTGTTGGTGCTTCATAGCAGTCCCCAGCAACTAAGCTGACTCTCAGAGCACTGTACTGTGAAATGGCGATATAAGGAACAAAGTTAAAATTCCCCTGTTACTAGGCATTTATAAGCAAGTATTTTAAAAAAACACTCAAGTGCACATTGATTATGTAAAGATGACAGCCATTTTACTTGTGTTGGAAACTGGCCTGATAATACTTCAGAAATAACATGAATATTTCTGCTGGTTTAGAGTGGCAGTAAGTTGTTTTCTCAAAACAACATCGGTCAGGTTTAACCGATTTAAAAGAAAAAATCAGGTGTGATCCCACAATCTATGTAGGGCTTAAACAACAAGGACATCATTTTCCTCATATAATTACTTGTGCTTAACGACATTTTCTTCCTTTTCTTTACTATATTTCAGCACAAAGACATTAGCAGGCTGCTGGTTTCATGGACCTGTACCACAATGACACAGAGAACACCAGAGCATCAGGACTGAATGAAATTGGAGTTTTTAAAGCTGCACTAAGAAGTAAATGTTAAGGCAGTGGTTAAAAACAACAGTCTATAAAGGGGCACTTGCAAATTGTGCTGTCTTAAACCGAAGAAAAGGTATTAGGGAATATTTTATAAAAAATAAACTTGCAATAAATTATGCATGAGATGAGGAGAAAAATGATGTGAATTACACACGTAAGAACTCACTTGAATTTTATATATGAAGAAACACTGACAGTAACTTCTTTGGAATGTGAAGTTCTTATCAGTACAGTTTGGACAGGCCTAAAAGGCATGGGATGATGCAGAAATGCTGAATTATTTTTCATACTTAAACTTTGTGCTTTCTCCAAGGTTTAGGTTAATCAGTTCAGATATGAGCAAAGGTATTTCTAAAATGGCTCTTCTATGAAAAGCAATAGTCACATATGCCAAGGCCAATGTTTCCTTCAAGGTGCCAGTAGAAACAACAGAAAATAACATCCTGCTGAAAGGATGGCAAAGTGCCCCGCCCCACCCCACAAACACAATTTGGATCTTTTCCTTCTTTAATAAAGCAGGGCTGTATTATCTTGAATATATGTTTGCTTGTTAGAACATATTAAGATATATTTATTTGCCACTAGTATTTAACATTTTGTGCACATTTTCATAATTACATTCTTACCTTTCAAATTTTGACTCAAAGTGGATAGGCTAGTGTTGATATTGGAGTGCAAATGTATATACTCCAAGAGCTAGTTCTTAATTCTGCTGAGTTGGAAAGCCTTTTATTATTGTCTGTATCCTTACTGGTTTTATCTAGTTCAAAAAAGGTGACAACGTCTAAATTTTGATGTGGACCTCTCTCCATAGAGAGCCGCTCCTAAGTGCAAGAAATTCCAACAGGTGTCAGTAGGACTTGGCCCTGGGGGACAACAAGTGGCAGGAACAGGATCCTTTAAAACAGTGTCAAACTTCTCATGCATGGAGCATGAATTCTTACTAATAGAGACTGTAGTTTTTTTCTTGTCTTTGGTAAATATATAAAAGACCTTAATTTTTCTTTTTTAATGAATGGAGAAAACATGAGAAAACCAGATGGACCTGTTAGTACTACATTTTTAAGGCATTTTATATTTGATGGTGCCGTACTTTTAATAATAATAAAACTGAAGTTTTTTAGTGGCAATACTGATTTATTTTTTAAACCAGAAAGATAATCCATATTGATTACTTACTACAAAAAAGGGAAAATATGCCAAAAAATAAAAAACCTTAAAATTCATATGAAGCAACGTAACAGATAACTGAGCACTTGGCTCAAGTGGTCAGACTTTTCATAATGTTACTGTGTAAGTTTGGAATTACCTAATAACCCCAGGCTCAGGATTAACAGAAGGTTCTGGGTGAGTTTTAAAACATTTAATATACCTATGATTTGTTTTACAACTTGAAGAAAAGGCAGGCAGTCTTGTGTCTAATGAGCTTAATGCAAATTCTAATTATACTGCAAATAATTTAAAGTTTTGATTGCATTCTACAATTGTCTGTTTGGAAAATTACATATTATGAAGTCATTATATATTTTATCAAATCAGAAAAAGTCAGCTCAGGAACTGTAGCAGCAGGGAGTTCTAAAGATGACATGAACTATACTATAGGGGTGCCCTACTCTATATGGCCTAGGGCTTTGGTTTGGGTCAGTCTTGTTCTTTCAGATACATAACACCAGCAGTACTTTCGGGCTCACTTCAAGAACCAGATAACTCTCCCAAACCATGATACATGAAGTGTATAATCAAGATTTTTAATTAAGCTTTAGAATTCTTTATTTGTGTAGAGTGATGGAAATGACCAAGAAGTAATAATATAAAGCAAAAGAATTGGGAGAGATCAGGTTTTAAGTATATAAATATTTTTTTTTTCTCATGGCATATTCTCAAAGGTGTTTTGTTACAAACCAGATTTTCATTTTTTAAAAAATGAGACTTGGTGGTATTTAAAACCTACACCTACCATGTTGCTATTTCACTTTCATTGCTTTAGTTGCTTAATATTTAAGCTTTGCTTCATGCTACCTTTTGTCTGTATTTCAATCTTCATAAGCCTATTTTGTTTTGTAGACTTGAATGATAAAAATTGTTTCTCATCTTAAGTATGCTCAGAGTTTTAAATGTTAAAGAATGTTGTGTAACCTTTATCCAATAAAGTCTTTGATTTTTTAAAAATTTAGTTATTTAAAAATTATGTTTACTTTTTAGGAGTTAGTTTTTAAAGATTTTTTTTTTTTTTTTTTTTTTTTTTACTATTAGAATTCAATCACTAGTTGTACTTTAGGGAGCTGTTTTCAGTAGCAATGCTTCCTAAGGAGAACAGCCTGTAGGTTTCTAATCACTAGGAGATTTTATGGGACCTCTTTATGACGAAGGATGGAGGAAGGGTGAACAGTTTAATTAGGACCCTGTGCACAAACATAACAGCTTTTCGATAGAAACAACCTACCCTTCAGAATTGGATGTAATTAAATATCTGCTGCTGGGTTTGTCTTGTTTTCTTTTGTTTTAATTTTAAGGAATCCTGCCCTTATGGATAAATGGTTGCTTCTTTAAGAGCCCAGCACATTGAGTGAGAGGTCAAGGGTTTGACCTAAGAATCAGAAACACTTGGTTATCAGGAAAAAATTAGCCTTTTAAAACCTACAGACAGTTCACAGGACTGACCCAGAAACTTAGGTCAATGTACTTTTTTTTTCTGTTCAAGAAAAGCAATCCTTTGGCTGCCTGTTATTCCAGAGTACATGAAGGCTTTAATCTCAAACATTCTCCCATTTCAGTTTATTTAAATGAGTGTAAAAAAGAGACCACAGGAATCTGGCTCTGCTAATATCTTTTTTCTCTCAAATTTCTCACTAATGAAAATGGAACAGGGAGAACCAGGGAAGATTAACAAGCCATGTGCTCATTATCTGAGAGGGCCTACAGGAGACTCATACTGATCCTGGTCATGTATACATGTATCAGTATATTTATAGACACAACTCCTACAAGATGGAGGGAATGAATGATGGAACCAATAGAAGCAACTGAAAATCTTACCAATGCTGGCCTTCACATAAGAAAGCGTAAGTTCATTTTTCCTTTTTCAAGTAAAGATTTTTTTTTTTTAATTTAAATAATAGAGACAAGGTCTCGCTTTGTTGTCCAGGCTGGTCTCAAACTCCTGGGCTCAAGTGATCCTCCTGCCTCGGCCTCCCAAAGTGCTGGGATTATAGGCATGAGCCACTGCACCTGGCCATGATTCTTTTATCAGAATAAGAAATTATTTGAATAAAGAGGTTTTTTTTGTTTTTTTTTTTGTTTTTTTGAGACGGAGTCTTGCTCTTGTTGCCCAGGCTGGAGTGCAATGGCACGATCTTGGCTCACTGCAACCTCCGCCTCCCGGGTTCAAGCAATTCTCCTGCCTCAGCCTCCCAAGTAGCTGAGTTTACAGGCATGCGCCACCACCCCTGGCTAATTCTGTATTTTTAGTAGAGATGAGGTTTCTCCCTGTTGGTCAGGCTGGTCTCAAACTCCCGATCTCAGGTGATCCGCCTGCCTCGGCTTCGCAAAGTGCTGGGATTACAGCGTGAACAACTGTGCCTGGACTTTATTTATTTATTTATTTATTTTTTTGAGACAGATTTTCGCTCTTGTTGCCCAGGCTGGAGTGCAGTGGTGCGATCTCGGCTCACTGCAACCTCCACCTCCTGGGATCAAGCGATTCTCCTGCCTCAGCCTCCCGAATAGCTGGGATTACAGGCATGTGCCACAACTCCCAGCTAATTTTGTATTTTTAGTAGAGACAGGGTTTCTCCATGTTGGTCAGGCTGGTCTCGAACTCCTGATCTGAGGTGATCCACCTGCCTCAGCCTCCCAAAGTGCTGAGATTACAGGTGTGAGCCACTGCCTGGCCAGAATATGTTATTTTTTAAGCATCCTTTTCTCTAGTGATTAGCATGCTGCCAAATCTTTGCTTAATCGGAATGAAATTTTTTTTTTTTTTTTTTGAAACGGAGTCTCACTCTGTCACCCAGGCTGGAGTGCAGTGGCACGATCTCGGCTCACTGCAACCTCTGCCCCCTGGGTTCAAGAGATTCTCCTTCCTCAGCCTCCTGAGTAGTTGGGATTACAGGTGCTTACCCCCATGCCCGGCTAATTTTTGTATTTTTAGTAGGGAAGGGGTTTCGCCATGTTGGCCAGGCTGGTCTTGAACTCCCAACCTCAAGTGATCCACCCGCTTTGACCTCCCAAAGTGCTGGGATTACAGGTGTGAGCCACCGCACCCGGCTTGGAATGAAATTTCATGGCCTTAACAATTCCTTTGCTTTGGTACCAACAAGGTAGTGAGCTTGGGGTAAAGGAGAGTATGATTCAGGAAAACTGTGCCAGAAGAAGAGAGAGCTGGCCAAACAGTGGGAAGACATTGTCTTTAAGCGTTAAGAGTACTTTCAGGGTTAGCCCTTTCATTATTTCCTTGTGAGGCAAGTTTGTAGAAGCAGCTGTCTAAAGGAGGGAAAGTGGCTTGGTGATGTTAAAGATGTTTTTGGCCGGGCATGGTGGCTCACGCCTGTAATCCCAGTACTTTGGGAGGTCGAGGAGGGTGGATCATGAGGTCAGGAGATCGAGACCATCCTGGCTAACACGGTGAAACTCTGTCTCTACTAAAAATACAAAAATTAGCCGGGCGTGGTGGTGGGTACCTCTAGTCCCAGCTACTCGGGAGGCTGAGGCAGGAGGATGGCGTGAACCCGGGAGGCAGAGCTTGCAGTGAGCTGAGATCGCGCCACTGTACTCCAGCCTGGGCAACAAAGTGAGACTCCGTCTCAAGAAAAAAAAAAAAAAGAAATGTTTTTATACTAATAACCTGCCTTAGTCTAAAGAGGTAGGAGACATGGATTCTGTTATCAGTTCTATCAATGACCTTTGACAGCAAAGTCACACAGCAGCCTTATTGGCAAAATGAGGTGTAGAAATCCATCTCACCAAGCTCTTCAGTTCCTACTCAGCCAAGGCCGAAACCCCTGGGGAGATGTTAGGATTTTTTTTTTTTTTTTTTTTTTTTTTTTTGAGACGGAGCCTCGCTCTTGTTGCCCAGGCTGGAGTGTAATGGTGCAATCTCGGCACACTGCAACTTCCGCCTCCCAGGTTCAAGTGATTCTCCCACCTCAGCCTCCCGAGTAGCTGGGATTACAGGCACCTGCCATCATGCCTGGCTAATTTTTGATTTACTTATTCATTTATTTATTTTTGAGACGGAGTCTCACTCTGTTACCCAGGCTGGAATGCAGGCACCTGCCATCACACCTGGCTAATTTTTGTTTTATTATTTATTTATTTATTTATGAGACGGAGTCTCGCTCTGTTGCCCAGGCTGGAGTGCAGTGGTGCAGCCATGGCTCACTGCAGCCTCAACCTTGTGGTTCAAGTGGTCTTCCTGCCTCAGCCTCCTGAGTAGCTGGGACTACAGGTGTGCACTACCACCCCGAGCTAACAAAAAAAGTATTTATTTTGTAGCGACGGGGTTTCTCTGTTATCCAGGTAGTTCTAAACTCCTGGGCGAAAGCAATCCTCCCACCTCGCCCCCCGCAGGTGCTGGGATTACAGGCCTGAGCCACTGTGCCCAGCTCATAAACTGCCCCTTGAAGGGTTGTAAGCAGTCATTCTCATGCGCTAACGTTATTTTCACCCTACCTCTTGAACTGGCTGGTAGCAAGTAATCCATTTTTTTTAATTGACTTTTTTTCAGAGTCCATGCTAATCTTCTATCATTCCAATTTTAGTATATGTGCTGCTGAAGCAAGCACAGTAATCAATTTTTCATTTTCAGAAGCATTAATGGATCTGGTTTAGTGTGAGGTCAGGATAGCTCTGCACACAACAGGAGGAAGTGATTGCAAATTATAGCTTCCTTTCCCTGTACAGCTTTTAATTGTGCAGTTCACTGAAGGAACAGATTTTTCAGCCACTTCTGGTGGAATGCGCACATACTTTTTTAAAGGAAATCCAGGTGATGGAAGGATTAAGCTTGTTACTATCAAGTACCGAGGAAGCAGGCTGGCAAGAATCCTAACTGAAATCACTTCAAGGAGATTTGACTAAGATTGTATGGGTATGTATCAAGTACAGAGTATCCACAGATAAGATCAGAGGAAGAGTTTCTCTTCCCTATCCTCATCCCTCCTGTATTTTTTAAGGGGAGGGACGAGCATATGGAGGAAACCGGCACAGTAATGAAGGGAAGTGATCACAGAAAACAACAGGAAGGAACATACAATCCAGCTGGCAGCGACCATCAGCTGCAGGCTCATAAGGCTGCATCTGAATGGGGGCTGCGCAGCTGAGAGCCAACAGCTCCAGCCTTTCCTCTTAAGCCAAGGGCAATCTGGAGAGAGCACAGATAACAAGCAGAGGAAACGGATGAGGGCTCGTCAAGATATTTCCCATCCTACGTGGTGTCTCAGATTTGCGCTTTGGTCTTGGGGGATTATTGGACTCTTCCTCTTAAAGATCTTTCCCAAGATTAAAGCAACCATTCACTTGCACAACTGTCTTAATCATAGCCTTTCCCTTTGACATCCCAAGTTCTGCAGAACTGGTGGTAAAAGGATTTGCAGGCCTGCTTAGTTCTTGGGATCAGACCATGCTTGCAAAGATGTATCTTCCAACAGGTTTACATCTGCCGCCTGCCGCCAGCTTCTCATCCCACTATCTATTCAGGCAGTAAAATGCCTCTAAAAAGCTCCTGCGCCGGGTCTTCCTGCACCAACTTAGATTCTAGCTTGAAAGTTGAGTGAAATGTTACTTACCAGTAGTCTCAGAGGCCAGCTCAGAGACTAAAAAGGAGCACCAGAAATAACTACTAAGCCCGGCAACATCTCTTTTTCTTTTTGAGACAGGGTCTCATTCCCAGGCTGGAATGCAGTGGTGCCATCTTGGCTCACTGCAGCCTTGACTTCCTGGGCTCTGGTGATCCTCCCACCTCAGCCTCCTAAGTAGCTGGGACTACAGGTGTGTACCACCATGCCTGGCTAACTTTTTGTATTTTTACTAAAGATAGGGTTTCGCCATGTTGCCCAGGCTGGTCTCAAACTCCTGGGCTAAAGCTATTTGCCCGCGTTGGCCTCCCAAAGTGCTGGGATTACAGGCGTGAGCCACGGCGCCTGGCCAGCAACATTTCTTAAAGCACTCCCCTACTTTCAGTTACATAAAACGTCGTAGGAACTGCAACTCTCAGCATTTATGGATTACACAAACATTCATGTCTTTGGCTATATCCAAGCAGCTCTGAAGGACAGCGTATGAGGTCTTGTCATTTTGCCGAAGCTCAGATGTATGTCCAGTGCCACCATGTCCCTAAAGTTATAGGGACATCTATAACATGTAGGCTTAGTGACTCCCCAGCCTCCACATTTAGACATGGTATAACACTGTCTCCTTAAGTACAGTTATTTGTAAAGTGAGATGATGTGTGTTTTGCAGGGAATGGGACAAGGAGCAAAAGGCTAAAAAACAACCACAACAAACTGGCTGCAGTGCTTGTGATGGAAGGGAAGCACACATGGAAAAGCATAGTTTTTTGTTTTTTGTTTTTTTCTTTCAGAGACAGGGTCTCTCACTGTTACCCAGGCTGGAGTGTGGTGGCTCGGTCATAGCTCACTGCAGCCTCAAACTCCTGGGCTCAAGTGATCCTCCTGCCTCAGCCTCCCAACTAGCTGGGGCTGAAAGCATGTGCCACCATGCCTTGCTTGGTTTTAAAACATTTTTTGGTAGAGATGGGGTCTTAGTATGTTGACTAGGCTAAGGTCTTGAACTCCTGGTTTCAAGTGATCCTCCTGCCTCTGCCTCCCAAAGTGTTGGGATTACAGGTGTGAGCCACTGCACCCAGCTAGTTCTTAGAAAAATGGTTGAGATTTTTAAAATAGGTGAATTTAACAGCATGGATCCATGAGTAAAATGAAAGAATGAATCCACAGTGCACTCTACACAGAAAGACCACCATATGAGTATGAATTTGTTGTAGAAATCCCAATTTCCTGGGGAAGCCTCCTGCAGAGGCCCCAACCAATGGAAAAGCTGCTTCTGTGAAAACTGGAAAAGTAGTTACGATACAGTGTGGGAATATACAGAAAACACAAGACTTGATGGAAATGTGGCCTGGAGGTGAGGAGACTGAAACGAAAGGAAAAGTTGGGGATTTTTTTAATTCTTGGAAATATCCAAGATGCAAAAAATGAAAACTTAAAAACCAGGAGACAAACGCTTACATGCCAGGTTGAATGTTCATTCTACATGGCCGTGCAAGACAGGCTAGACTGGCTTAGAGTGACCTTCTTTACAGAATGCTTTTTATTTTTATTATGTATTTATTTTTATAGAGATGGGGTTTCGCTATGTTGCCCAGGCTGGTCTCAAACTTCTGAGCTCAAGTGATCCTCCCGCCTTGGCCTCCCAAAGTGTTGGGATTACACAGGCTTGAGCCACTGTGCTCAGCCTACAGAATGTTGTTTTGAGCTTCATGGGTATGATTACTGGATTCACTGTTGAGAAACCCTAGCTGAGCCCTCCAAATTTGCCAGAACTACACACTTAACGAAATAACACTACTAAGAAAGTTTACTTGAGTAACTAGGTCCAGAAACTCCAGGGTGAGGTGGCCACTTTGGGCAATACCGGGTTAAGTCACAGATAAGTTACTGACCTTGATTCGGTGATACCAAGCTGTTGTCTCTGTCTCCCACTGCATTCTTTGGACTGTGAAAAATAGCAAGTAAGCCTTTTTTTTTTTAGATAGGTTGGTTTCACTTTGTCACCCAGGCTAGAGTGCAGTGGCATGATCTCAGTTCACTGCAGCCTCGACCTCCTGGGCTCAAGCAATCCTCCTGCCTCAGCCCCTCAAGTAGCTGGGACTACAGGCACACACCACCACACCCAAGTAGTTTTTTGTAGAGACGGGGTTTCACCATATTGCTCAGGCTGGTCTCGAACTCCTGAGCTAAAGCAGTCTGCCAGCCCCAGCCTCAGCCTCCCAAAGTGCTAGGATTACAGGCCCTGAGCCACTGTGCGCCGCTGAGAAAAAATAGCAAGTAAGCCTCCTAAGCTGACATTTGAATTACTTGCTGGGTCTTAAAATTTATGGAGATGACTAGTTTCTATTGATCTTGAGGTAACAGATATTGGTTAGTAGTGAAGGAGACATTTGAAAAAACAGGCATTAAATGGCACAGAATTAGAAGACTTTTGAATACTGATGGTTGTTCACACTAAAACCACGTCTTGTGGATATCCTTTAATACCAGTTCACTAAGTCTCTAATACAGTGGTAGCTGCTGGTGCTATTAACAACATAAATGTGGCCCTTTCCATGAGCTCATGGTCTACTCAGGAGGCAGATGAGAAAGAGTAGATAATATTTTAAAGAATGTTTCTCAGAGTCTCCAGGGCAATTCTAAAAGATCAAAAATTATTATTTTTTTGAGACAGGGTCTCACTGTGTCACCCAAGCTGGAGTGCAGTGGCACGATCTCAGCTTACTGCAACCTCCGCCTGTTGGGTCCAAACGATTCTCCTGCCTCAGCCTCCTGGGTAGCTGGGATTACAGGCGCCCGCCACCACGCCCGGCTAATTTTGTATTTTTAGTAGAGACGAGGTTTCACCACATTGGCCAGGCTGGTCTCAAACTCCTGACCTCAGGTGATCTGCCTGCCTCAGCCTCCTAGAGTGCTGGGATTACTTGAGCCACCGCACCCAGCCTCCAAAAATTATTTTGACCCATTGCAATATTGTCGGAATAAGAATATGTACAACGTCACAGTATGATTACCTTAAAAGTAAATTCTGGTATGCTTTTTTGGTGGTGGGTTAGGGGGAGCATCACAGAACTTTTTATTTTTTGAGATGGAGGCTTGCTCTGTCACCTAGGCTGGACTGCAGTGGCATGATCTTGGCTCACTGCAATCTCTGCCTTCTGGGTTCAAGCGATTCTCCTGCCTTAGCCTCCCAAGTAGCTGGGATTACAGGCATGTGCCATTGTGCCTGGCTAATCTGTGTATTTTTAGTAGAGATGGGGTTTCACCATGTTGGTCAGGTTGGTCTTGAACTCCTGACTTCAGGTGATCCGCCCACCTCGGCCTCCCGAAGTTCTGAGATTACAGGTGTGAGCCACGGTGCCTGGCCAGAGCTTTAAAATCACACATTCTAGCAGCAATAGGCAAATACAGGCCACCTTCCTTCCTTAACACTTACTTTCTACTTTTGAAGTCTGAAGATTTTCTATGGTCAAACATTTTCAAAAGGTTTGAATATATCTTTTCTTACAAATGTTGGAAGCAGCAAAGTAACAGTGCCAGATAAAAACTCCTTGGCTTAAGCAAGCTCACACCTACTGGGATCCTTTCCTTTCCAGACAATGCACTGCTTGGCCCACCCACTGGGAGCATGTAATATTGGCCTTGTGTAGCATCCTATAAGATTTCAGTGTGATTGAGAGGAAGAGGAGGAGGAAGCCTAAGAAACAAAACCTCTACACTCGTGGCAATGGTAGTCTCGGGCATCTTCTCTTAACCAAAGCTGTTTCTAGACGAACAAGTCTATTTCCTATTCCTTGGAGGCACAGATAGTCCTTCTGGAATCTCAGCCCTGATTTTGCTAAGTCTCAGCCATTGAGCTCAAGGCACGATGTGACAGTAGTTCTCAAAATGTAGTCCAAGGATCCATAGGTGTTCTGGAGACCATTTCAAGGTGTCTATCTGTATTTTGTATTATGAAAGCTATTTTCATAAGACAAAATTTTGTCTTATGAAAACTGTTTTCATAATACAAAATTAAAGAGTCTATTTTTTTCACTGTTATCTTGTCAGTGACTGCACTGTGATCTCAGGACAAACTGAATATAAGAGATGTGAGACTCTTGCTGTTCTCTATCAAGCCATGCATTAAAGAGATGTGCAAAAATGTCATTCTTCTCACTAAAATGTGTCTTTGAGTTGGAAGATTTTTCCATAAAAATTGTAAAAATTTCAGTAAAACTTTTTTTTAGAGACAAGGTCTCGCTGTCACCCAGGATGAAGAGCAGCAGTGGGATCATAGCTCACTGCAGCCTTGAACCCCTGGGCTCAAGCAATCAATCCTCCTGCCTCAGCCTCCCAAGTAGCATGAAGCCGCTACGCCTAGCTAATTTTTTTTTTTAAACTTTTTTTTGTAGAGATGGAACCTTGCTATGTTGCTCAGGCTGGTCTGGATCTCTGGCCTCAAGCAATACTCCTGCGTTGGCCTCCCAAAGTACTGTGATTACAGGTATAAACCATCCATCGTTCCTGGCCTGACATAAAAGTATTTATAGTAACAGGAAACATGTTATTTTTCAAAGGGATTACTTTAACACTTTCTATCTTAATTTTTAATATACTAAATATTGATAGAATGCACATAAATGGAAATGCTCTTAAAATTTTTTTTTCCAGACTATGAAGGGCTGCTGAAATAAAAGTTTGGGCACGGTGGCTCACGCCTGTAATCCAAAGCCAAGGTGGGTGGATCATCTTGAGGCCGGGAGTTCAAGACCAGCCTGGCTAACATGGTGAAACTCTGTCTCTACTAAAAATACAAAAAATTAGCCAGGTGTGGTGGTGCATGCCTGTAATCCCAGCTACTCTGGAGGCTGAGGCAGGAGAATTGCTTGAGCCTGGGAGGCAGAGGTTGTAGTGAGCCAAGATTGCGCCACTGCACTCCAGCCTGGGTGACAGAGCGAGACCCCCCTCAAAAAAAAAAAAAAAAAAATGAGAACCACTTTCTAGCATAATGCTGGCTGCACAGGAAGCACCGAACACTGACTACCAGACCATCCAGCATTCCACACGGTTTCCATACAACTTGTGTGATTTTTCACACACACATTTTCAGGAAAATTGGATGCCAGATTTAACAGTTTCTTCTGAGGTTCACTTTGACCAAAAGAAGAAAAAAGATAAAAAGCTTTTAGGAACAGATGAGAAGAACCACATAGTCCTTAACACTGGGAGTATGACTGACTACTGCATGTCACTTACAGAATTATATGTGTAATTTACATCCAAGATGAAACTTGCATGTCAAGCTTTTGAGACTCAAACCAGAGCAACTGCAAGCTTCTCACTAGCATCAACTGATGAGCACAAAAAAATTCTATCTTTGACACCTCTAGGTTCATGTAGTTTAAAAGAATATGGTTTTGTTCTGGGGTTCATATACTACCATTCCTCAATGAAGCTATTTTAAGTTAAAAATATTAACATTTGGTCAAACACAGATTTATAATTATCTATACAAACCTGGAGGGGCCCAAGATAGCTTGTAAGGTGGACTTTCTGAATTCTAGTACATGGTAGAATGGTCAACTCTTCAAGATAAATCTTCAAGGCAACAAAAACTTTGGGCAGATCTGTGGAATCTGGAATCAGTAACCCTGCTTGAAACCAACACTGCTCCCAAAGCCAGAGAAGGCTTCTGCCTTAGTTGTCGTTACGTGACAAAATTCACAACCTAACCCAGACCTAAGCACAGAAAGCTTTTATTACCACAGAGGAAATCAGGAAATGCTGGAGGCAGCCTCGTTAGCTGTGTGATCAGGGAGGGGACAGCAGGCGGGAACCCGTCATCAATCATGTCTGGGCAGTCTCCCAACCAACAGGTTTGTTTGGTTCAGGAGAGGCTTTTGCTGGGCTGTGTGTGTGTATGATCAGGAAGGTCAGCCTCAACAAATGGGCTTCTTCCTGGACATAGGACAGCCAGAATCGGGGACACCAGCTGCACAGACACCACCTTAAAATGGAAATCAAATTAGGTTCATTACATCAGGAAGTACATTTCACCCTGATCATAAAAGAGGGACAAGGGAGCACTGGGCTCTACTGGATAGCCTTTCTTTTAGATAAGATGCTTTTAAAAGTTAAACATTGGCAGGGCCTTTCCCCTAGCTAACAGCAAGCAGCACACAATTCCAAGTCAGCTTGTAAAGCTTTTGTTATCTTTGTTATCTGTTATTATTTGGATTTTGAACGAAATTGATGGAGTACGAGCCGGTAGAGGAATCCTGTTTGATCTGGAAATTTTCCGTGGAGAGCCCAAAAGGTCGGAGAACCAAGTTCCCAAGATCTTTTAATTTACCTGTAATGTAAAAGCAAAAACTCAAATGAATACAGGAATGAACAGAAGCAGGAAGGTACCAATTAATCTTGCCTTACCACTGAGTACAAAATATAAAAGTATCTCTTTGCAGTTAAAGAAATGCCTACTTTTAATATGATGAAAGCTTCCAGGAGAGTTCCCAGCCCCTATTCCCCACTCAGCAGTGCAGTCACTTTAATGCCATCCACCCTCAGCCTGTGCTTGCATAGATGAGAGTGGAGTCCTGCTGGCTCTCTCTGGGAATCAAAGCCTCCTGTCCTAACTGGCCAGTGCTATCAGAGGACACAGGCTTCTGGGGTGAGTTCTGGGAAAACCAACTGCTGTTCCAGTGAGGCTCAAGGCACCCTGCCAAGCCAGGTCTGCCTGGTAGTGAGGGCAGAGGTCCCTCCAAGTCTCTTCTCTCTAGAACGGCAGCAGCCACCTGCTAAATGTAATTCAACTCAGCCCATTTCCACTGAGCTTGGATTCATATTCAAGAGCTTCCTGCTTTCCTAAACAAATCCTTAGCTTCTATACCAGACTAGCCATTTCTTAGAAATGGGATCATCTTGATTTGCACAGCAACCTCAATAAGACCTCAATAGTCCAGCCTCCTCTTCCCAAGTTTCAGGCTTTATTTACACGACTTGGGTGAGGTATATAGGATGGGCGTGGTGGCTCACGCCTGTAATCCCAGCACTTTGGGAGGCCGAGATGGGTGGATCACCTGAGGTCAGGAGTTCGAGACCAGCCTGGCCAACATGATGAAACCCTATCTCTACAAAAAATACAAAAATCAGCTGAGGGTGGTGGCATACGCCTACAGTCCCAGCTACTAGGGAGGCTGAGGCAGGACAATCGTTTGCACCTGGGAGGCAGAGGTTGCAGTGAGCTGAGATTGCGCCACTGCACTCCAGCCTGGGTGACAGAGTGAGACTCCGTCTCAAAAAAAAAAAAAAAAAAAAGTCATGGTCTATAGCCAGCGGTTCTTGCCAAGCATGGTGACTCATGCCTGTATTCCCAGCACTTTGGGAAGCTGAGGCAAGAGGAGGGTTTGAGCCCAGGAGTTCAAGACCAGCCCGAGCAACGCAGTGAGACTCTATCTCTACAAATTTTTTTTTTAAAAACAAAAAACAGTTCTTATGCTGTTTTAAGATATAAGGAACATCTGAAACTAGGAATGTTCCAGAAAATTTTGGCAGGGATGGGTGAATAAACAGTTTCAACCCTTTCTAAACTGCTTTAATTTTTCTTACAGGTCTACTTCCAGTGGAGGTGAGAATGGGGGTGGACGAAAAGAGAAATCCCTAATCACCAGAGGTACAGGCTCCTTCCCACTTCTTAGCAGCTTTTCTCACTCTGAGGCCTCCCATCTTAGAGTAAAGCCCAGGTAAAGAACTTAAAGGTGCATGGCCTTGGCTGGGTGCAGTGGCTCACACCTGTAATCCCAGCACTTTGGGAGGCTGAGGCAGGAGGATCATGTGAGCCTAGGAGTTTGAGACCAGCCTGGGCAACATAGGGAGACCCTGTATCTACAAAAATTTAAAAATTAGCTAGGTGTGGTGGCACACACCTGTTGTCACAGCTATGCAGAGGCTGAGTTAGGAGGATTGCTTGAGCCCAAGGAGTTCAGGGCTGCAGTGAGCCATGATCATACCATTGCACTCCAGCCTGGGTAACAGAGCAAAAAAAACGCATGGCCTTTACATTTTACAGGCCTCCCTAATAACTCATGGTGAGAACTTTTAGTCTCAGGCTTAAGAACTAGCCCAAGGAAGCTCACTATGTCCAGAGAAAGGCCAACCCATCTTTGGATAAAACAGTAAATTGAGAAAGCTCCCAGAACCTGGGATGGCTGTTCTCCAGGCAGGCCTCCCAAACCTAAACCTGGGACACACACGTTCTGTGCTGCTGCTTGTGTCAGGAAATCACTGGCATAAACCCTGGGTGCCTGCACAAGGCAGCGGCACAGCCTCGGGCACATGGGCGTAGAGGGAGGGGCTCACAACAAGCAAGAGAAAGACAGGGCAGCCTCAGGGTGACCTGAGTTAGCAACACCAACCAGGAACGCTGGCAGTTTGTTCTGGGGTTGGAAAAAGAGGACAGGAAGGGGGAAAAAAAAAACCATCAAAAGCAGCCCAAGAAAATGTTGGTACTGGGAAATCCTTGGCTCTTGTGATATGGAGTGAGTGAAGTGAGAATGAGTATCAAGAGCCACTCACATCAGACTCCTGAGGAGGGGCAGCTCCATGGTGGAGAAGCCTACTCTGGATGGTCCACTGAGCCCAGGGCCATTACATGGATGGAGGGATCACTGCAAGCCCATCTCCAGTGCCAGAAAAACAATTTAAAGTACAAACTGGAAATTTTACTTGGCATCTATCATGTAAGCCACTGGGATGTAAAGAATAAAAGTAGCTTCTATGCACAATGCTCAGTCTAGTGGGGAGGCAGACCCAAAAGACGGAGGTGTGCCCAGAGGTGCTTTCTGACCTTGCAGTGGCACGAAGAGGCTACATGCCACAGTGCTCCGGGGGATGGGAATAGGTCCAGGGTGGTGGCATGTCACCGTGCTCCAGAGATGGCAGCTTCCTCAGGCAGCAATGGCTTGGCTTTAGGCTGGTCTGCACTAAAGGAGGTTTCCCTCTAGTGCAGAAAGACCATTCCAAGCTAAGACTGCAAATATTCAAACTGCCGACGAGAGGAAGAATTCTCTTTCCCAGGCCCTCGTTTTGCCTAACTGGCTAAAGGGCCTGTGTGCCACAAGCCACCTTTGAACTTTTAGCTTGGTTGATTCTATGGTGTGGCAGTCATGAAGATGTATTTCTCCAAATGCAGGGGACAGAGTGGCTGCACTCTAAAATCCATCAGCACATTCATGCAGAGGCCACCCTTCCCACCTGCTGCTTCCAGCCAATGCCTGAGCATGGGAGGGACTCGTCTGAGGGGCAGCACTGGCTCCCCAATGGCTTTGCTGAAACTTTCTCAGCACCACACTCCAGTGGAAAACTTCCCCGCTCCCCCGGCCTTTCCTCCTCCACAGGGGTCTGCCAACTCTGCCAACAGCCTCCAGCTCCCAGCCCCATTTTCCCTTGCAGGTGTTTCCCCCAGTAAATCTCTTGTACTTTTAATCCTATCTTGGCATCTGTTTTTTGGATGACCCAAACTAACACATAGATAATTATTCTTTTTCCTTCAATTCCAGTATCTCTGCCTTTATAACATTTCACATTAGTTTCACCGACCATCACTTAAGGGGGAAAAAAAAAAAGAAAATGCGAAATTCTGCTTTCTAAATGAGATTACATATATATAATACCTGGCAGGTAGTAGACACATAATAAAAGGCACACAAATAAATAGTCTCTGCGTTAGAGAAGACCTAAGGTCACCTGACATAGATTAATTCAACCAACATGTACTAATTACATGTGTGTGGCACCTTGCTATGTGTGGTAGAGATGCAAAGATACATGACATGGTCTATACACCAAAACAAGCTTAGAATTTGACAAGGAAGAAAAGACATACACACAAAACCAAATTCATATGTAGCTGAGTTATAAAATGCTACGAGAGTCAGGAAGGGGAAGATTCCTTTGGCTGGGGCAGGAAGACAGGAAAGGGGTGGAGGAAAGAAGAGATTTGGTCTATCTTTGTCTAAGAGTTTACACTTGAACCAGGCACCAAAGGCCATAGGACTGCAACCATATGAGACAGAGGTGCTGTCCGTGCAAGCCCAAACAGCGTGAGCCAATGCACAGAGATAGGCAGGCGAGCTGTGTGTCCAATGGGGCTGAAGCGGGGCAGGCAGGTGCCTCCTGCCAGGCTGTCCTGAGCCAGGCCCGTCAGCCTACGGTTCCCGTGCCACAGGAGGCCACTGACAGCTTGAGAACTGAGTTTTCAGGGTTAGTAATCCTGTGGCAAAATGAAGAATGAACCAGAAGGGGAGACCCTGGGGGTGGTTCTGACAGAAAGTTAGTCCCACATTGTGGGAAAGAGCCCATTTATTCACTGAACAAACATTAAAATTTCTACAATGCTTGGGTAGATGGGCTCTGAAGCCAGAGTGTGGTCAGTGGAACACAAAGAACAGGGCAAAACAGTATGGTAGAATCAACAAGTTTTTGGTGACTGAAAAATTTACCTTTTGCTGTTTGTGCCGATGACAGAGAAGCAACAGCCTTCAGGAGAGCTCAGTCTCCTAAATATATGCACATGCATACGTTTTTCTGCCTGCTGTTTAGAGTCAGGTTGGGTGCTCAGAGGCTAAAGCAGCTTCCTTGTATCCAAATAGGATCATGTGCCAAACTAGCCTATCTGCCACACTTTCCACTGGCTGTCAAATTCTGTCTTCCCTATCTGGACAGTAATCAATGAGGTTTCCTTGTTTCCACCTACAGCACAGGTGGCACCATCACTCAGCCTGAATATGTCCACATGTCCTGAACTATTAGGATCTCGTCTATCAGACTAGATCCCATGGCAAAGAGAAGAGTACAGAACTACTCGTGCTTAGACCAGAATGTTTAGAGACAGGGATCCGAGTGCTTGCCACTGGGTTCAGTTGATAAATATTAATTTCTCTGCCAAGTAGCATATCACCATAACCCAATTGATTTGTTATACATAATTTCTCTTTGGAGATACTGACTGTGCATCAGGCAGTTTACCCTGAGCATAACCAGGAATGCTGTGTTTTCATCTCCTTAAGATCACTCGGGCATGGATTCGATGGAATGGCTCCTTTGGGACTTTCTCCTCTGTTCAGATGAAACAAATTGCATACAACTAAATCCTAATACCACATTTCCTCCTGTGAGGCAGGAAACTAAGGCATGCAGCTAACTCTAGCTTTTCTCCGAGCAAAAGGCAAATCAAGAGAGCCCAGCATAGAAAGGATAAAATTCATGCCCAGTTGAAATTCTTATACAGGCAGACTTTATTTTGTTGTGCTGTGCTTTTTGTGCTTTACAGATATTGTGTTTTTTACAAATTGAAGATGTGTGGTAATCCTGCATTGAGCAAGTTTGTCAGCACAATTTTTCCAATAGCACGTGCTCATTTCATGTCTCTTTCATATTTTGGTAATTCTCATAATATTTCAAACCTTTTCACTATTCTTATACCTGTTATGGTGATCTGTAATCAATGATCTGTGAGGTTACTATTTAATTATTTTGGGGTGCCATGAACTGCACCCGCATAAGACAGCTAACTGAAATGGTAAGTGCGGTGCATGTTCTGACTGCTCCTCTGACCAGCCATTCCCTTGTATCTCTCCCTCTCCTCAGGCTTCCCTCTTCCCTAAGCCACAACAATATTGAAATTAGGTCAATTAATAATCCTGTAATGACCTTTAAGTGTTCAAGTAAAGGGAAGAGCCAGACTTTAACAAAATTAAAAGTGCTACTTCAATGAACACATGAATAAGAAAGCAAAACAGCCTTATTGCTTATATGGAGAAAGTTCTAGGTGTCTGGATAGAAGATCAAACCAGCCACAACATTCCCTTAAGCCAAAGCCTTGGATTACCACAGCAAGGCCCTAACTTTCTTCAATCCTACCAAGGTTGAGTGAGGAAACTGCTTTAAGGAAAGAAGCCATCTCCATAACATAAACGTGCAAAGTGAAGCAGCAAAGGCTGACATAGAAGCTGCAAAAAGTTATTCAGAAGATCTAGCTAAGATCACTGATGAAGGTGGCTACACTAAGCATGTTTTTAGTGTAGATGAAAACAGCACTATATTGAAAGAAGATGCCGTATAGGACTTTCAAAGCAACAGGAAAGAATAATTCAATGCCTGGCTTCAAAGGATAGGCTGACTCTCTTGTTAGGCGATAATACAGCTGGTGACTTTAAGTTGAGGCCAGTGCTCATTTACCATTCCAAAAATCTTAGGGCCCTTAAGAATGATGCTAAATCTACTCTGCCTGTGCTCTAGAAATGGAACAACATAGCCTGGATGACAGCACATCTATTTATAGAATAATTTACTGAGCATTTTAAGCCTATTGTTGAGACCTACTGTTCAGAAAAGAAGATTCCTTTCAAAAAATTGCTGCTCACTGACAATGTGCCTGGTCACTGAGGAGCTCTGAGATGAACAAGGAGATTAAAGTTGTTTTCAAACCTCCTAACACAACATCCATTTTACAGCCCACAGATCAAGGAGTAATTTTGACTTTATAGTCTTATTATTTAAGAAATACACTTCATTGGCCAGGCGCGGTGGCTCACGCCTGTAATCCCAGCACTTTGGGAGGCTGAGGTGGGTGGATCACGAGGTCAGGAGATCAAGACCATCCTGGCTACCACGGTGAAACCCTGTCTCTACTAAAAAATACAAAAAATTAGCCGGGCTTGGTGGTGGGCACCTGTAGTCCCAGCTACTCAGGAGGCTGAGGCAGGAGAATGGCGTGAACCCAGGAGGCGGAGCTTGCACTGAGCCGAGATCGCACCACTGCACTCCAGCCTGGGCGACACAGCGAGACTCCGTCTCAAAAAAAAAAAAAAAAAAAGAAATACACTTCATATGGCTATGGCTGCTGAGATGGTCAAAATACCAACATTAACAGGAGTTTAAAAGAAGTTGATTTCAACCCTCATGGATGACTTTGAGGGGGTGAAGACTTCAGTGGAGGAAGTTGCTGCAGATGTGGTGACAATAACAAGGTAACTAGAATTCGAGTGGCGCTTGAAGATGTGACTAAATTGCTACAATTTCATGATACAACTCGAATGAGGAGTTGCTTGCTGTGGATGAGCAAAAAAAGTGGTTTCTTGAGATGGAATCTCCTCCTGGTGAAGATGTTGTGAACATTGTTGAAGTGACAACAAAGGATTTAGAATATTACATAAACTGGCCGGGCACAGTGGCTCACGCCTATAATCCCAGCACTTTGGGAGGCTGAGGCAGGCCAATCACCTGAGTTCAGGAGTTCGAGACCAGCCTGGCCAACATGGTGAAAACCCATCTCTACAAAAATAGAAAAATTAGCTGGGTGTGGTGGCATACACCTGTAATCCCAGCTACTTGGGAGGCTGAGGCAGAAGAATTGTTTGAACCCAGGAGGCGGGGTTGCAGTGAGCCAAGATTGTGCCACTGCACTCCAGCCTGGCGACAGAATGAGGCTCTGTGTCACACACACACACACACGCACAAACCCCCAAATATTACATAACCTTAGCTGATAAAGCAGCAGCAGGGTTTGAGAGGACTGAGTCCAATACTGGAAGAACTATTGTGGGTAAAATGCTATCAAACAGCACTGCATGCTACTGAGAAATCTTTCATGAAAGGAAAAATCAACTGATGTGGCAAACTTCCTTGCTATCTTATTTAAAGATACTGCCACAGACACCCCAATGTTTAGCAACTACCAACCTGATCAGTCAGCAACCATCCACGTGGAGGCAAGGCCCTCCAGCAGCAAAATGATTACAACTCCCTAAAGGCTGGGCTCATCGTCAGCATTTTTTAATAATGTATTTTAAAATTAAGGTATGTACATTTTTTTTTTTTAGACACAGTGCTGTTGCATACTTAGTAGACTACAGTATTATATAAACATAACTTCTGTATGCACTGGGAAACAAAAAATTCTTGTGACTCGCTTTATTGTGCTGGTCTGGAACTGAACCTGCAACATCTCTGAGGTACGCCTGTATTTGACCTTGGGTAAATTCGAGGGCTGAAAGAAGCCTTACCAAGAACTTTCAAAGAAGTGGGAACTATTCTCCTAAGAGAAGCCTCAGGATAGCAATTAGGAAATGAAGACAAAAGCAAAGCACTGAAAAGCTACTGATATTCTCTACTGAGGGAACAACCAACCACAACAAGGAATTGGTTTCTTGTGCCATGTGGCCAGAGTGCAAAATCCTGCAAGTGTACAGTCTGTAATGACAGATATCAGGCAGAATAGTATGAAGAGAAATGTGGAAAAAAAAAAAGACTGGGTTTCTGTACCTACATGTATGGCTTCAGCAGCTTTAAGAGGGGTGGTAACAAGTCAATCTTTCTTGTAAGCCTCAGTGAGGAAGCTGATTCTAGGACCTTCTACTACTTGCAAAGCAGAAAAGCACACAATGTCCAGGTATAGCCAGAAGAATATGCTGAACTTGGCAATGACATGTTAATTCTATCTCCATATATAGCTCTTTAATATGGCACTCATACAAGATGATATATATATATATTTTGCTTTTGAGACAGGGTTTCACTCTGTTGCCCAGACTGGCATGAAGTGGTGCCATCACAGCTCACTGCAGCTTTGATCTCCTGGGCTCAAGCAATCCTCCCACCTTAGCCTCCCAAGTGGCTGAGACTACAGGCACATGCCACATGCCGGGCTAATTTTTTATTTTTTTGTAGAGACAGGGTCTTGCTATGCTGCCTAGGCTGGTCTTGAACTCTTCAACTGCAGTCTTGACCTCCCAGGCTCAAGTGATCTTCTTACATAGGCCTCCCAATGTGCCAGGATTATAGGCATGACCACCATGCCAAGCTCCAGATGGTATTCTTAATTCAGCTCACAATGTGCCCTCATCAGATTGCTAGTGGCCAGGAGTGAACAACTGAGTGACTTTAAGAATCAGGACACCAGGAATATGTTCCTAGAAAGTGAAGGTATGAGTGGAAAACCTGGGTTGGATTATGAACAAGGCCCACATGTGTGCCAGAGTGGCCAGGGCAGGGAGCAGCAGCAGGTGCTGGTGAAAGGAAGGTGGATTACTGGGGCAATGCCCTGTCTTTGTGTTATGGTTTCTTTGAGGGAAGTAGATAAGTTTCAAGTAACTGCTCTAGGTCAAGGTAGGGATAGGCACCTGGCAGCTCTTGGTTAAGTTAGGAAGAGCATGGAATGGTCAGAATACAAGCCATACTTGTGTTCTGGGACCTAGTCCCTACCCAGCACCTGGGGCAAGGGAAGCTTGTTATCCCCTGCACACCCAGTAAGTAGTAATGTAACTGACTCTATTCCTCCAGTGGCAACTTGTCCAAATAGAGAGCTGAGATCTGAACTCTAGTGAATTGGAAGACCACACATTCTGAAATATTTGCTTTCTAGTTTTTCTCTGCTGCAGCTACAACACAAAGAAGAAAAGATAAAACTCAGTGCCATGGCTGCTTTTGCTCAGGAGGTGTCTCTCAGAGCAGAGCTGAACGCCCCTCTTAGCCATGCCCTCCTCTGGCCTCTAACCCCTCACCTGAGCTGCCTCTATACTCCGTCTCTCAACTCATCAGGGTCATTAAAGTTGAGTGTGCATCAGAAACACTTGAGAGGTTAAAACTTAGATTGCTGAGCTCCATCTTAAATCTCTGATTCAGTAGGTCTGGGGTAGGGCCTGATATCATGCCTTTTGGCATGGTTTTGGCAGGTTCTCAGGTGCTGATGTTCTGGGCACCATATCTGAGATGCAGCTCCAAAAGGTTAACTTGCTTTGCAACTGGTGATTAGAATCTTGATGAGAGAGCTTATATTAAAAAATGAATTGTAAACACCCATCTCTAGTGATTAGAGGGCTAAAGCTGCCTGGGTAGGGCTTCCCCGTTAGACAATGTGAAAAGTAGCCCATGCAGCCTAGGTTACTTTTTGGAGAAAGTAGATGACTCTATCTGCTACCTTATAGTTCAATAAGCTGAGATGACAGATCAAGGAAGAACCAAAAATATATACATACAGATTTTATTGACAATTTCACTTGCTTGAAAGACTTCTTGGCTGGGCCAGCATACGGGATAAAATAACTTGCAAATGATGACAGATGTCTTTACCCTATATTCTTTTCTATCTGGAATCAAAGCTTGTTTGGAGACCTGTATCATCATCCCAGTACAAACCTCTTGCCCTCCCAGCATGGCTGCCATAAATAATGACTCATGTGCAAAGAACCAACCCCCAGGAAGGCACTCCTCCCATAAGGTGACACAGCCACACTTCTCAAGGGACTCCTGAGGGCAGAGCAGTAACCCTGGGAGTTTGTCCTAAGTATCTTACAGTTGAGCAGAGGAGCTTCAGGGTAGCTGAAAGTGTCTCGTCAGTTTTACTTTTAAATGTTTTTTTTCCTATTTACCTATGTGAGCAAAAATTTACTACTGTAAAATTGAAACAATGAAATATACCCATAAAGGCTTAGATATACTCATAAAGGCCGTGTCTGCCATATGAAACCTGACTTCAAATCTTTATGTTCCTCAAACTAACCTGATTATTCTGATTATAAATGCTATACCGTACATTTGAATTTATATAAAACGCTACTTTTTTTTTTTCTATATTGTGGTTTCACATGAGATTTTTCTTTTCTTTTTTCTTTCTTTTTTTGTTTTTGAGACAGGGTCTTGGCTCTGTTGCCCAGGCTGGTACCATCGTAACACTGCAAACTTGACCTCCTGGACTAAGGCAATCCACCTCAGCCTCCCAAGTAGCTGGGACCACAGTCTTGTGCTACCACGCCTGGCTAATTTTTAAAGATTTTGCAGAGATGGGGGTCTTGCCATGTTGCCCAGGCTGGTCTCGAACTGCTGGGCTCAAGCAATCCTCCCACCTTGGCCTCCCAAAATGTTAGGATTACAGGCATGAGCTACTGTACCCAGCCAACTTTTTTCCCAGCTATTTAAGAAAACTGTGAAATCATTCCATTAGAGAGAAAGCAAATAAAGCATCAATGACTAGCTCCTCAAAAATGCTCTGAGCCTCCTGGGATGCTATGTCCAGGGTCTCTATTTCCATCTCATCACACTATCAACCACACATACCCTTAAGTCCTTTTAAACCTTACATTCCTTGGTTATTATGGCTGGGAGGCTAATTATCCCAGAGAAAAGGACCAAACAAACAAACAAACAAACAAAAACAACCAACCCCCACTCCAGCTGCTGACCACTTTCCTCAAGTGATCGTCTTGATGCTATCACGATCATCTTCTGTGATCAGCAAGGACTGTGCCACTAGGACTAATGGCCACCCTGGGTCTCTTGTTCTAAAGATTATAAATGATGGGCTAGAAAGGGCAAAGCAAATAATTGTTCTACCCACTAATAATTCCTATCAGGATTTTTTCCCTCAAGGAGTACATAGCTCTTCTTTCTAATGAAAAGGAAATTACAGAGATGGAAGAAAAAACAAGTTAAAGAATACTGAACACATCTAAATAAAAACCCATTTTGTACTACTCAAGGTGATCCACAGATTCAATGTAATCCCTGTCAAAACACCAATGACATTCTTCACAGAAATAGAAAAATCCTAAAATTTGTATGGAACCACAAAAGACTCTGAAAGCTAAAGTGATCCTGAATAAAAAGAACAAAAGCTACAGGCATAGGCATCACACTACCTGATTTTATAATTTTCTTTTTTTTTAAAGACAAGGTCTCACTCTGTCACCCAGGCTTGAGTGCAGTGGCATCATTGTGGCTCACTGAAGTCTCGATCTCCTGGGCTCAAGTGATCCTCCCACAGCAGCCTCCTAAGTAGCTGGGACTACAGGTGCACACCAGCACACCTGGCTAATTTTTTTAGTGACAGGATTTTGCCATGTTGCCCAGGCTGGTCTTGAACTCGGGCTCAGCCTCCCAAATTGCTGGGATTACAGGTGTGAGCCACCACACCCAGCCCACACTACCCAATTTAAAAAATTTTTAACTGCTTATTCTCCATAGAAGCCATCATTTTAACAGGAACTAGCATAAAGATGATGCAGTCCACTGTGAAAAGCTTGCTCAGAACTTCTAAGTGATATTAATTTGCATTCAGAATGTCTAGCCTCTAGGGAATCTCACAGAACATGAACCAAAGTTACCTCATCAGCAACAAGGAGGAAGGAATACCAGAAAAGCTCTTGTGGGGGCTGAAATTCCATGTAAAGAGTGATTTCTCTCTTCTAGGTTATCTATTGTGGGGTAACACCTAGAGCAGTATCTTATTCATGATTTTTATACTCATTAAGGGAAAAAAGGAATCTAGCCATTCAAACTACACATGTGTAACAACACATATTATTTACAAAGCAACTTAAGTTGGTTAAGTCTAATGGCAGGTGAATTCATTTTAGAAGCAACCGAGGGAATGAATTCAATTTGAATTTTTTCAAATGAAGAGAATGACATAAGAAAAACCCAAAGCCTTGGAGACAGAAAATTCTGGTGCATTAGAATTTATAAAGACAAGGACAAATGGAAGTTTTAATTCCATCTGGAACTAACAATAGGCAGTAAGATTCAGTTTGCACCAGTCCCTTTACTGGACTGGCTTTAAAAAAATGGACTAAGAGACCAATGCCTTCCAGATCCACTATGGCCATTCACAAGGTCATCTTTTTTAGCAAGAAATTCAAATACTAAATGCAAACAGTTTTTTTTTTTTTTTTTTTTTTTTTTGCTAAAATAGAGCATCATTGTTAGTAAAAATAGGTGAGAAAATGCTCTTTTCCCTCTTCTTTGAGACAGGGTCATGCTCTGTTGCCCAGTCTGGAGTGTGGTGGCACCATCATAGCTCACTGCAGCCTCTAACCCTTGGGCTCAAGTGATCCTCCCATGTAGCTGGGACTATGGGCAGGCACATGCCACCATGCCTGACTAATTTTTTGTGGAGATGGGGTTTCACCATGTTGCCTAGGCTGGCCTTGAACTCCTGGGCTCAAGCAATCCTCCTACCTTGGCCTCCTAAAGTGCTGGGATTACAGGAGCCACCGTGCCTGGCCAAGTTTAATTAAATATGTAAATTAGGGGAAAAGCTCCCCCATCCCCCTCCCTTTTTTGGAAAATCTGGGGAAGGCTCCAGAGCTATCCTGAATCGGAAGCAGCCGTCTTTACAGTCTGAGTCTACCCGGCAGGGGCCAAAGTCTCTGGATAGTCTAGGTTAATGGCCTCCTCTCAATCAACTTGGCTATCAGAATGATCCTTTGGGAAATTTGTTCCCATTGTCTGGATGCTGATGTCTGAAGGCCATAAATGCCAGACAGGCTCAATTTATTTTAAATGATTTTTCCTTTAGGGCCACATGATTGCAGTTTATAAAATGTAATTCAAACAACAGATTTAGAAAATACTCAAAAAGGAAAATACATGGCAGATCTTCACCAGCGAAATATCAGACAGGTTACATGTGGAAAAGACTTAAGTCTGTGTTCAGGAACCCTCACTCCTCTTACTTAAGCAGATTGCTCGTGGGAGGTTCCAACTCTAAAATGCTTTGGCAAATATGAGAAATAACTAAACATGGATCAAATGAATCCATTTGCCCTACCCCTACCCCCAGTCTGATTTCTCTTTACTCCTAATTCCTGCCCTCTCGTGTGTTCTCAAACACTAAAGGGACTTTGAGTGCCATTTTCTAAATAAAAATTCTCATGATCTTGACTGCATCCTAATGAACCTCAAGGAATGATTATTCAATGAAGAAACTAAACTGTTTTTATGTAATTGTTATCTGAAATCGAGGTTGGTGGTATCCTAGGATTTTAAATCCCATTTAAGCATAATCCCAGGGAACTGAATTATGCTTAAATTCTTGCAGGCAAGAAAAATTTCCAAGAAAATCAAAAAGGAAATCTGGTTTCCAAAAAAAGCCAATACCCTCTCTAAGCCACGCTGCCCCTTCTGGGGTCAAAATAACTCAGAAGTCAGTAGCCTTGTGGTAGAGTCCGAAACTTTCTAACTCATGTGTTCTCCTCTAGTATTCGCTATGTCCCCACCCTAGGTTCCTAGCTGTTTATGATCAAGCAAAGTAAGAAGTAAGCTTACCTAACATCTCTTCTTTTAGTCTTTCATTACGTTCTTCAATTTGCTTAGGTAATCTCTGAGGAAAAGAGGAGAAACAAGGGTTGGTAAAAAAAAAAAAAAAACCAAAACCTTTCCCTTTATTTTGAATTTGAGAAACACAAGAATCCTAATGTGGAAATAAGATCAAGTTAAGTATGTCTATGATCCTATTAAATAAAAAAAAAAAACCCCAAGTATTTATGTTTGTGGTGCGCTACATAAAGACAAAAGTTCTGTTTGGGCCAGGTGCAGTGACTCCTGCCCATATTCCCAGCACTTTTGGAGGCCGAGTTGGGAGGATCGCTTGAGCTCAGGAGTTTGAGACCACCTTGGGCAACATGGCAAAATGCTGTCTCTACAAGAAATACAAAAATTAGCTGGGTGTGTTGGCATGTGTCTGTAGTCGCAGCTACTCAGGAGGCTGAGGTGGGAGGGTTGCTTGAATCTGGGAGGTTGAGGGTGCAGTATGCCATGACTGTGCCACTGCTCTCCAGCCTGGGAGTCAGAGACCCTTTCTCAAAAAAAAAAAAAAAAAAAAGTTTTGTTTGGCTCTGTTTCCAGTTCTTAATAGAAAGTCTACACTAAAGGAGGGCATCAATACAAATTTAACAAATAAATATATACAGAAAAAAGTTTGAAAGGATACATATCAGATGTTTACAGTGCTATATTTGTATTTTTAACTTTTTTTTAAATTCATTTGTATTTTTTGTTTTTTTAAGACAGAGTCTCACACTGTCGCCCAGACTGGAGTGCAGTGGCGCAATCTCAGCTCACTGCAACCTCCACCTCCTGGGTTCAAGCGATTCTCCTGCCTCAGCCTCTCGAGTAGCTGGGATTACAGGCATGTGCCACCACACCCAGCTAATTTTGTATTTTTAGTAGAGACAGGGTTTCTCCATGTTGGTCAGGCTGGTCTCGAACTCCCGACCTCAGGTGATCCGCCCTCCTCGGCCTCCCAAAGTGCTGGGAGTACAGGCGTGAGCCACTGCACCCAGCCTGTTGGTTTGTTTTTAAGATACAAAGTCTTACTCTGTTGCCCATGATGGAATGCAGTGATGTAGTCACAGCTCACTGCAGCCTCCAACTCCTGGGCTCAATGATCCTCTCTGTTGCCCAGGCTGCAGTGTAGTGGCATGATCTCAGCTCACTGCAACCTCTGCCTTCTGGGTTCAAGCAATTCTCCTGCCTCCCGAGTAGCTAGGATTACAGATGTGTACGACCACACCCGGCTAATTTTTTGTATTTTTAGAAGAGATGGGGTTTTGTTGTGTTGGCCAGGCTGGTCTCGAGCTCCTGGCCTCAAGTGATCTCTCCTCCTTGGCCTCCTAAAGTGCTGGGATTACAGGCAAGAGCCACTGCGCCTGGCCTCCCATATATCTTGATAAGCTCCTCAAAAGCACAGAAATGGAATTTAATTGTGTCTGAAAGGATTATTTAGGACTCACTGGGTAGCAACACAAAGAATAGAAGGAAAAATATTTTTAAAATTTTAGGTTTTACCATACAAGCTTCTCTTGCTTGATGTATTGATGGATCTTTTTCTAATATAGATTTATAGTCTTCCAGGGCTTCATCTAGCTTGTCCGTCTTCTCATACAACTCTGCTCTCCTCAATATTGCCCTGATATAGCTGGGGTTTAATTGAATTGCTGTAAAAAGAGAAGAAATAATTTTTATCACAAAGAAAAATGGCCTACATATCTTTGGCTATATCAGATTCCTTCATCAATCATCCTCCAAGGATACGAAAGGAAGAGTCATTTGCCAAGTGTATACCTGATGCTGGAAAACTTTTTCTATAAAGAGCAAGATAGTAAAGATTGTAGGCTTTGTGGGTCAGACAGACCATCTGTGTCGCAGCTCCTCAATGATACTATTGTAGCACGAGAGCAGGCACAGATAATATGTAAACAAAAAAGGATAGGTGTGTTCCAATAAACTATTTATGGACACTAAAATTTAAGTTCACATAATTTTCACATTATCATGAAATATTTTGCTTTCCAATGATTTAAAACTGTAAAAACCATTCTTAGCTTTTAGGCTATCAAAAACAGGTGGCAGGCTGGATTTGGCTTGTGGCTGTAGTTTGCCATATCCTGGTCTATACTCCAAGTCCTGGTTTTTGCCTACTTGTCATTTACCCAGTCCAGGACAGGCCAGAACAGAGTTCAAGTGCGCAGTGAAAGAGTGAGAGAGAATTTTTTTTTTTTAGACGGAGTCTCGCTCTGTCACCCAGGCTGGAGTGCAGTGGTGTGATCTTGGCTCACTACAACCACCTCCTCCCAGGTTCAAGCGATTCTCCTACCTCAGCCTCCCACGTAGCTGGGATTACAGGCATGCGCCACCATGCCCGGCTAATTTTTGTATTTTTAGTAGAGATGGGGTTTCATTATGTTGGCCAGGCTAGGTGAGAGAGAATTTGAAGATACAAATTAAAGAGTTAAGGGAAACCAATCTGGTGGCAGACTATCATTCTCTTTTTTCTAGGTCTTGAGTACTAAGATTATATTTCTAGTTAAATCCTCACTGTTCCTTCAACCCTCAAACTACTGCTCCAGCACTATGAGGTGGTTGATGCATAATATCTTTTCCTTTATCCAGCATCAGCTGCCCTTCTAATAATCCTTTGCTATGTTTTGGTTCAACATACTGCATTTCTTCTAATTTCTTCCAAGTTGTTTCTTTTTCTATTAGAAAGCAGTGCTGGCCGGGTGTGGTGGCTCAGGCCCATAATCCCAGCACTTTGGGAGGCCGAGGCAGGCAGGTCAATTGGGGTCAGGACTTTGAGACCGTCAGCCTAGCCAACATGGCGAAACCCCATCACTACTAAAAATACAAAAATTAGCTGGGCGTGGCAGTGTGGGTCTATAATCCCAGCTATTTGGGTGGTTTAGGCATAAGAATCACTTGAACCCAGGAGGCGGAGGTTGCGTGCAGTGAGTGGCGATTGCATCACTGTACTCCAGCCCGGGCAACAGAGAGATAATACTCTGTCCCAAAAAAAAAAAAAAAAAAAAAAAAAAAAAAAAAAAAGCAATGTCTTGGCTCTAGAACTTTTTTCTTTTCTCATAATCTATCCTTAATTTTTAAATTCATGCTTTCTGTGAACATTTATTTAGTACTTAATATATACGTCCAATGTAGTATGTCTCTGGGCTATAGTGGGAAACAAGACAGACACAGTCCTTGTTCTCATGAAGCCTTATGCTATTCTAGTAGGCAAGAACAGACAGGTATATAATTTCAATAGCCATAGTACTATAATGAAAAATAAAACAAGGTCATGGAAATACAAGTGAAGCGAGAAATGAGGTAACTTCAGAAAGTGGTCTCAGAATATGAAGAGGGACTATGTGAGAGAGGCCAGCCATGTGAAAGGCTAAGGAGGAGCGTGCCAGGAAGAGGGACCAACAAGAATAACTCTGGCATGTGAGTTATCAGGCTGGGGATCAGAGGCTGAAATGTAGGGCCATGGAGGACCTTCCTGGCCAGGGAAAGGAGTTTGGACTTTTTCCTCAGTGTGATGAGAAGCCACTGGAAAGTTTTCAAGCAAGCTTCAGACATACTCTGATTTACATTTTTGAAGGACTGCTTTGGCTGTAGTGTTGGCGGGTGGGGCAAGACTGAAAGCTGTGAGATCAGCTGGAAAGCTAATGCAGTGGTCCAGATGAGAGAAGATGTTGGCTTGGTCTAAGCTGGAAGTAGTAGAGATGGAAAACAGCAGCCGGATTACATTAAATATGTCTTTAAATTTGAGCCCATGGAACTTGCTAATTAATCAATTAGCCATGTGACACGAAAGAACAATCAGGGATGACTCCAAAGGTTTAACTTAAGCAAGGGGACAGATGGTAATGTCATTTATTAGAATGGAAAAAACTAACTGCAAGTTTTGTGTGTGTGTGGGGGCTGGGCACGTTAAATCTGAGGTGCCTACCAGACATCCAAGAAGAAAGAACTTTGCAGTGGGATACAGGACACTAGACTACAGGGTAGAAGTCAGAGTTGAAGACAGAAACTCTGCCATACACATGGCATGTATTTATTAGTTTTATATTTTAAAATTCATGAATTTTGGCTTTTATCTTTATGAAAATACTCCTTTTGTTTCCCTTAATTGCATTTTTGTTGCTCCAATTTCTTTTTTTTAGACGGAATCTTGCTCTGTCACCCAGGCTGGAGTGTAATGGCGTGATCTCGGCTCACTGCAACCTCCACCTCCCAGGTTCAAGTGATTCTCCTGCCTCAGCCTCCTGAGTAGCTGGGATTACAGGCACGTGCCGCCATGCCCTGCTAATTTTTGTACTTTTAGTAGAGACAGGGTTTCACCATAATGATCAGGCTGGTCTCAAACTCCTGACCTCATGATCCACCAGCCTCAGCCTCCCAAAGTGTTGGGATTACAGGCGTGAGCCACTGTGCCCGGCCTGTTGCTCTAATTTCTTAGGTTAAAAAATCCGTGCATTTTCCTTCTGTCTTAATTTAACTTTTAAAATGACAAATAAAAATTGTGTATATTTATGGTATATAACATAAACATAAATATAACATAACATGTTTTGAAATATACACACAAGGTGGAATGGCTACATTGTGCTAATTTATAGATAGTATTTAAAGCTTCAGAACTGAATGAGATCACTTAGGGAGAAAATACAGAGGGGAAAAAAAAAGAAGAGGGTCCCACGCTCAACTAAGATCTAGAGACTTCCAAAATGTTGAAGTTGACATAAAAGCTAACAGAGGAGAATAAGAAGGAATAGCCAATGAAGCAGGGAAAAAATGAATAGAGTTCATTAAATTTAAGAGAGAGAATTTTAAAGGAGAAAGGAATGATAAACTGTATTAAATGCAGGTAAGGTCAAGTAAAGTTAGGCTAGAGAAGCAACGACTAAATTGAGCAAGATGAAACTGCTGATGACCTTTACAAGATGGGTTTCAATGGCATGGATAAAACAAATGCTCCATGGAAGTGAAGTAAGGAGAAAAATAGGATAAGACAAAGTAGAGACAGCCAAGTATAGACAATTATTTCAATGAAAGGGATCAGATAAATGGTACAGCAATTGAAGGAGAATATTGGGTCAGGAGAAGGTTTTCTGAAAGAACCCTAATCTTGAGCTGGGGGCAGTGGCTCATGCCTGTAATCTCAGCACTTTGGGAGGACGAGGCAGGCAGATCACGAGGTCAGGAGTTCGAGAGCAGCCTGGCCAATATGGTGAAACCCTGTCTCTACCAAAAATACAAAAATTAGCCGGGCATGGTGGCATGCGCCCGTAGTCCCAGCTATTCAGGAGGCTGAGGCAGAAGAGTCGCTTGAACCTGGGAGGCAGAGGTTGCAGTGAGCCAAGATGGCACCACTGCACTCCAGCCTAGGCAACAGAGCGAGTCTCTGTCCCAAAAAATAAAATAAAAAATAAAAAATAAAAAAAGTTAGCTGGGTGTGGTGGCGTGCACCTGTAGTCCCAGCTACTTAGGAGACTGAGGTGAGAATGAACTTAAACTTTATGTCAAGGATGAAAACCCTGGAGCTCCAATATGACCTCAGAAATAAGCTAAGTTCTTTGCCAAGGTTTATGAATTGAGAGATTGAGAGAGGGGAGGGGGAGAGAGAGAGAGAGAGAGAGAGAGAGAGAGAGTGTGTATGTGTGTGTGTGTGTGTGTGTGTGTGTGTGTGTGTGTGTGTGTGTGTGTGTGTGTGTGTGGAGGGTGGGGGATGTCGGGGGCTCTCAATACAAACAAACCATATTGATATAAATGTAATTTGCCTATGAATACAATGCATGTATCCATAATGACCATGTCTAACCACATAAATATTAGTTTAAGCAAATCCAAAAACAAATGCGGAAAACACTTTGGTTGGAAAACACTTTCTTCTCCTTTCCCTCATTTTCTAGGCAAGGCTCCTACACTTCGGGCTGCAGCTGGAAGTAAACTGTTTCATATGGAAATGAACTATTTCTTACAACATACCATGCTAATCACGCTTACAAGGCATTTTTTCACCATTTGGTTACAGAGAAAGAAGCTTTGAAAACCAGCAGCTTGTTCCTAATTTAAACTTCCCAAACCCACACATCCTCACATAAAGGAAATAGGTTAAATAACTTCTTCCAAACAAAACAGTACATTCAGAGTTAGTTCCAGTCCAACTTGGTAACACATCAGAAGTGGTCTTCTATATTATAATATAGAAAGAGTTTCATTCAGATACTATAAGGAAATACCAAATATAAAGAAAAGAAAGCCAGTAGAGAGGGCACCAAATTAATTAAATAAAAAATTAGAGTGTCAGAGGCATCTGAATCAAAGTGGCTCCATCTTGAATAGGGGCTGGGTAAAATAAGGCTGAGACCTACTGGGCTGCATTCCCAGGAGGTTAAGGCATTCTTAGTCACAGGATGAGACAGGAGGTTGGCACAAGATACAGGTCACAAAGACCCTGCTGACAGAACAGGATGCAGTAAAGAGGCTGGCCAAAGCCCACCAAAGCCAAGATGGCGATGGAAGTGACCTCTGGTCATCCTCACTGCTCCCTAAATGCAAATTATAATGCATTAACATGCTAAAAGACATCCCCACCAGCACCACAATAGTTTACAAATGCCATGGCAACATTCAGAAGTTACCCTATATATTCTAAAAAGGGGAGGGACCCTCAGTTCTGGGAAATCTCTGCCCCATTCTTGGAAATCTCATGAGTAATCCACCCCTTGCTTAGCATATAATTGAGAAATAACTGTAAGTATACTTTACTGAGCAGCCCACATTGCTGCTCTGCCTATGGAGTAGCCATTCTTTTGTTTCTTTATTTCTCTAATAAACTTGCTTTTTCACTTTATGGACTTGCCCTGAATTATTTCCTGTGAGAGGTCCAGGAATCCTCTCTTGGGGTCTGGATCAGGACCCCTTTTTGGTAACAGCAGGGGAATATATGCTTAGCGTGACAGGGGATCTAGATAACATATAAGGTTCTCTTGCACTCTATAATTGTCCCAGAAACTATTATCCAAAGAAGAAAAACTAAAAAAATAGAAAACACAAAAATAGTGATTTGCTAGAAAAACTTCTGAGACTAAGCCGCAAGAAAAAGTGATTATGTACATTCTTCACATGAAGTTGGTGAGAAAGGCAAGGCACCTGTCTGGCCTATCAGGCAATTTTTGAAAAACAAAACAAAACAACCCCAAAACACAAAAAAACTGTAGTGACCCTATGTCTGAGGTGTCCCTATAAAAGTTAGTGGGGTGATAAGACCTTAATAGAACTTAGATATCATATAGCAAAGGCTTGATTCATTGTGTAGAATCTGAAAGGGTTAAAAAAAAATGATGTGAAGTAGGTTTGGAAGAATTATGACACTTGAAAAGACTATCAATTCACCAACAGAAACTGTCCCTCATCACAGTTGTCCCCCTTCTCAAAACACACAGATCCAAATGCTCTAATAGCAGCTATGATCTTCACTTTGAATCTCAACAGAATGTAATTCAGAGACTACAGGAGGTAAATTCTATTCCATGAGTTCTGTTGCCAAGAGAGCACTGAAGTTTTCTTTTTTCTTTTGGAGACAGGGTCACTCTGTTACCCAGGCTGGAGTAAGTGGCATAATCACGGCTCACCACAGCCCCAACCTCCTGGGCTCAGGTGATCCACTTCAGCCTCCCGAGTAGCTGGGACTACAGGGGCATGCCACCACATATGCCTAACTTTCGTATTTTTGGTACAGACAGGGTTTTGTCATGTTGCCCAGGCTAGAGCACTGAATTTTTCTTCATGTATTTACCAGTAGAGGAGAAACTGATTGAACTATCCATTCAAAAGCAGTTACTCTATTATATAGTATCTTTGAAAATAATTATAAAGTTGCCTCTTGCAAGGCCCCAGAGGAAGGGTACACATGTACAAGTGCACACCTGACCCAAAGCCCCTCTGTCTGACATAATGCTCCTGTATGTTAACATGTAATAAGATAATAAAGCTGTACCTTTGCTGCAGTCATTGATGGCCATTTCTTTCTTGTCCTAAAAAGAAAAACAGTATTAATATGTGTTGCCCTAGTTTTATCTTAATGGCCCAAAGGCTTAATGACATGATCTGATCACTAATAACTGCTTATGGAGATACAGAATGGTTTTCAAAGAAATTACGTAAAAACCTGAATGTTACTTCCAAGACAAAACTCAAAATTAACACGGGGATGGGGATGGCTCTGATCTGAAGGCCTCCTGGTAACACTTATTCAAGTCGCTTTTTTCTGAAAGTGTCTTTTGTTCTAACTGACCTATTACATTTGCAAGACACTTTACATTAGAATGCTGACACTGAGAAACTTTGTGACCTAAAACAGGGCAAATGACTGACATGTGAATAACTGAATTACCCTCCTCTCTGGCTAGTGGTTATACTATCATACCCCAAAGTGGTATATTTCAGAAAGTATACAGATGCTCCACCTACAGACACACAGTGTGGCTTGTCATGTAGTCTCAGTTATAAACCTTAATTTATCCACTGATCAAACAAAAATACACAACTCTTAAACAAAATATCTAACTCAATTAGTTTCTGAATCTAGAAGCATGACATAGCGGAAAGAACACTGGATGTCAAAGAACTGAATTCTGGTCCTGGCTTTGACAATAACCTGCTCTTTAACATTGCCCATGCTATTTTCCTTCTCTAGGGCTCAGTTTGTCTCATCTAAAATAGGAGCGGGGTAGACTGGATGTTATATAAGATGTCTTGCAGGTCTAAAATGTCCATTTTCCTGAAATTAGGAATTTTTGTATTACAGAAATAAGGTATTTCAAATAAGTGTTCAATATTCTCACAATGCCTACTGTAGCAAATACTAAATATTTTGCAGAATATTTCACAGCAGTGACAGCCAAACTGTTTCAGGATTCAATCAAAAGCAGTTTCAGGGCTGGACGCAGCGGCTCATGCCTGTAATCCCAGCATTTTGGAGGACCAAGGTGGGCGGATCACTAGAGGTCAGGAGTTCGAGACCAGCCTGGCCAACATGGTGAAACCCTGTATCTGCTAAGAATACAAAAATTAGCCGGGTGTGGTGGTGGGTGCCTGTAGTCCCAGCTACTTGGGAGGCTGAGGCAGGAGAATTGCTTGAAACCAGGAGGTGGAGATTGCAGTAAGTTGAGTTCACGACACTGCACTCAAGCCTGGGCAACAGAGCAAGACTCCATCTCAGAAAATAAAAAAAAAGTTTCAGGAGTGTGGAGGATCCTTTTAGGATGATGGAAAAGTTCTGGAACTAGATAGTGGTGTTGGCTGTATAACACTGTGAAGGTATTTTAATCCACAGAATTGTATACAGTCATGCACTGTACAATGACGTTTCAATCAATGATAGACTGTGTATAAAACAGTAGTCCCATAGGAGTATAACGGAGCTGAAAAATTCCTATCACCTAATGACATAGTAGCCGTCATAACATCATGGCATAACCTACTACTCAGGTGTTGGTGTGATGCTGGGGTAAACAAACCTACTGCACTGCAAGTCATGTGAAAATATAACACAGGCCGGGCATGGTGGCTTATGCCTGTAATCTCAGCACTTTGGGAGGTCAAGGTGGGCGGATCACCTGAGGTCAGGAGTTCAAGACCAGCCTGGCTAACATGGTGAAACCCCATCTCTAGAAAAAATACAAAAAAATTAGCTGGGCATGGTGGCACACACCTGTAATCCCAGCTACCTAAGAGGCTGACGCAGGAGAATTGCTTGAAACCGGGAGGCAGAGGTTGCAGTGAGCTGAGACAGCGCCATTGTACTACAGCCTAGGCAACAGAGTAACTCTATCTCCAAAAAAAAAAAAAAAAGAAAGAAAGCATAATACATACATAATACTTGATAATAAATGGCTGTTATTGGTTTATGTATTTACTATACACTACTTTTTATTATGTTAAGAGTGTACTCCTTCTACTAAAAAAAAGTGTACTGTCAAACAGCCTCAGGCAGGTCCTATCGGAAGTATGGAAGTATTCCAGAACAGGGCATTTTTATCATAGGAGATGGAGATGACAGTTTCATGTATGTGTCGCTCTTGAGGACCTTCCAGTGGGACTAGATGTGGAGCTGGAAGACAGTGATACTGATGCTCCTGATCCTGTGTAGGCCTAGGCTACTGTGTGTATTTGCATCCTAGTTTTCAACAGAAAAGTTTAAAAAGTAAAAAAAAAAAAAATTATTTAATAGAAAAAAGTATATAGAATAAAGATATAGCTGGGCACAGTAGCTCACGCCTATAATTCCAGTGATTCGGGAGGCTAAAGCAGGAGGACCACTTGAGGCCAGGAGTTCAAGACTAATCTGTGAAACACAAGACCCCATTTCTAAAAAAATTAAAAAAAAAAAATTAAAAGAAAACCAAACAAAATTAGCTGGGAGTGGTAGTGCAGGTCTGTAGTCCCAGCTACCCAGCTGCTGGAGAGGCTGAGGTGGGAGGATCGCATGAGTCCAGGAGTTCAAGGCTGTAGTGAGCGATGACTGTGCCATTGCACTCCAGCCTGGGCAACAGAGCAAGACCCTGCCCCAGCTCAGAAGAGAAAAGGACATAAAGAAAATATTTTTGTAGTTGTACAACATGTTTATGTTTTAGGCTGTTATTATAAAAGAGTTTAAAAAAATTTAAAAGTTTATAAAGAAAACAAGGCACAGTAAACCAAGGTGAATTTATTAAAGAAAAATTAAAAAAATAAATTTAGTGAAGCCTAAATGTAAGATATTTATGAAGTCTACAGTAGTGTAATGTCCTAGGCCTTCACATTCACTCACCACTCACTCACTGACTCACCCAGAGCAATTTCCAGTCCTGCAAGATCCATTCATGGCATACACGGTATATGTATGTGTGTGTGTGTGTGTATACATATGTGTGTGTGTTTATGTATCTATATATATAGATGCACCATTTAAAAAATACTGCATTTTTACTGCACCTTTTCTTTTTAGATACACAAATACTTACCATTGTGTTCCAACTGCCTATAGTAATTCAGTGCAGAAACATGCTGTACAGGTTTGTAGCCCAGGAGCAATAGGTTATACCATATAGCTTAGGTGTGTAGTAGGCCATACCATCCAGATTTGTGTAAGTATACTCTATGATGTTTGCACAATGATGAAATCACCTAATAACACATTTCTCAGAATGTATACCCGTTGTTAAGTGACTCATGACTGTACTTTAAAATGGCCAACTTTATGTTATCTGTATTTTACCACAATAAACAAAACAAAAAAGGTTTCAGGGTCATCTGGGACCTTTTTTTATTTCTCTTTCAATGTTCAGCATACCAATTCAAATATCAAAAACTCTAAGAAGTCCTGTAAGTAATCTGTATAACTTTATATAAGTCAATATTTTTTCAACTTATCACATTTCTATAAGTCAAAGACACACAATTTCACAGTTTCTGAAATAGAAATAAATCTTTACAATTTATGTGTACAACTGTTGTGATGGTATTCTTTGTGTGCCTAGAAGTGATTATTAAGCTGTAGTGCATCTTATCCACTGTCTCCTCAAATCAAGGAATTATGGAATTTTATTGCAGAAACTTTTGTTTGAGGCTCATAGTCTACTAATACCTCAGAGGACCCAGGTGTTGTCTGCTGCTTACAATGGTAGTCCCCAAAGTGGAGTGTGTGGGAAAAAAAAAAAAATCACAACTTTACCATTCTTTCATAATTTTTATATATAGGTAGCTATCTATCTATATAAAACAGTATACATAATATATAGTGACAAAACAAATGTACACAGCATATAAGGACAAACAAATCTAACTATACATATAAAACAATGTATATAATATATAAGGACAGTAGTTAAAAAAAAAAAAAAAAAGAGAACCTACTCTTTTAGGGCTCTGCTCTTGTATAGCTAGCGAGACCTAGAGCTGAAACTCTGCCCTAGCTCCAGGTTACCTTTTCTCTCTCCAGATATGAAATGTGAAGCGTGGCCAGGGGCACTGAGTCAGGGATGCTGAGCTTGCAAACCTGCCTTTCAGAAATTCTTCATCTTTACCTCTTAAAGCAGTTAAACCATCATTTCCTTGAAAAACTTAGAATATAATATGCTCCTTAAATTGTGTCAGGGTACTAATCCTAGAAGTTATCAAGTCTCTCATTTTAGAGTCTTCATAAAGTATTAAAAATGCAACTTAAGGCCGGGGACGGCGGCTCACGCCTGTAATCCCAGCACTTTGGGAAGCTGAGGTGGGCGGATCACGAGGTCAGGAGTTTGAGACCAGCTTGACCAACATGGTGAAACTCTGTCTCTACTAAAAATACAAAAATTAGCCTGGCGTGGTGGCGCGCACTTGTAATCCCAGCTACTCAGGAGGCTGAGGCAGGAGAATCGCTTGAACACGGGAGGCGGAGGTTGCAGTGAGCCGAGATCACACCACTGCACTCCAGCCTAGGTGACAGAGTGAGACTCCGTCTCAAAAAAAAAAAAAAAAAAAAAGAAACGCAACTTAAAAGAACAGAAAACTTCACCAACAAAACTATTCTTTGAACAGGCAACAATCATAGAGCAACGCTCTTTTGAGTTCTCCTCAGATGTGACAGACAAAATACTAACAAGACCATACATTTTCCTAACTCAAGAACCAGACTATTTATGTGAGCCCAAACCTAGAAATATCAATAACTTGGGCAACTGTAGAAACAAAGAATCCCAAATCCCAGGAGCCAACTGGGTATGGTGCATTTCCTCTGATACTGAAGGCACATCCTTGATCCTATTTCACAATGACAATGTCCAGTCTAAAAATGTGGCAAAAGGGAGAAGCAAATCTAAAAGATCAGAATTTTCCAGGTAAGTGTAAAAACTGTTAGATGTTAATTCTGATTGCTGGTGGGACACATTAATGAATATTGTTTTAAATAAAGTTAAACCAATTGTTTTGTTTTCTCTAATACAAAATGTTGGTTTGTATACTATAAAATTATTTCTTCTCTCATGCCACATGAAATACTCCAAAAATACTCTGCTTTGAAGATTGAATCTTACACAAGTTCTGGTAAAAAAAAAAAACCGTAACCTTTCTGCATGTCCAAGCATTCAAGCACCCACCCCCGCAACCCTGCCCTGGGGCCTTTAAAAAAAACAACAACAACAAAAAAAACCTTGTCACCTAAAGTGACTGTGGTAGAGGCATTTGAGAATTTCAGACAGTATCAAAGAGATATCTGATCTAAACAAACAAATGAAAACACTGCCACTTCCAATCTTGAGCCAGCATCATGGTTGCTTAAAGGTATGTTAAATAACCTATCCTTTGTACTTTGGATGTAAGTAGCCATAGTTTAAAAAGTGGTATGGTTTAAAAAAAAAAAAAACCACTCTCATTTCAATCCAAGGATTATGAAGACTAAATCGGAAAATCAGACAAATCAGAAACAAATCTAACTTTTTTTTTGAGACAGAGTTTTGCTCTTGTCGCCCAGGCCAGAGTGCAGTGCACTGCAACCTCTGCCTCCAGGCTTCAGCGACTCTCCTGCCTCAGCTTCTTGAGTAGATGGGATTACAGGTGCCCACCACCATGCCTGGCTAATTTTTGTATTTTTAGTAGAGATGGGGTTTGACCATGTTGGCCAGGCTGGTCTCGAACTCCTGATCTCAGGTGATGTGCCCGCCTCGGCCACCCATAGTGCTGGGTTTACGGGTGTGAGCCACTGCATCTGGCCCAAATCTAACTTTTAATAAGGTCATGGTATAAAACAAATATATTTGTACTCTCACCTATTCCATACTCACCTTGTTATACTAGGTTCTCAGTCCTTTGGAAATACAAAATGTTTTCAAAGTTCCTTGACACCTATTTTGCATTTAAGGGTACCTTTTATCCCAGCTGTTGGAGATTTCTCCAAGTGTCCATACTTTGAACAGAAAAGTCAGAATCCTGGGAATAACCATCTTTAAAGATGCTTTAAAGCCCAGAGTTTTTACCAGTGTTTCCCTGTGCCTTTGCATGTTTATCTAGAATTCCAGAGGCCTAAAATAAGGATCTAGAGCTATTCTAGGACATGCACTGCTTGGCTCATTGCTTCATTAACCTGACCTAGTTTAGCAAAAAATTTGCCAGCCCTCCTTCCATGAAAGTATTCACTCAGCTACTTTAATGGGGAATGTTAACAGTAATCTGACTCAAGTTTTTCAAAAGATTTTCTATTCTCCCTGTGGCCTTTACATCAGGGAAATATATGGGCAGGAAAAGGGAGGCAGCAACCTCTATGCTAGTTTCTGGAGAGAAACTATGGTATGAAAAGACTGCAAGTCCATGTGCTTTTTAAAAAGAAAAGGTCACAGATACATACCTGTTTCATCCTTGCTGCAGCTCTATTTGAAAATAGAATCGACCTCTCCTTTTGGAAGCAGGATGGGCACATTTCGAGGGCTCGACTATAAGAACTTTCAGCTTCTATATAATCTGAGGATAAGAGAAAGGATGAATGGTCATTTTGATTTTATTCCTGATACTACTATATTCCACAGGATCTCAGAAGCACTGTTTTCCATTCATAGGATGAAGGTTTTGAGTTAAAAGATGGTAACAGTCTATTAAGTCTGGCGCAGTAAAAATCATTTCTTCTTTTCTTCTCTCTTTAAAGGAACAGTGCTTGCTTGTGCCAATCTCACAGGCTGTGCTTGGTGAACTGACAGCTGAACATGCTGTCAGTGACAAGCCCTCAATACTCAGGAGTCCTGGCATTCCCTCAATGTTCAGTTTTCATTTGGCTGGGCAATTCAGAAAGGAGTTTTCAAAGGAGGTTACAGAACTGGACAGAGGAAAGAGACTAAACTCTGGGATCCATGGCCTGAGATAAAGAAAAAAATTATACATATTTGTTTTCATTAAATCTGTTGTGCTTTCATACAGTCAACCTGGCTAAAACAGCATCCGTGAAATGTTTGAAGAGAGACATTTGATAGAGCTAAAAGGAACAATGTAAAAATCAATATTTAAATCAAGACCTTAAAAGAGAAAATGGTGAAAAAGAGAATTATGGTCAGGATACTAATAGAAAATTGCCTATGTACTCCTTTCTCAGGTTTGAAATATTTAATATTAACATACAAAAAATATGCTTCCAAAATTAGAAGTGTTTATTCTATTAGAAAACAGTATTAATGATTACTAAACCAAGATATAGGAAAAAAAAAAAAACCCTAAAATCTGAAATCAGGTAATAGGGTAACTTTTGGAAAACAATAAGAAAAAAATTAAAAACCTGAAAATAACTAGCGGAAAATGTTAACACTCCTAGATTTCTGAAGCATATACACTTTAAGATGTGACAGAAGACTTTTGCTCTAAGATCAAATAGTTACCCCAAATTATCAGAATGAACCCCACCAACTTATTTCTAAGCAAATGTAGAAAATGCAGAAGGACATGAAGAATCTCCCTACTTAAGGCATCCAAAGAAAATGGCACATGAAAGAGCAACCTTTCTGAAGCAGTTTGGAGAATTTAAAAAAAGAAAGAAAGAAAGAAAGAGCAACCAAAGGACAGGCAGCCCTAGGCCATACCAGAGCAGTCAGGCTGCTTTCACAGCCCCACAGCAAGTGAGGAGCGGCGACTCTGCTTTCACAGCAATGCAGCACATAACCTTTAATATTCCAGGTTAGTGTTTTCCAAAGCAAGAGCTCAAGAGTTTTACCCCTGATTCTAGACTAACAGATAGTGGATTACAGAAAGACTATGCATGTGCCAAGAGACAAATGGTAACTGGTCACCATCAGATGAATAATTTGGCCTGGTTAAAAACTCAAAATGCCAAGGTACTGGGAAGCAACACTGTATTGTGAAGTCTGGTTTTGGGGTTTCTTCAGATGTTCTTTGGGGTTTCTTCACAGACTCTACAACAGGATGAGGAGTCAAGATGACCAGATTATCAGTGCTGAAAGTCGTCTTACCTCCTTTCTTAAACTGTTCATTTCCCTCCTCCTTTAGTCTAGTGCTCTCTTCTCTTCTTTTCTGAAAGACATCAGAGAATTACATAATTTCTCACAATATTATTATAAGTGAACAAAAAGGTGAGCTTTCCTTATGCACAAGTCTATTTAATAGGCAACAGTCTGACTTTTGAGAACTGCATCAGTTTCACCAAAACCTTGTACAGTGATAGAGGAAAAAAAACACATGACCATCAGGCTAATTATCAATTGCATTCTTGATGTTTAAAACAAAAAATGTAGGTCTTCTTGGCATGTCCTTTGCTTTCTATGTTTCTATCTTTTGCAATGGAATGATAATTACAGTATCACTTAATTTCTACTTACTCAGAAATGAAACTAAATAACATACCCACTGGTGTGCATACCAGTGTAAATTCAAATTGTAGCTTCTAGTACTTACTAGTTATGTGGCCTCGGACAAGTTTCAGAATCTTTCTGAGCCTTAGTTTCTTCATTTCAAAAATGAAGCTTTAATAGTATTATGGACTACTGTTTAATGGATTAATGTCATAATATACATAAAGCTGCCCATACAGTGACTAGCAAATAAGGGCTCAATAAATAAGCTATTATTTTCTGTGAAATAAGTACTTTAATCCTTATAAGAACCCTTCATGGTTTGTGTCATGAAGGAGACACAGTATGCTAGGAGAGCACATTTGTGGGTACAAGCCAAGTCTGTAGGGTTAGGGCAGTATACTGTTAGCAGGTTAACATAGGAAAATGTGAAGAAACCTAAATAAATAAGTCTGTCTTTTCTTAGCTTATTCAAACAACTCAGAAACTCACATAGATGGCCAAAAACTCATCAAACACAAAGGCTGAGAGAATGTTATCCTGCAAAGCAAAGTAGACGCATGCTGAGTGTGTGCACTTTTTTGTGGAACATCTTAACAATATAACTGGCACAAGCCAAACCAGAAGAGTCTGTATGCCTGCCACCTTTTGACAGTGCTTTAAAACAAAAACAACAAAAAAACCCCAAAAACAGAAAATCTACCAAAGTCCCTTAAAAAAAAAAAAAAAAAAAAAGAGATAGGGTCTCACTATGTTGTCCAGGCTAGAGTGCAGTGTCTATTCACAGATGTGATCAACACACACTATAACCTTGAACTCTTGGACTCAAGTGATCCTTCTGCCTCAGCCTCCTGAGTAGATGGGACTATAGGTGCACACCACTGTGCTGGGCTCTTTCCTCCTTCTTGAAGCTTCTGATTAAGTAATTTCAAAGGGAGGAAATACAGTTAGCATTCTGATTAAGTAATTTCAAAGGGAGGAAATACAGTTAGCAGGGTATTTCATGCACAAGAGAAGCCTGGAACCTAAACAATTGGTCCTTTTAACATGAGGAACTGATATGATCTGTGTTCCTACCCAAATATCCCCACGGGTCAAGGGACGGACCCTGGATCATGGGGACGGTTCCCCCATGTTGTTCTCATGATAGTGAGTTCACTTTCATGAGAACTGATGGTTTTCAAGTGCCACACTTTAAAACCATCAGCTTTCTCTTCACTTTCCGCCATGATTGTTAAGTTTCCTGAGGCCTCTATAGCCATGTGGAACTGTGAGTCAATTCAACCTCTTTTGTTTATAAATCACCCACTCTCAGGCAATTCTTAATAGCAGTGTGAAAATGGATTAATACAGGAACCAAAATAAAAACATTCTTTCTCTGGAAAAGATTTGTCAATATGCTATTGATGAGACCGGGTATTTCCCAAATGTCTTATTATTACACTATGGATTAAACAGAGCACTTGATGAATCTCAGTGAGGAAACTAAAAGGTAAGTATAGAGTGAATCTAATTTTTATGGTACATACTATGTGCCAGACACACAGCAGGTACAAATAACAATTCATTTTAAGATATAACGTATCTGAGGGAAGGGCTATTCTAAAGGAATTCAGAAAAAAATAAAATATAAGAATATGGCCATATTTACCTAGTACTACCCATAAGAAAGATGCTTAGATTGTAATGATCTCTACTGTATTGATTAGGGTTACTGGATGCAAGCAAAAGACTATCTTAAGCAAAAAACTTTAGGGGGCAGGTTTACTGGCAAGGTATCAGTGCTCACAGAATCAGTGAGAGGCTTAACGAATAGGCTTAGAAAGCAGGTAGAACTTGGCTGGGCGTGGTGGCTCACGCCTGTAATCCCAGCACTTTGGGAGGCTGAGGCAGGCAGATCATGAGGTCAAGAGATTGAGACCATCCTGGCCGACATAGTGAAACCCTGTCTCTACTAAAAATACCCCCCCAAAAAAAAAAATTAGCTGGGTGTGGTGGCAGGCGCCTGTAGTCCCAGCTACTCAGGAGTCTGAGGCAGGAGAATCACTCGAACCTGGGAGGCGGAGGCTGGAGTGAGTCAAGGCCGCGCCACTGCACTCTAGCCTGGCGACAGAGTGAGACTCCGTCTCAAAAAAAAAAAAAAAAAAAAAAAAAAAAAAGAAAGCAGGTAGAACTCAAGGAGGCTCTGTTAAGAAGCAGAATGCATGTCTTTTAGTGAAAGACTTGCCAGGACAGGGCTGCAATGACAGCAAATCAACTCTAACCATTCCATTGTCTTTGCTTCACTCAATCTAGATTTAAGATCTTGGTCAGAAGCATCTAATATACCAAGCATCGATCACAAGCCTTGGTTATCAGAGGATGAAGTGAGAGACATGGGGTACTGCCACTCAACAAGATCACAACACAAGAGAATTCCTCCAAATAGGAAGGGGTGTTGGATGTTGGAGAGCCAAGACAACATAACAAATTCAGTTAACAGTTATTTAAGAAACAAATTCTTTAGAGAGGGGTTAAATCATCAAGTTACTAGATCTTAATGCCCACTCTTTAAGAGTTTTCAATTTCTTTAGCATTGACTGTAAATCTTAAGCTATTTTCTGATCTATAATCTTCTCTTCAGAGCCAACTCATTAGGAATATTCTATGAACACAGATGAATCAATCAGATTGCCGGATTAGGCTCTTGTGAAGTAAGCGTGTGTATGTGTGTTCATGTTTTAGGAGACCAATCATTCTTTGGGAAATTTATAACATCAAGTTCCCAATGGGCAAAACCACGTCTCAAGTATACAGAAAGGAATCAGTGCTACGGGCCGGCCTGAGCAGCCAGCTCGAGAAATACTTACCATGTCTTTATTTTTATTTTCAGAGACAAGGTCTCCTTCTGTTGCCCAGGCTGGAGTGCAGTGGCACCATAAGAGTTTACTGTAAACTTGAACTCCTGGACTCAAGCAATCCTTTTGAGTAGCGGGGACTATAAGCAAGCACCACTGCCCCTAGGTAATTTCTTTCTGTTTTTAGTAGAGATGGGGTCTTACTGTGTTGGCCAGGTTGGTCTTGAACTCCTGGGCTCAAGCAGTCTTCTCATCTCAGCCTCCTAGTGTGTTGGGATTATAGGTGTGAGCCAGTGTGCCCAGCCCTCATCTTGCCTTTATAACTTGAAGGACTGAAAGTTGAGGTAGCAAAGCGAAAGGCTCCAGAATGTAATTCTGAGGTTATTTTTTATTTATTTATTTATTTTTTTTGAGACAGAGTCTCACTCCATCACCCAGTCTGGAGTGCAGTGGCATGATCTTGGCTCACTGCAACCTCTGCCTCCCAGATTCAAGTGATTCTTGTGCCTCAGCCTCCCGAGTAGCTGTGTTTACAGGCATGCACCACCACACCTGGCTAATTTTTTGTATTTTTAGTAGAGATGGGGGTTTTGCCATGTTACCCAGGCTGGTCTTGAACTCCAGGCCTCAAGTGATTCACCTGCCTTGGCCTCCCAAAGTTCTGGGATTACAGGTGTGAGCTAAGGTCAATTATTCTAAGTGAGGCATCCTATTGTTTCAACGGATAAATCACAACCCAGTGGCCCACTGAGTAGTAAACATTGAAAAAGAACTGCTGCTTCCCTCTCCACAGATTGTGCAAATTAAGAGTAATGCAATTATCAGTATCATGCTGAACATCTCCTTGGAAACAGCTAAAAATAGCACTTTGAGGAGAAAGTTGAACTATTTCCCAGCTGTGCCGAGACTGAATTGATGATCCCAGTACAAAGACTGGAGTTTTTTTCTGCTGAATACATTCTTTCTCCAAAGGATGACAGGTATATAGTACAATATTATTGGAATCCAAGGATAGATATGATAGATAGTGTATAGGTCTTCCTTAGCGTGCTAGGTGCCAGGAGCATTCACACATATGTGAGCTGGCAGTGCTGATATTCTGCAGCACTATCAGAGGAAAGTCTTTCCAGGTTCTGTTCTATGAACAGAAGCTTCTAATGTGGTTAAAACCCTTACATACCTCCACAATGCCTTTTAACACATTCCAGAGAGGCCTCACAGGGAAACATCTGATCTTGAATTATACTTCCATAGAAATGGAAACCAAAGAAATTTTATAGGGCTGTTTACTCAGTACTTTCTTCTCCATCACTGAAAACTTAGGGGGAAACAGTGACATTATCCTGCATTGTAAATCATCACAGGAACTGCCAAGGAGAGCCCCAAACAGCCAATGCTCTTGATGAACGGAGTTTATTTCAACAGTTACTACCACAACTGTAAACTTCTCAACATGGTATTCAAAATTCATTACAACCTATACCAGTACAGCGCTTCACTGCTGAAAATCTGCTGTCACATACATCAGCTCATTTGTTTTTCAAGATAATTTTGAGAGGTGGGCATGGAGGTCTTGACTCATTTTACAGACGAGAAAAATCAAGATTCAGAAATCTCTTGTTCACACTACATCAAGCTTCTATTCCAACCTACTCAAGCTATGCAACACAAGTCCTCTCTGCTAGACAGTCTGATCTCACTATTGTCTCTCAGAGCTTACCATGCTTATCCCTCATTCCATTTGTTTGCTTATGTGTCCCCCATGTCCTTCCATGGAATAACTCTTCCATATCCTCCTCCTAATTCTCTAACACCAAATTTTCTGTAGTTTTCAAAGTCTAGTACAAACCACAGCTCCTCCCTGGGGCCACCTTTCAGTTCTTTTCCCACATTACCTTTCTTTGAATGCAGACTGTACATACTGCTTTTGATTTTGTAATTCAATTCTGCCTCACAGATTGTTTTAAATTATAAACACAATAAAAGCACTGCAAAAAATTTGGAGTGTTACTTAATGCTTAAATGGTTTCATGTGTTGTAGAGCGCTTTTTGGCCCTCAGACCTGGGCAGAAGAGGCTCCTGTCAAGGCCCTCCTCTCTGGTGGGCCCCACCCATATCCCATACGGCCCTTTTAAACTATGCTCCAGGTACTGAGTTCTCTAGGATTTCCAGTTCAAGCCTCCCTAGCCCACTTCCAGGATCTGCATGGGCATTTTACCTGGGTTTATTCTCCCAAGGGTGAACTTTGTTGCAGGTTTACATAATATTCCAGGTGTAGTATTCTGTACTTTGCCTACCTCCATATCTTTGTACTTTGTACTTTGTATTCTGTACTTTGCCATATCTCCAAGGAGTCCTAGATCAATTTTTACTTATTTATTTATTTATAGTCAGGGTCTCGCTTTACTACCCAGGCTAAAGAGATCATGGCTCACTGCAGCCTCAACCTCCTGGGCTCAAGCAATCCTCCCACCTCAGCTTCCCCAGTACCTAGGACCACAGGTGCACACCACCACGCCTAGCTATTTTTTTTTTTTTTTTTTGTAGAGATGGGGGGGTCTCACTATGTTGCCTAGGCTGGTCTTAAACTCCTGGGCTCAAGTGATCCTCCCACCAGAGCCTCCCAAGGTGCTGAGATTACAGGTATGAGCCACCCCATTCAGCCGAGTCCTGGATTCTTTTAGTGTGGAATAGTGTTTAGAAACAAAGATCTGGGTGTTAGTGTGTTCACTGTTACTAGGGTATTACTCCTTTTAGGCCCTTTCAGTGAAGAAACCCAGGAAATACATCTTAAACAAAATGAAACCCTTATGAGTCAAAAGAACACATACAAGTGAAATCCAACAACCCAGGATTCTTCCTCACATTCCTCCACAGTGAAAACTCTGGTTCTCAGAATAGCCACTTTACTAATTTGCTCTATCCTACAAGAAACAAGAGTTCCAAAATTACTATACAAATATCATTACCAACAATGAACCTACTATGTAAAGTTCAAGGTTTTGTTGCAGTCAAGAGTCTGTGTCCAAAGTTAATGGAATTATCTTTTCTATATAATCTATTCATGATTGTTATGTTAACTTGTTTCTGTTTATGGTCAATTTTAAGGCTTAGTTTTTTTCTCATCTTTTCTGATTTTTTGAAAATTAAAAAAATTATTTATACAGTTCAAAAATAGGTGGAATTTCTGATGTGGTGAAGTAAGGAGGTTGTCAAATCCTTTTCCCTAAAGCCAACCACAAAACTGGGCAGGCCAGGGGCAGTAGCTCACACCTGTAATCCCAGTACTTTGGGAGGTCGAGGTGGGCGAACTGGCTGAGTCAGGAGTTTAGACCATTCTGGGCAACATGGCGAAACCCTGTTTCTAGCAAAAAGCCAAAAAAATTAGCCATGTGTGGTGGTGCGCACCTGTGGTTTCAGCTACTCTGGAGGCTGAGGTGGGAGGATCGCTTGAGCCCAGGAAGTTGAGGCCATGATTGTGCCACTGCACTATAGCCTAGGTGACAGAGTGCGACCTTGCTTCAAAATAAAAATAAAAAGAATAAGTAAACTTGAAGTTGTATCGAAAGAAATTATCCAAGCCAAAGAATGAAAACAAAAAGACTGAAGAAAAATGAACAGGGCCCTCTTGACATGAATGGAAGACCCAGAAGAAGGGAAGAAAGAGAAGAACAGAACAAATATCTGAAGAAATAAAGGCTGATAACTTTTTTTTTTTTTTTTTTTGAGACGGAGTCTTGCTCTGTCGCCTATGCTGGAGTGCAGTGGTGTGATCTTGGCTCACTGCAAGCTCCGCCTCCCGGGTTCACGCCATTCTCCTGCCTCAGCCTCCCGAGTAGCTGGGACTACAGGCAACTGCCACCACACCAGGCCAATTTTTTGTACTTTTAGTAGAGACAGAGTTTCACAATGTTAGCCAGGATGGTCTCGATCTCCTGACCTCGTGATCCACTCGCCTCGGCCCCTCAAAGTGCTGGGATTAAAGGCATGAGCCACCGCGCCCGGCCAAGGCTGATAACTTTAAAATTTTGATGAAAAATGTTAATCTAAAGATCCAAGAAGCTCATCTCAGTGAACCTCAAGTAGAATAGAAGATCTACATCTGAAGACACCAGAGTATCAGAGTGGTGAGAGAAAAAGACAAAGAGAAAATGTGAAAGCCACAAGAGAAAAATGATAGAAGAGAACAAGACTATTAATTTCTGACTTCTCACCAGAACAGTGGAGGCCAGAAGGCAGTGTAATGATATACTTAAAATGTGAATGAGAAAAATTTTCAACAAAGATTATACATTTAACAAAACTACCTCAAGATGAAGGAAAAATAAAGACTTTCACAATGAACAAAGAAAATTTACTGCTGTGAAACCTGCCTCACAAATATATTAAAGTCCTTCAGGCTGGAGGAAATGACAGTAGATGGTCACTCAAAACCACAGGAGGAAATGAAGAACATCAGAAACGGTAAGCAGATATAAGACTCTAATATTATTTTCTCTCTTCTTTAATTTCTTTAAAAGACAAAAGATTATAAAAAGCTGTAATTATGACACTCAGTGGTTAGGTTTACAACATATATTGATAAAATGTACATGACAACGATAGTTCGAAGTGGAGGAGAGGAAATGGAGCTATGCTAAAGCAAAGCTTCTATCAATATATTTCACTGAAATTAGGTACTATTAAACTAAAGTAGGGCTGGGCACAGTGGCTCCTGCCAGTAATTTCAGCACTTTGGGAGGCCAAGGTAGGCAGATCGCTTGAACTCAGGAGTTTGAGAACAGCTTAGGCAACACGGCAAAACCCCATCTGTACAAAAAATACAAAAATTAGCTGGGCATGGTGGTGTGCACCTGTAGTCCAGCTACTCAGGAGGCTGAGGTGGGAGGATCACCTGAGCCCAGGGAGGTGGAGGCCGCAGTGATCCATGATTGCACCCCTGTACTCCAGCCTGGGCAACAAAGTGAGACCCTGTCTCAAAAAAAGAAAAAGAAAAAAAAAAAAGAATCCCGAAAAACTAAAGTAGACTATAAAAAGATGTGCATTACAATTCCTACAGCAACCACTAAGAAAATAGCTAAAAAGTAAGCATAGTTAATAAAATCCAAAGTATTAAAATAGCATGCAGAAAATATTATCTAATACAAAAAGAGGCAGTAAAAAACAGGAATAAAGAACACATGAGACTTGTAAAAGACAAATGACTAATGTAAATCCAAACATATCAACAAGCAGATAAAATATGAATGGACTAAACAACTCAAAGAGCAGAGATTATCACACTGGATTTAAAAAGATTCAATTATATGTTGACTATAGGATGCATACTTTACATTCAAAGACATATACAGGTTGAAAATAAAAGTATAAAAAAAAGATACTGTGTAAACAGCAACCTTAAGTAGCTGAAGTGCTATCAGACAAAACAGGCTTTAAGACAAGATACATTACTGGAGACCAAAAAAGGGGATATTTCATAACGGTAAAAAGGTCAACAAATTGGGAAAATATAACAACTATAAGTGTATTCGTATCTAACAGCAGAACCATAAAATATATAAAGGAAAAACTGACTGAATTCAGAGGAGCAACAGACAATACAACATTAGTTGAAGATTTCAATACCCCAATATCAGAAATTCTTTAAACAACCAGAGGTACAATACATATGGAAAAACATACAGAAATGTACAGCTTAGTACACTGTTGCAAAATATACATTCACAAAACTACTATACAAATTAAGATAGAGAACACTGCCAGAACCTCAGAAGCTTCCAGTGTACTCCTTTCTAAATTCTCTCACCCCGACATCCCTAGCCAAACAACTTTTCTTCATAACTTGAAGGAGCTAAATAATTGAGGTTGTCATACTTCTATAACACTGTGGAATGTATGCTTGCAACCTTTAGAAAACCAAGTATCTAAAAATGATTTTTAAAGAGCTCTTCTAAGTTCTATTCTAGACCTGAAATATTTTATGGTCTATGCTCACCGAATTCTGACTTACTAGCTATAGTTAACAGTTCCGGATTGCTTTTACCTGCTAATCATTTAATCCTTATGATCCCACTTTACGCCAAGTTAAATGATAGAGCTAGGACAGATCTAACATTTCCAAGTTCATATTTTTAGGTGAGGTGGTGCACATCTATAGTCCCAAGTACTTGAGGGACTGAGGTGGGAGAATCGCTTGAGCCCAGGAGTTGCACTGGCAACGAAGCTAGACCCTATCTTTTAAATAAAACAAAGCAAAGCAAAGCAAAACAAAACAAAACAACAAAGTTCATCCTCTTAACTACAAGACCATACTGTCTTCCACAGGTGTGGAAATAAAGAATTGTTTGCAGGAAGTAGAACTGAGTAATGCACAGAAGCTGCTGCAAAAAGGTGAACTCACAGAACTTATATGCTTCATAGTTCTAAAGAAAAAGTCACTTTTAATTCCCTTGGTGTCAAGAACTAGGGCATTTGAAAAGGGGATGACACTGCTCCAAAACATGTTATTCAGTTCCAGAGCTCTGACCTATAGTCATTTCGAGACCTATGTTAAAAATAAATCTCACTTGGTGTGGTAGCCCATACCTGTAATCCCAGCACTTTGGGAGGCCAAGGAGGGTGGATTGCTTGAGCTCAAGAGTTTGAGACCAGCATGGGCAACATGGCAAAACCCCGTCTCTACTAAAAAACAAAAATTAGGCCAGGTGCGGTGGCTCATACCTGTATCCCAGCACTTTGGGAGGCCAAGGCAGGTGGATTGCCTGAGGTCAGGAGTTCGAGACCAGCCTGGCCAACATGGTCAAACCCCATCTCTATTAAAAATATAAAAATTAGCCAGGTGTGGTGGCAGGCGCCTGTAATCCCAGCTACTTGGGAGGCTGAGGCAGGAGAATCACCAGAACCTGGGAGGCAGAGGTTGCAGTGGGCTGAGATTGCACCACTGCACTTCAGCCTGGGTGACAGAGTGAGACTTCGTCTCAAAAACAAACAAAACAAAAAAATAAAAATAAAAATACAAAAATTAGCTGGGCATGATGGCTCATGCCTGCAGTCCCAGCTACTCTGGAGGCTGAGGTGGGAGGATCACTGGAGCCCAGGAATTTGAGGCTACAGTGGAATTATGGAATCGTGCCACTGCACCCCAGCCTGGGGGACAGAGCAAGACCTGGTTTCAAAAAAACAAAGCAAAACAAAACAAAAACAAACCTCTTCCTCACTGAATCAAGGGCTTGGACCACAGGACTTAGGCTGTTCTATTATTATTACTGTTACTCTTGAGGTGGTAGCATCACTTGAGCACGAGTTTGAGACCAACCGGGGCAACAAAGCAAAACCCCATATCCTGAAAAAAAAAAAAAAATTTAGCTGGGTGTGATGGCAAGCCCCTGTATTCCCAGCTATGAGGGAGGCTGAGGCAGGAGGATCACTTGAGCCCGTAAGTTTGAGGCTGCAGTAAGCTATCATTATGCCACTGTGCTCCAGCTTGGGCTACTCTGTCTCTCTTAAAAAAGATAAAGGAACTGTCATCAACTAGAGAAAACTAAGGCAACATGAAAACTAAATGCAGTGGATCCTGGAACAGAAAAGATGATGTTCATGGAAAATGTGATGAAATCTGAATAAGGTCTGCAGTTTATAGTGTTGTAATAATGTTTATTTCCTGGTTTTGATAACTGCACTATGGATATGTAAGCTGTTAAAATTAAGGGAAGCTGGAATCTATTTTTTGCTACTTTCTGAAAAATGTTATTTCAAAAATAAAAAGTTAAAATAGAACTCTCCACCTGGGAAATAATTTTTATCTTTCAAGAGCTAAATATAGTCTCCAGTAAGGACATTAAACCCCTACCTCAGTAATGAGAGTTTTTCAACATACTTATGGCACAGAATGTGTAGGCACTGTGCTATGTACACAGCACAGAGAAGGCTCTACCCATTGCCCATCCCCCCACACTTACATGCTAACCAGAGTATATTGATTGAACACTACCTGCAAGAAGTGTGGCTGTAAAGGCCACTTTGCAAAAGATTGTTTCATGCAACCAGGTGGGACCAAATACTCTCTGATACCTGATGAGGAAGAGGAAAAGGAAGAGGCAAAGTCAGCAGAGTTTGAGAAGCCTGACCCCACAAGGAATCCTTCTAGAAAAAGAAAGGAGGAGAAGAAAAAGAATTGGAAGTCATCTGACTCTGACAGCTCAGACTCTGAGAATGATACAGGCAAGAGGGCAAGGCACACATCAAAAGACAGCAAGGCAGCAAAGAAGAAGAAAAAGAAGAAGCACAAGAAGAAGCACATAGGAGTGGAAAGATTAGGCAACATGTGACATGCCTTGTGCACACGGCTTTGTCCCCATTGAGCCTTGTATTTGGAAGCTTAGTCACCTGTGTCCATCTGGATCTGTTTCGTGATAAAACACGAAACTACCTAAAATAAAAAGGTAAGCAGAGTTACATGTCTCCCTAGCTGAATTATAAGTTTCTTGACAGAGAAAACCATATTCTTCAAGAAAACTTCAGCCTGGGCAACACAGCAAGACCGTGTCTCTCCTAAAAATAAAAAAAATTAGCTGGGCGTGGTGGCTTATGCCTGTAGTCCCAGCTATTTGGGAGGCTGAGGGGGAAGGATCACTTGAGCCCCAGAGGTAGAGGTTACAATGAGCCATGATTGCGTCACTGCACTCCAGCCTGGGCAACAGAGCAAAACTCTATTTCCAAAAAAAAAAAAAAGAAAGAAAACCAATTTTGCCTAATTTTTTTTTTTTTTTTGAGACAGTGTTTTGTTCTGTTGCCCAGGCTGGAGTGCAGTGATGCAATCTCAGTTCATTGCAACCTCCGCCTACCGGGTTCAAGTGATTCTCCTGCCTCAGCCTCCTGAGTAGCTGGGATTATAGGCGCACACCACCAGGCCCTGCTATTTTTTTTGTATTTTTAGTAGAGATGGGGTTTCACCTTGTTGGTCAGGCTGGTCTTAAACTTGACCTCAGGTGATCCGCCCACCTCGGCCTCCCAAAGTGTTGGGATTACAGGCGTGAGCCACTGCACCCGGCCAATTTTGTCTATTAATTGCAGGTACTAACAAATGTCTGCTGAATGAATAACTCAATTTCTAGAATTACCCCGAATCTGTAGCATATGTGGGTTAATTTTCATTTAACTAACAAAGAAATAAAGGTGGAAACTATTACAAGTGTCCTTTCTGAATAAAATTAGCAAATCAAGGATTTAAATATTATAAACTTCTTTACATAAAGAAGATATTCTATAAAGAAGACAAATTACTGTAAATACTAGTTAGGATGAAAAATGGAAATGGTATGCTACTATTGCTAAGTGAAGAGTCTTCCTGTAAAGCAAATATCCATGACTTGGCTATAATCTTACCTTGTAATTTCCTATTTACTAACATAGTACCCCTATCTGCTTAATTACCTATACTATATTAGATGCCTGATTCCATGGCTGTGTAACTCATTCAATGAGCTAAAACTCATAATACTTATTATGTGCCAAACATTGTGCTAAGAGCTTCAAATGGATTGATTCACTTTCTTAAAATATTAGAAGTAGCTTGAATATAATTTTTTAATTGACAACAAAAAAACCACCCTCCAAAAAACCCAAAAATCCAAGCTAGAGAACTTCAACTGATATAATTTAAAATCCTGGGTAGCATGGCAAAATGTTAGAAAGTGCTTCTCTAGTCCCTTATAAATAAACCACTCTTCAGCAGACTACAATGCAGTGGCTGAGTAGGGTATTTCTTTTACTTTAGGTCAGTGAATACAACATAAACACACTTGACTTTGAGCTTATAAGTGTATACCCCATCTATCATTATTAAATAGTTAAAAACTTGCATGAAATACATTTAAAAAATAATCTCATATTTAAATAATCCTATGGTAAGCATGTGCTCAACAGACAAACAGGGGGAAAACCAAGACTCTCACTCCGGCAAGCTTATGTCCATATTATAAATCTATCAGCAGCTCTCTGCTGCCCTCTGCAGTTTTGTGAAGTAATTGCTACAAAATAAAACGGCATACACTTTATGCCAAGCACAGTACCCAGGGATCACAGTACCCAGAGATCAATAGCTGGAGTAAAAGAGAGCGTAAAGAGAGGTACATACTTGCTCAACTGCTGGAAAGTGGAGGCACATGCAACAAAACTTTCTGCTTTAGTCTTATCTAGGTGGGACAAGAAAACTACACTTGGAATGCAAATACTGGAAGGGCTAGGGACATCAGTTCTATAATTATTTTGAAGGGAATTCCTTATCATTAAAAAAATAAGCTTTTGGTTTTGTCTTCTTTGAAATCAGATATCACTTGCTTTACATACATAAAGACATATCTGTTCTTTCCACAAGTCACCTTTACAGGTCCTCTAGGGAGGCATGAGGGAGGATCTTTGGATCTAAGCCACAGTTAGAACCTGCCTCTCAGTAGGTGTTATCCTTCTGAGGAAAAAAATGACTGATCTATGAGGAATTAATCTTGGAAATAGTCCCTTGTTTCTTAAATCAGAAAATTCTATTTCCCAAAACTCAATCTTTAACAGAAATAAATTTTCTATGTCAGGACTGCTTAAATTCGGCCCAACAAGTTGTTTTTAGACCTTGATCAACGGATGTAGGTAAAAGAAAACCTCCTATTCAGTTCTTCCGATGTTGGATGCAGTCAATGTACGGGTTAGGTCAATACTTCTTGTTTTGGAAGCTTAGTCATCTGTGTCCATCTGGATCTGTTTCCCATGGTGTGGCCACAGTTCTTCCTATATCAAAATTACCTGGGAGGCTTGCTAACAAAACAGATGCCTGGTTGTTGCCTCACAGGTGTGTGGTGTCAGACACTTCTCAGGCTGTGCATGGTTAATACATTTCCTGTGATGCTTAGACACAATAAAGTCTGGAAACCACTGATCTACACAAAGTGACCTTTCTTAATAAACACAGGAAATACTGAACGTCATTTTAACTTTTCTGCCAGCAAATAATGTAAACACACCTCACTAACTTCCAAATGTTTTAGAGCAGCGGTCCCTACCCTTTTTGGCACCAGGGACTGCTCTTGTGGGGAACTATTTTTCCACGGACTAGGGTCTTGGGGAAGGGGGTGTTCATAATGATTCAAGCACATTACATTTATTGTGTACTTTATAATTATTAAACTGTAATATATAATCAAATAGTTATACAATTCACCATAATGTAGAATCAGTGGGAGCCCTAAGCTTGTTTTCCTGCAACTAGACGGTCCTACCTGGGGGTGATGAGAGACAGTGATAGACTATCAGGCATTAGATTCTTGTAAGGAGCAGGCAACACAGATCCCTTGCATGTGCAATTCACAACAGGGTTCACAAGCCTACGAGAATCTAATGCTACCATGGATATGACATGAGGTGGAGCTCAGACAGTAATGCAAGCGATGGGAAGTGGCTGTAAATACAGATGAAGCTTCGCTCACTAGCCTGCTGCTCACTTCCTGCTGTGTGGCTGGGTTCCTTACAGGCCACAGACTGGTATCAGTACATGGCCGGGGGTTGACGACCCCTGTTTTAGAGCAAGCAACCCTTATTTCCACTGGTTTAAACTTAGCATCAGGCCAGGCAGGGTGGTTCATTCCTGTAATCCCAGCACTTTGGGAGGCCAAGTGAAAGGGCCTCTACAAAAATAAAAATAAACAAACTTGGGATCAGAAATCTAAGCTCCTTCTAGGATTTGATTTAATCGTTTGTAGACAGCATTAAGTTCAACAGTGGTAACTCTAAGAAGTTGGTAAAACTGACCACCTTAGTTCCAAAGGATGCCTATTAGAAATGAAAGAAAAGGAGGCTGGGGCGGGCGGATCACTTGAGGTCAGGAGTTCGAGACCAGCCTGGCCAACATGGTGAAACTCCGTCTCTACTAAAAATACAAAAATTAGCTGGGTGTGGTGGTGGGCACCTGTAATCCCAGCTACTTGGGAGGCTGAGGCAGGAGAATCACTTGAACCTGGGAGGCAGAGGTTGCAGTGAACCAAGATCATGCCACTGTACTCCAGTCTGGGCGACAGGGCAAGACTCTGTCTCAAAATAAACAAACAGAAAACAACAACAACAAAAAGAAAACAAGAAATGAAAGAAAAGGGAGGCAGGAGGCAGGGCACAGTGGCTCATGCCTATAATCCCAGAACTTTGGGAGGCCGAGGTGGGTGGATCATGATGTGAGTTCGAGACCAGCCTGGCCAATATGGTGAAACCCAGTCTCTAGTAAAAATACAAAAATTAGCTGGGTGTGGTGGCACACGCCTGTAGCCCCAGCTACTCGGGAGGCAGAGAGAGAATCGCTTGAATCCGGGAGGCGGAGGTTGCAGTGAGCAGAGATCGCACCGCTGCACTCCAGCTTGGGCAACAGAGAGGGAATATCCATCTCAAAAAAAAAAAAAAAAAAAAAAAGAATGAAAGAAAAGGGAAACAACAAAATCAGAAAGGTTGCTCATGACGTTAACAGGACTATGCAGGCCACTATGGAAGAAGTTACTGAGAACTTTTTGGAAGCAATCGAGAGTATTCCCTGCAAACACATCCACAGCCACAACATTAATTAGATTATGAAAATGGTGCAATAGGGTGGCAGAAACATGGAAATCCAAAAGATTAAGTAATGTGGAATTTAGGAAAAATGACAGAGGGAAGAGACTGAAATATAACATCTGTTCTAAACTGAAACTTCTAAGCTTTGATAATGGTTCCTAAAGAGAAAATGACCTTAAAGAATAATCCTTAAAACTTTCAGAGCCTAATGTTTTAAAATCCCAGATACCAGGCATTCTGAATCCATGTTCACCAAGCAACAGACTTTTGGATCCCTTATGTGTACATGTAAATGAATACCATTTGCAAACCACTAGTGAAAGGGAGCAAACCCATTGAAATGACTAAATCTGCATTTTGGCTTACAAATAAAAAATGTTTGTTTGCAGGAAAGAATTAAATCACCAGAACCTGGATAAGTTCAAAGTTCCTTCATCTTCTTCATATTAATAAAGGCCACACCATCCATCCAGTAGCTGAAGACAAGGAATCATTCTAACGTCTCACTCCATCCCGCCAATCGAATCCACTGCAATGTGTGGTCTGCTTTACCTCTGAAATATATCCCAAAATCATACACTTCTCTTCAGATCCACAGTTCAAGCTACTATCATCTTCACTGGGCTACTGCATTAGAGCCTAATTGGGCTCAAATGTTCTATTCATGTCCCTCCTCCATCCTCATACCCCTCCATTCTCTGTATAAGAACTGAATTCTCTTATTAAAATGTAAATAACTTCCGTCTCTCCCTGGCTTAAAATTATCCATCTGTTTCCTTCTGCACTTGGAAAAAACTTCAAGTTCTTTACTACGGCTTAGGAACTATTCCATAATCAGACCCTTGCCTACTATCAGCCCACTCTCTTCCTTAATCATCATGCTTCAGCCATCGGCTCTTCCATTCCTTGAACATGCCAAAACACCAAACTTGTTGTTACTTTAGGGCTTTATTCAACTGCTCTCTTTGTCTGCAATGCTTCCCTCTCAGACGGTCACACATTTGGCTGCTCCCAGTGCCACCCTCCCCTAAGTCTCTGTTGAGAGGCCACCTCTCCAGAGAGGCTTTCCTGACCAGCCAATCTAAAGCAGTCCTCTCCACCTGTCTTAGTCAGGTTGCTATAACAAAATAACAGACTCAGTAATTTATAAATAATAGAAATTTATTTTGCACAGCTCTAGGGGCTGGAAATTCCAAGATCAAGGCACCAGCAGATTTCGCGTCTGGTAAGGGGCTTGTTCTTTGCTTCAATATGGTGCCTTCTTTCTGCATCCTCACTTTGTGGAAGGGGAGTAGAAGGGCCCAACAGGTTCCCTCAAGTCTTTTATTGGTATACTTTATAAGGATACTAATTCTTCTAATCACCTTCTAAAGGCTCCACCTCTTAATACTACACATTGAGGATTAAGTTCAACATGAATTTTGGAGGAAAACATTCAAACCATAGCACCATCCTTCCAACCCAACCCATCCTTCATGTTAACATTTTGTCCTAATTCTCCAATGAGAGAACAGAAACCCTGTCTTGTTCACCACTGTATCCCTCAGGGCCTCAAACAATGTCTAGTGGGTGGAAGAAATGTAAATATTACTTGAATAAATGTGAGAAAAAAATTTCTGTAACTTATAAGGCCAATTATTGGCTCTCATGGGGGAGAAAAAGATGCTATTCATTCAACAGCTATTTAATGAAGGAAGATTGTGCAAAACCTGTGACAGTGGTCCTCAAGCCTCAGCATGTGCATATGAATTACCTAGGAAATTTACACATGAGACCTAAGAAACTGCACTGTGACAAGCAGTCCATAAAAGGCGATTTTCTTATGGAATCAATACTAGCATTCTGCAGTATGTGCCATAGGTCCTAATACTATAAACACTTGCTATGGTCTGAATGTGTCCCTCCAAAATTCATGTTGAAATAATCCCCATTGTGTTGGTATTAAGAGGTGCGTCCTTTTGGGATGTGATTAAGTCATAAGGGTTCCAACCTCATGAATGGATTAGTGTCCTAATAAAAGAGGTTGAAGGGAGCTGCCCTGCCCCTGCTGCCATGTAGGGACACAAATGGTGCCATCTGTAAGGAAGAGGCCCTCACCAGACACTAAAATTGCTGGCACCTTGATCTTGGACTTCTCAGCCTCCAGAATTATGAGCAATAAATTTCTATTATTTATAAGTTATCCAGTCTAAGGTATTTTGTTATAGCAGCTCCAACACACTAAGATAGAATTTTTGTATCATAATGTTATTATTGCAATTCTCTTCTGCTGCTACATTTGTCCTTCACCTTAGCCAAGCCTCTCAGAACCAGTTATTTGCTTCACATACCTAGTACATCTCAAATGTTAGCTAAAATTCCATTCCTGTGGGTAGTTATATCTACATTTAAGCTTTCACAAATAGTTAAGATTTACTGCTGAAATAAACACACGAATACACTATACTCTCTGAGAGCTTTTCCTGTTTTTACCAAATCTTAACTGCTTTCCTCCTCAATTATTCTTGATTTATGAGTCCTGCTGAGAAGTGACACTACACTTGAGCGTGAATTATCTTCCCAGCCACAGGACAAGTGAAGTTAGCTTGATTAACAGACTTTGGCTACTATTATTTGGTTGTGTCCAACAAGAAACCTTTAATACTACATAGACCCTGTACGGAATAGCACTTCTTTCCCAAATCATCAGGGGTCAGCTTCATGTGCTTTTGTGGTAGGGCACACAGTTTGGTTGTAAAGTAATCAATTTTTATTTATTTATATTCTTAAAATGGAATAATGTAATACAGGCTTACTGAAAAAAAAAGCAAATATTACAAAATTGCATTACATATAAATTAAAATTCCCTAATAATCATACCTCTCAAAGTTACTTACTGCTTATACTTTGGTGTATATCCTTCAAATTTGTATGTATAAACATATTTTCACATAGCCTTAAAAGAAATCATCACTGTTGTATAACCTGATTAATTAATTTGACATTATATTACAGGCAGCTTCCCAGGTCAATACCTACGATTCATCTTTTTAAAAAAATTTTTTAAATTATTTATTTATTTATTGAGACAGAGTCTCATTCTGTCACCCAGGCTGGAGTGCAGTGGCGTGATCTCGGCTCTCTGCAACCTCCGCCTCCTAGGTTCAAGCAATTCTCGTGCCTCAGCCTTCTAAGTAGCTGGGACTATAGGTGTGCACCGCCATACCTGGCTAATTTTTGTATTTTTAGTAGAGATGGGGTTTCACCATGTTGGCCAGGCTGGTCTTGAATTCCTGGTCTTGAGTGGTCTGCCCACCTTGGCCTCCCAAAGTGCTGGGATTATAGGCATGAGCCACTGCACCCGGCCAAGATTTACCTTTAACAACTGCATTGTATACTACATAAATATAACAACAAAATTTAAGTAATACTCTGGGAAGAACACATTTTTCTCTCCTACTATACCCTCCCAATAGGTCTGACACCAGATGAGAGTGTTTTCCACACTAAACAATTCTCCAATGGACACCAACGGAGTGTCCTATAATTCAATTCAGTTCTGTCACTATCTCCAGGTAGACAGTGTCTGATCCCACAGGTTAAGAGTTTAGTCTCATAAGCCTGGCCCCACTTCAGACACTAATCACAAGTCCCAGGTTGTGACCTATGATTCCGACTGAATGGTTAGCACAGGGTTCTTACCACCCTCTCTGTGGGTTCAATAATTTGCTAGAATGGCTCACAGAACTCTGGGAAACACTTTACTTACACTTAGTAGTTTATTACAAAGGACATTATGAATGATATAGAACAGCCAGGTGAAGAGACACACAGGGAAAGGTAGAGGGAGAAGGGGTGCAGAGCTGCCACGCCCTCTCTGGGTGCTACCCTCTTAACACTTCCATGTGCTCATCAACCTGGAAGCTCATCAGATTTCTAGTTCAAGAGTTTTTATAGGCCAGGCGCAGCAGCTCACACCTGTAATCCTAGCACTGTGGGAAGCTGAGATGGGAATATTGCTTGAGTCCAGGAGTTCGAGACCAGCCTGGGCAACATAGTAAGACTTCATTTCAAACACAAAAAAATTTAGCAAGGTGTGGTGGAAGGCGCCTGTGGTCCCAGCCACTTGGGACATTGATGTAGGAGGATTGCTTGAGCCCAGGAGGTTGAAGCCTCCAGTGAACTATGATCGCACCTCTGCACTCCAGCCTGGGCAACAGAGCGAGACTTGGCTCAAAACACAAGAAGAAAAAAGCTTTAATGGAGCTTAATCTCCAGCACTTGCCCTCCTCCTTTCCTGGATTTTGGTAGGTGGTGCCAAAAGTTCCAACCCTCTAAAACTCTAATCACTTAGTCTTTTTGGTGACTGGCCCCATCCTTCCTTAGGCTATAGATAGGCCAGATCCTAAAAGTTATCTCATTAGGATGAACTCAGGTGTTATCAAAAGGGGTACATTAAGAATAACAAAAAAATACACTACACTATCAGAAAATTCCAAGGGTTCTAGTGGCTCTGTAACAGGAACCAGGGACAAAGACCAAATAAATTTACTATACTACAAATACCCTGTTTAACATTGTCTAGCTTTCCAAAATTATGAATGATGCTGCAACACATCTATGTATATACATTTGTGTATATTTCTAATAATTTCCTTGAAATAAATGGCTACAAGAGAATCAGCGTTAATGCTGTCATGTCCAATATGGTACTTACTAGCCACATGTGACGATTTTAAAATTATTTATTTATTCATTTTGAGACAAGGTCTCACTCTGTTGCACAGGCTGGGGTGCAGTGGCGTGATCATGGCTCACTGCAGCCTTGACTTCCCAGGCTCCAGGGATCCTCCCACCTCAGCCTCCTGAGTGGTGGGGCTACAGGCTTGTGCCACACGTGATTATTTTTATTTTTAAAGGCTTTTTAAAAAATTTTAATTAAAAAAAAATTTTTTTTTTTTTGGAAAGACAGGGTCTCACTATGTTGCCCAGGCTGGTCTCAAACTCCTGGGCTCAAGTGATCCTCCAGCCTCAGCCTCCCAAGTGCTGGGATTATAGGAATGAGCCACTATGCCTGGCCCATGTGACTATTTATTTATTTTCTGAGACGGAGTTTTGCTCTTGTCTCCCAGGCTGGAGTGCAATGGCCCAATCTCGGCTCACTGCAACCTCGACCTCCTGGGTTCAAGCAATTCTCCTGCCTCATCCTCCTGAGTAGTTGCGATTACAGGAGCCCGCCACCAGGCCTGGCTAATTTTTTAATTTTTGGTAGAGATGGGGTTTCACTATGTTGGCCAGGCTGGTCTCGGGTCGAACTCCTGACCTTAGGTGATCTGCCTGCCTCAGCCTCCCAGAGTGCTGGGATTATAGGTGTGAGCCATCCCGTATGACTATTTAAATTAATTACAATAAAATTCAGTTCCTCAGCCGTAATAGCCACATTTCAAGTGCTCAATAGCCTGATGTAGTCAGCAGCTACCATACTGCATGGTGCAGGATGTAGAACATTCCTATCCTTGTAGAAGAGTCTATTGATAGCCCTATCTAAAGAAATGGTCACATAAAAATTTGGTATCTGCATCCCATGAAGTGACATAACAATTTAAATTCTCAATATTAGTATATGAGTTCCAACATCCTCTCCTTGTCAACATCAGATCAATATTCTGATCTGATAGATGAGACATAATGTTTTAGTTAGTATTTTTTTTTTTTTTTTTGAGACAGAGTCTTGCTCTGTCACCCAGGCTGGAGTGCAGAGGCCTGATCTCAGCTCACTATAACCTCCATCTCCCAGGTTCAAGCGATTCTCCTGCCGCAGCCTCCCAAGTAGCTGGGATTACAGGCGCACACCACCACGTCCAGTTAATTTTTGTATTTTTAGTAGAGATGGGGTTCCATCATGTTGGTCAGGCTGGTCTCGAATTCCTGACCTCATGATCCGCCCGCCTCAGCCTCCCAAAGTGCTAGGATTACAGGCATGAGCCACCACGCCCAGCCTGTACTTTTCATCATTATTAATGAGGCTGAGTCTTTTCACATTTTTTGGCCATTTTTTTTTTTTAGTCATTGTTGAACTATCTGAACTTTATTTTAAAAGATTCAAATATAACACTATCCTGTTTCTGATGAGCTATTAAAGCCAAACCATATATGTAGAAGACATTTCTTCAATCTGTTTCGCTGGCTTCTTGAAAATTTTGGAAAGATATTTATCAAAATAGCATACAAACACCTAATAAGAGTAGTACCACAGTTAGCTGAAGGCAATCTGCACTCTTATAGGTTGTTTCCTTAAAGTAGAGTCAGTGGCTTACATTTCTCTAAATAATAAGACTAGCACTGCAGTATGTTACTGTTATGAGATATTCTTACAAATTTTCAAATTAGCTATGAAAACACTTAGACTGATATATAAATGAATAGAAAATATTTATGTTTTAAACATGAATACTACTGTATGATTATGTTTATATGAATGTCTGGAACAGGAAAAAACCACCTATGGGACAGGAATCAGAAGAGTGGTTAACCAGAGACTGGCAGGGTTGGGAAAGGAATGACTGATAAAGCACACAAATGGAGTTTCTGACATGATGGAAATGTTCTCTATCTTGATAGAAACGTGAACTATGCAGGTGTATACAATTGTCAAACTCACTGCATTCTACACATGAGAACTGATATACAGTTTCACTAAATTATATCTCAATTTTTAAAAGGAGGAAAAAAGTGAAAAAAAGTATTGTTCTACTTAGAATATTAAACTTACAGGCAATAAAAATAATTATCCTCACTGGGTGTGGTGGTTCACGCCTGTAATCCCAGCACTTTGGGAGGCCAAAGTGGGAGGACTGCTTGAGCCCAGGAGTTGGAGACCAGCCTTGGCAACATGGTGAGACACTGTCTCTACCAAAAAACCCACAAAAATTAGCCAGGCAGGGTGGTGCAAGCCTGTTGTCCCAGGTGCTCAGGAGGCTGAGGTGGGAGGATCCACTTGAGCCCAGGAGGTTGAAACTGCAGTGAGCCGTGATCACATCACTGCACTCCAGCCTGGATGACACAGTGAGATCCTGTCTTAAAAAAAAAAAAAATCATAAAAGTATTTATAGAACTTAAAGTATGATTTTCTGGCCTAGGAGACACAAAAAAAGTTTTACTAAATTAGAGGTAGGGATCAGACTTTGTGACACCTTGAGCCAAACCATTCAACTGTCAAATCCAGAGGGCACTAGAAAATTAATATAATTTCAGGGCAAAATATATTAAGGTATCAGAAAAGCACTACTAACTTTTTAACATAGATGCATAATCAGTGTTTCTAAAAAGCCTGAAACCTGTTATAATGTTATGGAACAGTAGTTAATTTTTTTGAGCTGTATTTGCTGTGGTAGTTTATGAACTTGGCTCACTTTTGCCCTTTTTCCTCCTGTTCTGGTGGTGCACACTAGCACAAAAACGAACACGTTCACATTAAAGCTAACTGATTTGATAATGAAAAGCGTCTAAGGAGAGAGAAAGAGAAGATGCTCCTACCCACCCCAGGCTACCTTCCCACCCCCACTGTTAGGCTTAGGCTGAACATTTATTATCTCATCTCAATACCAATGTATCACAACCTGTTCAGTGAGTGAGCTCCTTAGTGGCATAAACTACAATCTAGTTCAAGTTCTTTGTAGACAAACTCAAGACATTACAGTAACTCTTCAGAGACTACCTTGCTTGTGCAATCAGAAGGAAGTAGGACAGCAGGACTTCAGTCTCCAAAAGTGAAGGCTTGCCCAGTTAAGGGTGTGGCCCCAGGGCAAAGAAACAGGAGAGTGTACATTTTATTAGTCTATCTGCTTTGTAGGAAGACAGATGTTTTTGTTATTACATTATACATTATACTCTAGCTTTGGAATCCAACAGATTTGATTTGAGAATTAGTTTTGCAATTCATTAGGTGTTTGATCTTGGGCTAGTTACTTCATCCCTCTAAGCTGTTTCCTTATGGGAAATAACAGTATGTATCTCATAGGCATGTTGTGATGATTAATGAAAACACAAGTAACATTTTAAGTCAGTGGATGGCACATTGTAGGCATTCAACAAAGGATAGCTAGCTATAATCATACACAATTCTGTTTCTCAAGACCTCTGCAACCAAAACCCCACCAAGATATTCAGGCAGTCATATTTTGCTAACAAGGGATTAGCATAAACAGGAAATGTTCATAAACATAAATGTAGCATAAACATAAAAATGTTCATTACAGAAATCTCAGCAGCCAACCGTAGAAAAGTTCATAACAGAAAACTAAAAAGTATATATACATTTTGAAAATAAACAAAAAGACTGTTACATTACAGACTCCTGAAGTACAAGATGAACATAACTGAAGGTTCACAGAAAATAATGAAAATTTCTTTGTTAAGCAGACACACTCAAGTGCTTCCCTGTCACGCCACCGATTTATCTCAGATCCAACACTACTAAAGCCATAAGAAGACAAAGGGGCAAGTTATTCTTTACCACAGATGAGGTGGTCTATGATACAGTATCGACCACATTTTAAAATGCAGTGTAAGTGGCAGATCTTGCACAATAAATAAAATACTTACCTGTTTCTCTTCATCCGACATGTTTTTTTCCAGTTCTATTAGGTATTCTTCATCTAGTTCAGAGGAATTCACATCTTCATTAGATTTGTTCTCAACCTTGTCCGCTCCTGGCTCCTCCTCAAATGAGGCACTGCAGTCATGAAAACACTCCTCTTCTCCCTGGTCCTCCTGGAGATGGGCCTCATCATCCCTGAGCAGCTTACTCTGGGAATGCTGATTTTTGGGATCAGGAACTGGAGGGCCAGCACACTCGGCTTCCTGAGTATCTGTAACCTTCAAACCATTTAACAGATCCTCTGGAACCCCACAGTTCTCTGACTTCTCCCCCATGCTGCCCAGTGAGGGAGGTGACGCTAAAGCTGGGGGAAAACAAAACAAAACTGCTATATAATGGTGCTTGTATTTTTAAAAGTTCTGTTTCAAACCTAAACAAACCTCTGCATTACAGCCAAAAAACACACCGTAATTTCCTTTCACTGGAATTCATTATTTAAAAATACAGCTTATCATAAGTAATAATAATGTCAAATCGTCATTTTAACTGAGACCCCTTTTCTGGTCAAATCTGGTACCAGATTCTTTTTTTTTTTTTTTTTTTTTTGAGACTTAATCTCAGTCTGTCGCCCAGGCTGGAGTGCAGTGGCGCGATCTCGGCTCACTGCAACCTCTGCCGTCCGGGTTCAAGCGATTCTCCTGCCTCAGCCTCCCGAGTAGCTGGGATTACAGGCGCCTGCCACCGCGCCTGGCCCAGAACTTCTTAAAAGCAACAAAAGAAGCCGTTTTTAATGTAACTCTTCCACGTTCCACCGTTCGTGTTCTGTTTGGATAGCAAAAATTAGGCAGAAACTAAAACAGTGCCAAGAAAAAGGAAGCAGCCCTAATCTCCATTCAGAATGAATAACCAAGGCACGAGTAAGAAACTACGGTCCGTCTTTTTAGCACCACCACAGGAAGCCCAAGAATACGTTTCTAGTAGACTTCAAAATAAAATCCGTGCCAAAATTGTGATCACTTTAACCCAAATGCGTGTGGTAGAGCCCACTCAGCTTACACTGGAAGGGGAACCCTGGCGCAGGTGACCCTAATCAGGATTACCGTGGGGGCCAGAGTCAGGCATTAGAAAGCGTGACTCTGAACCCTAGCTGCCCAAGAGAACACTAGAGATACTTTAGAAAATACCACTGCTCAGACCCTGACCAAATTCTGATTTATTAGTGTCGCGTCAAGCAAGGGCATCAGGTTTATTTATTTATTTATTTATGTTTTCATCCCAGGTGATTCTGATATGCAGCCAATTGCGAACCACTGCTGTAGAAGCTGAGTCAGAGCATCAGCAGCCCAGACATTTGCAAAAATTTGCGACAGATTTGCAAGAACGTAAATTGCTCTAGTCGCAGCAAAATCACGCCAACGACCCTTGTATCACGACAAGAGTCTGAATTTGCCCTAGTATGTGCCAAGAAAACTTAAAAAACCAGCAAGATCTTAATACGGAGACTTCGCCTCCACAGCAATGTCTTGCTTCTCTTCGCTCCCAGGTCTACTGGAAGAACACAGGAGTTTGAGCTCCTACAGTTAGGGAAGTGATGCCTCGCGCTTCCCAGCAGATTATTCCCTAGCTTTGTTCCTCACAGCCAACACGCTTAGACCCACGGGGTTACTCACAACCTCACAGCTTCTCCGGTCTCCACCTTCTTAGCCTCTGAGAGCTCCTACTTCCGCTCAGTCAGGTGCACTTCCGTCGATGACGACTAATAGCGTCGCTATTGGCAAAGCATCCTGGGAAATGTAGCGAAACTCTCAGGGAGGAAAGGCATAGTCGCTGTGTGACGTCATTGTACGGCGTGACATTTGAGAGATGGTTGCCATCTTGGGTTACGGCAAGACTCCGCGTTACTCTGCACGAAGAGAAAAAAGGACAAAAGGAAGTCTGTCCCTGTGGTGTTCGTTTCACTATTTATTTATTTATTTATTTATTTATTTATTTATTTATTTATTTATTTATTTTTGAGACAGAGTCTCAGTCTGTCGCCCAGGCTGGAGTGCAGTGGCGCAATCACAGCCTCTACTCACTTCAGCCTCAACCTCCTGGGATCAAGCGATTCTCTTGCCTCAGCCTTACGAGTAGCTGGGACCACAGGTGCGCGCCACCACGCCCAGCTAATTTTTTTGTATTTTTAGTAGAGACGGAGTTTCACTATGTTGCTCAGGCTGTTCTTGAACTCCTGGGCTCAAGCGATCCTCCCTCCTCGGCCTACCAAAGTGCTGGGATTATAGGCGTGAGCCACCGCGCCCGGTCCATTTTTATTTTTCAAGGGCTAGCCAAGTCAAACAGTGGGAGTGGAGAAGAAACAAAAAGATCTGTAACTGGTTGTGATCAGTTAGTTGTAAACACCACTGCACTCAGACCAACCTCAATAATATTTAAGACCGTAAGGGAACCCTGAGACCAAGAGTGGTTGCCCTATGCATTCATTCGAGAAATGTTCACTGAATGTTTATTAGACCCTGGGCATTGTGCTGGGATCACAGAATTGAAATATAGTACCCATCCTCAAGGTAGCCAGACAGGTAACCAGCAATGACAGCAGAGAATTCGTTTTCTGTAATTCACAGAACCTATTGCAGAGATAGATAGCTGGAAGAGACTTTTTCAGGAAGAGTATGAAACTTGTTTTTTGAATTTCCATCTAAATGAGATTATGCATACAGTTGTATTTTTTGTAAGTTGAAAGCTTTATATGCTAAAAGAAAACATCAAAAATATATCCTATTTTGGTTTTAGTATTTCTGAATTTTAAAAAATACCCCCAGAATTTAAAAAGTGTAAATGGAGGCTGAGTGTGGTGGCTCATGCCTGTAATCCCAGCACTTTGGAAGGTGGACATGGGAGGATCTCTTGGGGCCAGGAGTTCGGGACCAGCCTGACCAACATGGCAAAACCCATCTCTATCTATATATACATATACATATGTGTGTGTGTGTATAAATTAGCTGGGCACAGTGGCGCATATCTGTAGTCTCAGCTGCTCAGGAGGCTGAGGTGGGAGGATGCTTGAACCTAGGAGTCAGAGGCTGCAGTGAGCTGTGATCACGACACTGCACTTTGGCCTGAACAACAGAGGGAGACTGTCTATATTTAAAAAAAAAAAAAAAAAAAAAAGCAAATGGTTAAGCCTCTTTAAGTGGCCCTGTTAATTCAATTCTGGTGTAATGGAAAGACTGTAAACTTTGGAGCTAAATAAATAAGTAACTAAACCCATAAAACTTGAGTTACGGTCTCAGCTTCCTTTACTAGCTGTACAACTCTAAACAATAATTCCCATTGCTAATATTCATAGACTATACGCTTATTAAGCACCGCATGCTGTGAAAAATGCTTTAGGTGGCTTATTTGATTACTGAGTTCTAATTCAGTCTCTGCCACTGAGTAGCAGTGTGATTTTGGGGCCAGTTACTTATGCTTCTAAGGTTTTTATTTTACTTTTTTTTTTTTTAAGAGACAAGTTCTCACATTTCCCAGGCTAGTTTCAAACTCCTGGGCTCAAACAATCCTCCTGCCTCAGCCTCCTAACATGCAGGGATTATGGATGTGAGCCACAGGGCCCAGCCAACTTTTTAATGTATAAATTTACCTCATGTATAAAAACTGGGATCGGTAACAATGGTACCTACCTCACAAGCTTGTTGGGAGAAAAAATACCTAGAAGACAAGGAGCACAGGGCGCGGGAGAAAAAAATATCTAGAAGACAAGGAACACAGTGTTTAATGAATATTAGCAACAAAAATATTATATGGCAGGTCTTGTGCCAGTAGCTGGGGACAGAAAGCCTAATAAGACAGAATCCTTGCCCTTCCCCATCATCAGGAGCTCACAGACTAGTGGGGGAGTGGAGAAGGGAAATAAAGAAGTTACTGAGCCCAAAAGAAGAGCAATCTGCCTTTCTTTTTATGCCAAAAGAAACCAAAGTGCAACTGGCCCAATTTGGTAGGTCTTCACTAATAAGATACTCGAGTTAGGCTGTAGAAAGAGGAATAGTTCACTTAGTGGGGGAAAAAAAAAAACAAACCAGGATAGGTAGAAGGACATGGAATCAGGAGCATAAAAATATCAGAAGCATTTTTAGGAACAATAGGTAGTTGGATGCTGTTTAAGTGTATGTAGAACACAAAGCAAAAAACAAATTTTTAATGATGAAAGCCAACTCATCCATTCCTGGAAACATGAAGATTTTGTTTCTTAGTCCTTACAACTATCCTGTAAAAGGACAAGAAATGTTTTTGATTCAGAGGGTGGTTCTGTTTGTATTTTCCCAGGGCAGAGACCATGTTTGCCCTGTTTACAGTTGTAAGGGATCAGTGAACATCCTATTTCAGAAATTTATGGCCAAAACACTGGCCACTCAGCTCTCTGAGTTGAGTAAGCAGATACTGACACTTTTGGAGTTATAGGGTTGTTGTAAGAATTAAATGGTGTCATGTTTTATCTAAAACACAGAAAATGAAGTGCTCAAGATAGAAAAAATACTTAAAAATTTTTTTGAGGCAGGTTCTCTCTCTCTCACCCAGGCTGGAGTGCAGTGGCACAATCTCGGCTCACTGCAGCCTTGACCGCCTGGGCTCAAGCAATCTTCCCCACCCCAGCCTCCCGAGTAGCTGGGACTGATTACAGGCGCTGACTACCACACCTGGCTAATTTTTGTATTTTTTGTGAAGACGGGGTTTTGCCATGTTGCCCAGGCTGGTCTCAAACTCCTGAGCTCAAGCGATCCGCCCGCCTTGGCCTCCCAAAGTGCTGGGATTACAGGAGTGAGCCACTGCATCTGGCCGCTTTAATATTAATAGCACCTAGCACAGTAAGTACTCAATAAGTGTTTGTTGTTACTGTAATCATTATTACTATTAATGAAGATCTCACAGATATTACCATTATTATGATTAATTACTAATAGTGATTTTATTATTACTATGTTAATGAATACTACTACTATTATTAATAGTGGCAATATTTGTGAAGGTTTCATTCACACCCCCCAGATAGGGAACTGAGCACCCAAGTTTGTTGAAAGAATCAGTGCTGAACATAAATTATTGAATAATGAATAAATGCTAGGCATCATACTAGGTCCAGTGGTGGGTATAGCAATAAATCAAGAAAGTAGCAAAAGAATCAGTTTCCCTCTTTTTTTTTTTTGGGGGGGAGCAGGTCAGTGGTTTCTTAATGACACATGTCCATCACCTAATCAGTTGTATTGAGCCCAGTTGGTTTTGGGGATAAAACCTTACATTCTGGGACCCTCTAAGTCCTGAGCTCCATTCTCTCTGTTTCCCCGGGACTGAGCTTCTTGAGCTTGCCAAAGGAGGGTCTAAAATCCAGGAACAGTCAGGGATGCTAAAAGAACTCCTTGAGAATGAGATGTATATAAAAATAAATAAGGCTGGGCATGGCGGCTTATGCCTGTAATCCAGAACTTTGGGAGGCGGAGGCAGGAGGATTGCTTGAGGCCAGGAGTTTGAGACCAGCCTGGCCAACATGGTGAAACCCTGTCTCTACTAAAAATACAAAAATTAGCTGGATGTGGTGACACAGGCCTATAATCCCAGCTACTCGGGAGGCTGAGGCACGAGAATCGCTTGAACCTGGGAGGCAGAAGTTTCAGCGAATTGAGATCACGCCACTGCCCTCCAGCCTGGGCAACAAAGTGAGACTCTGTCTCAAACAAAATATATAATAAAATAAAATAAAAATAAATAAATAATTATGATGTAGATTATGCATTCCTACAGTGTTTCCAAAACATGCTTTTGTTTCTTATTTTTTCCCAGTTCCAATCTTTGAATTAAAATTTCTGATGAGACATAATCAAGAATTAGCATCCTGTGCATTTATGTCTACATTTTTGTTTTCCCTTAGATCAGCATGCCCAATAGAAATACAATGTCAGCCACATATGTAATTTATTTATTTATTAGAGACAGGATCTCACTCTGTCACCCAGGCTGAGTGCAATGGCATAATTCTAGCTCACTGCAGCCTCAAACTCCTGGCCTCAAGTGATCCTCTCATGTCAGCCTCCCAAAATGCTGTGATAACATGCATAAGCCACTGTACTGGGCCACACATATTTTATTACTTTATTTTGTGACAGGGTCTCACTCTTGTCACCCAGGCTGTAGTGCAGTGGCACAATCATAGCTCACTGCAGCCTTGACATCCTGGGTTCAAGCCATCCTCTCACCTCAGCCTCCCAAGCAACTGGAACTACAGGCGGATGCCATCGTGCCTCTTTTTTTTTTTTTTTTTTTTTTTGTAGAGAGAGGGTCTTGCTATTTTTACCAGGTTGGTCTTGATTTCCCGGCCTCAAGGTATCCTCCAGCCTTGGCCTCCCAAAGTGCTGGGCTTATAGGTGTGAGCCACTATACCTGGTCAAATTTTAAATTTCCTGGTATCGGCATTAAAAACAGTAAAATAAGTAAAATTAATTTAATATTTACTATTATTAAATGCAATTAATGTTTTATTTAATCAAATATGTCTAAAATATCCTTTGGGCATGTGATGAATATAAAAATGTTTATCAAGTGTTTTTTTTTTTTTTTTTTTGAGACGGAGTCTCACTCATTCTGTCGCCCAGACTGGAGGGCAGTGGCACGATCTCAGCTCACTGCAACCTCCAGCTCCTGGGTTCAAGTGATTCTCCTGCCTCAGCCTCCTGAGTGGCTGGGATTACAGGCATGCACCACCATGCCCAGCTAATTTTTTGTATTTTTAGTAGAGACGGGGTTTCGCCATGTTGGCCAGGCTGCTCTTGAACTCCTGACCTCAGGTGACCTGCCTGCCTTGGCCTCCCAAAGTGCTAGGATTACCGGTGTGAGCCACCGTGCCCAGCTGTAACAAGTTATTTTACATTCTGTTTTTCTTACTAAGTCTTTGGGATCATGTGTGTATTTTATAGTGTATCTCAATTTGGACATCAAATTTTCATCAAAAATACTTGAGTCTGCATTCACATTTCATAAAATCTATATTTTAAAAAATTGATTCATATATGTAAGTTTTTTCAAACATACTTCCCAGTAACTGAATTGAATATCAGTTTTTAAATTTA